>NC_000011.10:124445151-124748182 GCF_000001405.40 Homo sapiens
TTCCTCTTCCCCAACATTCACAATCTTAGTGCTACTTTCCTTCAATTCTCTGTCAAAACTAAGTTTTCAAGAAGAATCTCACAAATTCATCAGCACACAGTCTACTACAACTTGCTGGGGACAATCCACATTCTTCACCCTCTTCCAGGCATTTCTTAAAATGAAGACAAAGTCTTTAGCAAAAAAAAAATAGATCTCTAGTTATGAAATTTCAAACAGCACTCAGTTAATGAGAGGTACATTTTGGTCAGGATAAGGCAGCTGAAGTGGTGGCTTCACAATTAGAGCCCCATTGGCAGCTGTCTGACCTCCATGCAGCAAGCTAATTACCACCCTTCTTCCAGTCCTGTGTGTGTAGTGGGTGTGTGTGCGCACACACGTGTGTGTGTTTTGTGTATAAGTGCTGGGTAACATTTGAACATACCTCAGAGCTTGCTCCTCTGCCACATGTGGAATGTATTTTAGTCACTGCTCAGAAACAAGATGCCTCAAGTGTAACTCTTATACCTAGAAATCTGCCACTCCCTCAGTGATTATGAGAAACCTCAATCCTTGCTCTCATTCCCACTGTAGTCAACTCACAATTTAAGAAAATAAGTCATTATTACAAGCATGAAATGAGTCCCACAGGAAAGGTGCTCCTTAGGGCACAGAAAGCAAGACTCCGGCTTCATTAAAAGTTGACTTTTCTCTGGGAGCCTTAGAGGATTCCTGTTTGGATGGTAGAACAACCAAGAAAAGTTCTTCTGGATGTATGTCATTTTAAAGCCTGTTGCCATGGAAACTACTCTTCAAAATCCTCTCAACTGGGGCTTTACTAAAGTCTTGTTGCCTGAGGAGCAGATGAAGCCCAAGCAGGAAGCAGTGTAGGAAGAACTATTCTTAACTCTGTTCCTTTTGTTGCAGAACTGCCCTCCTTCCAAAACTTGGATTTCTGTATAGTGCTTCTTTGTTTTATTTATTTCTATTTTTTCCTAACTTTTCAAAATTACATTCTAATTTGTGTGATTTCATATGTGACACATGAATATGAGTCAATACAATGTTTCTCACACACACACATTAACCCTCAGACTTCTGGTGGCACAAGGTTGGACCCAACTGCAGCAACCATCACAGCATACCAAGAAGACCAAGTACAAGTTTCATAAGAAATTACAGAACCTGATCAGAGAAAAAAGATGGCAACTGAAAGGTCTTCATTTGAAATGGCCTTCATTCACTCCTGAGAAAGCAATATCAGCAGTAATCTGTTTCTGCATTATACTTAATCTGACTTTACTTTTATTATTTTCAACTCATTGATATACAAACCTATGCATAAATTATATATGTATTTAATATAGAATTCTAGAGTTAGATGGGACCTTGGAGGTCTATGTTGGGGAATAATTACCATGTATAAACACATATGTATCAACCACTGTGCAGAAAGTTTTATATACATTATGTCATTTGTAGAAAATGAGTAATCTGCACAAAGTGCAAAGCTGACATTTTAAAAAACATCATCCAATCATATTTTAGTATCATTAGTATTAAGAATACTAATACTAGTACTAATATGTTATACTTTGTAAGTGCTGACCATGTGCTAGGAACTATCCTAAATGCTTTACACATATTAATGCCATTAGTTTTCACGAGTTATATTAAATGGTTACTTTTATTATCCTACTCTGCACAAGAACATTTCCTTGAATTAAAAAAATCAAACCTGTTTATCTGTTAGTTGGGACAACCTTGTCTCTTTAGGCCTCAAGTATTTGTAGTGATAGAGGATTAATAAATTTGCTAGATTAATGGTTATAAAGGAAGAATCGAGAGGGAAGACCAAGTGTCAAAGGTTACTAAAGTCTCAACCCCAGGGCCTAGAAATAAGGAAGTAAAGAGATAAATAAAGAGGTAGAATTTAGACCTGACTTTCATGTGCTGAAAGTACATGTAAGAGCAAATGGTCAGTAGTGAGTCATCAGCATGAGATCAGAGCTGAGAAAAAGATATCAAGACACATATTGAGAAGTCATGTAAATAAAAGTGATTGCAGAAACTACAAGTTAAGGGTAAAGGGTGGAACCATATAATTATCCATGATCAATAAAAGGGAAGGAGAAAACTGTTAGTAAATTTGTCAGAGAAGGCAAATATGGTACCCTGAGCAGGCTTTGTAGCAAAATGACCTGGGATCTCCTTAGGTCTCCCACTAGCCAAGCGAGCTTACGCTATTTGGACTTCAGTAACTACATCTGAAATCAGATATGTTAGCACCTAGCATACAAGATTGTATGAGGATCAACTATCATAGTGTTCAATAAGTAGCTTCGAATTAACAAAGTGTTATAGACTTACTGAAGTATTATTACTACACATCTTTTTTATCCACTTAGTCTAATTTATCCTGCTTTAGGAGTTACTTACCCCAGCCACAATTATGTTATAAGCTACTAAAGTCAAGATCATATGTTTGGAACTGGGGGCTATGCCTGTAATTTCAACAACTAAGGAGGCTAAGGCAGGATGATCATTTGAGGCTAGGAGTTTGAGACCAGTCTGGGAAAAATAGAGAGACTTTGTCTCTTAAAAGTAAATAAATAAATAAATAAATAGCCAGGGTGGTGGCACACATCTGTAGAGTCAACTACTTGGAAGGCTAAGGCAGGAGGATCTCTTGAGCCCAGGAGTTGAAGGCTGCAGTGAGCTATGATTACACCACTGCATTCCAACCAGGGTGACAGAGCGAGACCCTGTCTCTAGAAAAAAAAAAATCATATCTAGTTTAAAAATCTAGTCAGAGCAAGATGGCTGATTAGAGATACCTGACTGTCATCTCTCCCACAAGAAAAGACCAAGACAATGAATAAACAGCCAAGACTAGACTGGAGTGTCAATGTGAGAGCACCAGAATGCAGCAAGGGAGTGGAGATGCATCTGTGATGATGGAAAATCCAAGAAGGCAGACTCTGCATCCATGTCTCCCCAGTCCAGATCAGACTGGCCCAGAAACAGGAGGGACTTCTCATTACAGGGAAAATACATACTCCCAGGCCAGCAAAGCAGCTGTGTACCTATGTGCTGGACCTGAGAAAGAGCCCTGGGAACCAACCATAGGCCAGCCAAGCAGACTTGTGCCCACATCACAGGCCTAACAAACAGTCTCATGAGCTGCCCCTAGTAGACACACTCCCAGGCTGAATGAGCAGCTGTACACCCATGTCTTGAGCTGGAGGAAGAGCCCTGTGGGCCACCCCCAGCAAACACACACACCACAGCTGAGAAGCCACGTGACTGTGTCTGGGGCCTGAGAAACACCCCTGTGGGCTACCTCTGGCAGACATGTCACCAAGCTGGCCAAGCAACCACATTCCCATGCAGCCAAGAGTAACAGCCCCATGGCCTCAACTGCAGCAAGGTAGACCCTGAGTTAGTTGGCCCACCAAGTGCATGCACATGTCCCTAACCTGAGAAACAGCCCAGCAAGCCCACCCCTGGCAAAGCTGTACCACCACTGCCATAAACTCTCTCAGTCTAGGCTACCAAGAAACTCACAAATGCCACTAGTGTGGATTACAGCTGAAGAAACTACACAGAAACCACACTATTGGGCTTACCTAGAACCAAGGCCAACACATTCCACTGAACCAACACCCCAAGACTCATTTATAAGAAACTATACAGAGACTACACTATTGGGTTTACCTAGAACCAAGGTCAACACATTCCACTGAACTGTCACCCCAAGACTCATTTAAACAAATAAGACTTTTCCTAAGAAACCTACTACATAAAATTGGAAAAGGTGACTTTTCCACCAGATAAGTAGAAATCAACACAGGGACATATCAGCAATAAAAAAGCAGGAAAACATGTCACCTCTAAAAGAAGATAAGAATTTGTTAGTAACAGACCCTAATCATAATGTATAAACTTCCAGAAAAAGAATTTAAAATAATTCTCCTAAGGAAACTCACCGAGATATAAGAGAATACATCTAGACAATTCAACAAATCTGTGAAAATGATTCATGATTTAAATTAGAAATTCAACAGTGAGACAGATATTATAAAAGAACCAAACAGAAAACCTAGAGCTGAAAAATTCATAAATAAAATAAAAAAAACACAATTAAGACCTTCAGTCACAGACTAGACCAAACAGAAAAAAGAATCTCTGAACTTGAAGACAAGTATTTTGAAAAAACACAGGCAGACAAAAAAAAAAGAATCAAAGGATTTATGTAACATCATTAACCAAACAAATGTCCATGTTATGGGTATTTCAGAAGGAGAAGAAAGGTAAAAATATGAGGAAGTCATATTTGATAAAATAATATCAGAAAATCTCCCCAGTCTTGGCAGATAAATGGACATCCAGTTTCAGAAATCTTAAAGGACCCCAGATATATTTAACCCAAACAGATCCTCTCTCAAGTACATTATAGTCAAATTGTCAAAAGTCAAAGATGAAGAAAGAATTTTAAAAGCAGCAAGATAAAAGTATCAAGTTACATATAAGAAAATATCCGTAGGCCTAACAGTGAATTTCTCAGCAGAAACTTTGTGAGCCAACAGAGAATGGGATAATATATACAAAGTACTGAAAGAAATAAAACTGGCACCCAATAATATTATACCAGCAAAGCTATCCTTCAGAAATGAAGGAGAAATAAAATATTTCACAGACAAGCAAAAACTAAGGGAATCTATCACCACTAGACCAGCCTTACAAGAAATGCTCTAGGGAATCTTACATCTGTAAGTGAAAAGATGATAACCACCATCATAAAAACAGGCAAAACTATACAGCTGGTACACAAACGAAGGAATCAAACCTTATCATTACAGAAAATCACTCAACTGCAAAAATAAATAAGAGAGGAAGTAAAGAACAAACATTATATTAAATAATGGAAAACAATTAATAAAATGACCATAATAAGTCCTTATCTATCAACAATAACCTTGAATGTAAATGGATTAAATTCCCCCATTTAAAAGATAAAGACTGACTGAACAATATTTTTTTTAAAAGAAGACCCAACTATATGATGCCTATAAGAAACTCATCTTGCCCATAAAGACATACATAGATGGAAAGTAAAGGGATTGAAAAGAATAGTCCATGCTAACAAAATACAAAAGCAGACAGGTGTAGCTATACTTAGATAAAACAGACTTCAAGTTAAGAGATAAAAAGGAAACAATGAAAGCCATTCAGTAATAATAAAGGGATCAATTCAACAAGAGAATATAATAATTGTAAAAATATATGCACCCAACACCTGAGCATTCAGATATATAAAGCAAATATTATTAGATCTAAAGAGAAAGAAAGACTCCAATTAAATAATAGCTGGACACTTCAACACCATACTCTCAGCATTGGGCAGATCATCTAGACAGAAAATCAACCAAAAAAAGTCAGATTTTAATAGCACATTAAACTAAAAGGACCTAATGCATTTACAAAATATTTCACTCAACAGCTAGAGAATACACATTTATTTCATCAGCACGTGGAACATTTTCTAGGATTAACCATATGTTAGGACACAAAACAAGTTTCAACAATTATAAAAAATTAAAATAATATTAAGTACCTTCTCAGATTACAATGGAATAAAACTAGACATTAATAACAAAAGGAACATTCGAAACTGTATAAATAACTATAAATTAAACAACATGCTCCTGAATGATCAATGGGCAAAGGAAGAAATTAAGAAGAAATTTTATAATTTTTTGAAACAAATGAAAATAGAAACACAACATACCAAAACCTATGGGACACAGCAAAAGCAGTATTAAGAGACAAGTGTATAGCAATAAATGCTTACATTAAAAAACTACAACAATTTTTAAATAAACAACCTAATAATTCCCCAAAAAGAACTAGAAAGGCAAGAACAAACCAAATCTAAAATTAGTAGAAGAAAATAAAGATTAGAACAGAAATAAATACAATTGAGACTAAAATATTAAAAAATCAACAAACAGCTGTTTTTTTAAAAAAAACAAAATTGACATACTATTAGCTCTACTAATAAAAAAGAAGCAACTCCAAAATAAATAAAATTAGAAATTAAAGAGATGTCACAACAAATACCGCAGAAATATAAAGGCTCATTAGAGACTATAGTGCAAAGTACACACCAATAAATTTGAAGACCTAGAGGAAATGCAAAAATTCCTGGACACATATAACCTACAAAGATTGAACTAGGAGGAAACAGAAAACCTAAACAGACCAATGACAAGTTGTCACAGGAATGCAAGAATGGTTTAATATACACAAATCAATAAACATCATACATCACATCAACAGAATGAAGGACAAAAACCACATAATCATCTCAATACATGTAGAAAAAAGCTATTGATAACATTCAACGTTCCTGCATGATAAAAACTCTTAATAAATTGGATATAGAAGGAAAGTATCTCAACATAATAGAGGCCGTATATCCCAAACCCACAGCTAACATCTTACTGAACAGGGAAAATTTTAAAGTTTTTTCTCAATAACTAGAACAAGACAATGATGCCCAACTCTCACCACTCTCATTCAACATTGTACTGGAAGTCCTAGCCAGAGCAATAATGGAAGAAAAAGAAATAAAGGACATCCACATTGCAAAGGAAGAAGTCAAATTGTCCTTTTTTGTAGATGACATATGTATATATAGAAAAGACTCTACTAAAATAACTCTTCTAACTTATAAACAAATTCAGTAATGTTACAGGGTACAAAATTAATCAATAAAACTCAGCAGTGTTTTTATACACAATGAACTACCTGAAAAAGAAATCAAGAAAGCAATCCCATTTGCAATAGTGACAAAAAATTAAAATACCCAAAGATAAATTTAACCAATGAAATTAAAAACCTCTACAAGGAAAACTACTAAACCTTGATGAAAGAAATTCAAGAGGATACAAACAAAAAGAAAGACATCCCATGATCATGGATTAGAATAATTAATTTTATTAAAATGACAATATTATCCAAAGCAATCTACAGATTCAATGCAATCCCTATCAAAATACCAATGACATTCCTCACAAAAAATAGAAAAAAAATCTAAAATTTTTATGAAATCACAAAAGACCCTGAATAGCCAAAACAATCCTGAGCAAAAAGAAAAAACTGGAAGAATGATGCTGCCAGACATCAAAATATGCTACAAAGTTGTAGTAACTAAAACAGCATGGGATTGGCATAAAAATAGACACATCGACCACTGGAGCAGAATAGAGAGTTCAGAAATTAATCCACATATCAACAGCCAAATGATTTTTTGACAAAGACACCAAGAGCACTCGTTGGGGAAAGGACAGTCTGTTCAGTAAATGCTACTAGGAAAACTGGATATTCTTATGCAGAAGAATGAAACTAGACCCTCATCTCTCACTCTATACAAAAAAAAAAATCAACTCAAAATGGATCAAAGACCTAAATGTAAGACCCAAACAATTAAACTAGTATAAGAACCCATGGGGGAAATGCTTCAGGACATTGGTAAAGGAAATGATTTTATGAATAGGGCCTCCAATGCACAGGTAACAAAAACACAAACAAATGAGATTATATAAGTTACAAAGCTTCTGCACAGTGAAGGAAACAATCAACAGAGTGAAAAAATAACCTACAGAGTGGAAGAAAATATTTGCAAATTACTTATATGATAGACAATTTATGTCCAGAATATACAAGGAACTGAAGCATCTCAATAGTAAGAAAACAAGCAATCCAATTAAAAAATGAGCAAATGATCTGAACAGACATTTCTCAAAAGAAGGCATACAAATGGCCAACAAATATAACAAAAAATGTTCAACATCACAAATCATCAGGAAAATGCAAATCCAAACCACAATGAGATATCATCTCACCCCAGTGGATGGCTATTAACAAGAAGACAAAAAATAACAAATGCCGGCAAGGATGCAGGGGTGGGAATGCAAACTAGTAAAACCACTAAGGAGAACAGTATGGAAGTTCCTGGAAAAACTACAAATAGAATTACCAGATGATCTAGCAATTCTGCTACTGGGAATCTATCCAAAGGAAAGGAGATCATTACATCAAAAAGACATCTGCACCCTCATGTTTATTGCAGCACTATTCACAATAGCCAAGATATGGAATCAACCTAGGTGTCCAACAACAGATGAATTGATAAAGAAAATGTGGTATATATACACAACGGAATACCATTCAGCCATAAAAAAGAATGAAATCATGTCATTCACAGCAACATGGATGGAACTGGATGACATTATGCTAAGTGAAATAAACCAGGCACAGAATGTTAAACACCACATGTTCTCACTCATATGTGGAAGCTGAAAATAGTTGATCTCAAAGAAATAAAAAGTAGAACAGAGGATACTGGAGGCTGGGAAAGGTAGGAGGAAGGGGGTGATAGGCAAGGATTTGTTAAATGATACAAAATTACAGCTAGCTAGAAAGAATAAGTTCTAGTATTCTATACCACTGTAAAATGACTATAGTTAACAATAATTATAATTTCAAATAGCTAAAAAGAGGATAGTAAATGTTCCCAACACAAAGAAATGATAAATGTTTGAGATGATGGATATGCTATTTACCCTCATCTGAAATATGCATTAAAACGTCACTATGTGCTCCATGAATATGTAAATTATGTCAATTTTAAAAATGTAAGTTAAAAAAGAAAAATATCGTATGTTCAAATACTACTTAACTTAACACTCCCAACATGGAACACAATGATAAATGCATATATTGTTCATTAATATTTACTAGTTTCAGTAGAAAGAAATATAAATATGGTTCAATAAAAGCCTAGATTTTAAAAATGATAAATTAAGGGATATATTTAATTTTTTCAAATACTGAAGGAGCTTTTTAGAGATTTTTTTATAAATAGCTATGTGGCTAAACCTATTTTCAAAAGATTTGTAAATAATGTCGATTATACATAACTAGTTTTACTATAAGTGTAATTGACATTTTGAATATGCAAATGTTGACACTGAATTGACAATGATGCTAGGTGGTATGTGCCCATTGGGTGTGACTTTCAGGATCAAGATATTTACAGATGAAAAGGAGCTTCCTGATATTTTGAGGACTAAGAAAGGAAAGTTACTCAGTGACAGAAAGAGTTGCAAAGGCTTCTGAAGTTAGGAGCTGCCCAGAGCTCAGTTTCATCATAGCCCACAGTTTGGAGCTCTTAAAATAGGAATCCATTTTTAAGTGACATTCATCTCAGGAATATATGTGCTATAAAAAGCAAATTATACTAGGACTCGCAATGTAAAATATATGATTTCAAGGTGTATTAAAGGCACATCATGTTCCAAAATTGTGCTAGAGAAGGAAAATGTAAGGAGATACGGTCTTATTTAAAGGCTATTTGATGGAGTGGGGGTTATTCTAGGCATTCGTGGGAATGTCAATTGATTTTAAAAAGAGTAAGCCTTAAACATAAAGATTCACAAATCTTACAGAAAGCAACAGAGTTTCCTTGTTGGATAGAGATGTTTCAGAAATCCTAATTACAGCATGGTGGAGGCTGACTGCTATTTTCTGACAGCTCTACAGGTCAGGAAAACCACAAAACCTCTCTGTAAAATATTGACGTACTTTTTTCAAAGCTTTCTCTAGGGAACCTTTTTCTAAAGACTACTTGTAATCAAGAGGCAATGTGATATACTTGAAGAAGCCAGGCTTATGTGTCTAAAGATCTGGTTGTGTGGCCTTGGAAAAGTCAAAATGTTTTTTAATCTGAGATTTCCTCTTCTGTAAACAGAAATATCAAAACCTGACTTATCTGCTTTATGATACTGTATGCATCACACTTAATGGCTTCATCTCTGCCCATTATGAAATATTGAACTTCCTCAAATTTCCAACCTCATCTTTCTTATCTCCTCATCTCATATAATTTCCTGGAGTAATTCCATTCATTCCTATGGCTCAAATATCACCTACTGATATGTTAATTTTAAGTTAATTGCCTTAAGTATTCAATTGCTGAAAAAACTTACAAAAGACTCAAATCATTTATGATCACAAAACAGCTTTATTAGGGGTAAAGTGTACAATACAGCAACAACAGGAGAAGGGTTTGCATTTGAAGGGATCCAGAGATCTCTGGAGCAGGCTCATGTGCCATCTCACCACTGTGTTGCACAAGATGCACATTGCCACCAGATCTTGAACCACCACCAACATATGTGGGAAGCCTCTTGGTACCAAGAAGTCCAAAGACTGCTACTTTTATGAGATGATCTTGTAGACAGTCCACCTATGTGACCAACCTGAACCATTGAAACCTCCTAGGCTCTGATGAAACCAGGTGAAATTATTTTTATTATTTTATTAATATATTCCGATGATTATTTCTAGACAATGTTGGTAAGCTAGTACTTCCTGCTCCAAAACAGCTCATGGACTCAGGGTTATAGAACATCATTTATCTTTAATATGTATATTTCTTCATAGCATTGGCCAATGCTCAATATCATGTCCCAGGAAGCTCTGGGGATAAACATGCAGTCAATCCATGCTGCATGAGATTAACTCATGCTAGACAATTGACAGCTGCCAAATGTGCATGTCTAGGTCCGACTTGGGTCCTATATCTTTAATAGAATAACATCTCCACTTGAAGATGTCACAGGAAACTAAAACTCGGCCAAGCAAAATAAATTTATCTCCCTAAAATGTTCTTCTGTGTGTTGTCTACCTAATGAAGGCATAACTTTTTTAGCCTATAATCTGAATGTCATCCTGCATTCTGCCGTTTTCTCACCCTCTATAATCCAATCAGTCAACAGATCCCGAGAGGATACTTTTTCAGATGCCAATTCAATTTGCCCGATGACTGATTTATCAAAGTTATTTCTTTTGATTATTTACCATTAGCTGCCTTCTTATTTCTTATTAGGACACTTTCCAAACATATACAAAAGTTATAGTATAACAAACCTCCATATATTCATCACCAAATGTCAACGATTATCCTCATTTTAACAATCTTGTGTCATACATTTCTATTAATACATATTTTTTGGCTAAAGCATTTCAAAGCAAGTCCTAGATACAAGATGATTTCAAACAAAAATAATTCAGCATGTGTTTCTAATACATATGCCTATTTTCCCTTTAACATAATCACGATACCATTAAGTAAGCTGGCTTTTAATGAACTGGAGAAGAATGTGAGGCAGAGAGAGGAATAAGATTATTACTTATCGTGTGCTAAGCACTCAATGTTATTATTCATTTTTCAAATTCAAGAATGTATTTCACTCAAACATATACCCCTAGAACATATCTTCAAACTTATTTTTGTTAAGGCTAAATGCAGTAAACATTTTTTTCATAAAGTGTTAATTTTCAAGTAATGAACTCACCTTTCTACCTTTCTACCTTTCTATTTCTTTATTCTCTTTGTTTTTCTTTATCAAAGATTTTCTCAACTTTATTTTCCAACTCTTCTATTTGAGCTTAATTTTTATTTTGGTTATACTATTTTTAGTTTTTAATCGCATTTTTCTTAATTTTTCTGATTTTTTTCCTGTTTTTTCTTGTTTTGAAGATAAATAAGAGATTACATTCAAAAAATGAAATTAAAGTCAGATTTCAAAATATGCGAACACCTCAGGACAGCCAGCTTACTTTTATCCATTTGGAATCACTGTATCACATATAATCCTCCAGTTTTATAGAAGATGTCTTCCACTCACACCCTTCCTTGCCAGTCATATTTTAAAATCATAATATCTAATAAATAAAAATGATATCATTGGTAACCCTATCCACTTGCCCATTTGCCCAGAAATCTATCACCCTTAGATTCTTGTTTTCTACTTGACAAGAGCACTCAGTTCAATTCTATCAAGTAATTTTTTAGAGGAAAGTTTCAATTTGTATTTTTTTATGTCTTCTAGTCATTCAATAGCAAAGGAGAAATGAAGATAAAGTTGTCAGAAGTCACAAAGACAATGATAACAATTATATCTAAAGGCCAAACTTAAACTTGCTTTTTTTGTTTTGGTCCAGTTCTTTCCAGGTAGCCTTGCCATCTACCTATAATGTCTGTTGGTTTCAGGTTTCCATGTGTTACGCATAAATTGACCCTGAAGTTGAAAACTATAAAAAAGTATACATTTAGAAATAGAAATCAACAGTATAAAAATAGAGGGAAGAAAAAGCAATGAAAGTGGTTGAGATTATTCAGGAAAATCAAGTAGAATGAGAAAACCAAGGACAGACAGAAGCCTGGAGACCCCAACATCAAAGAGTACACAAGAAAGGCAGAGCCAGTGAGGAAGCGTGTTCCCCACTCCAACACCCAATCTGCAAAAGCTCCATATTCTGTTTCTAGGTGCACTAGTCCTAGTCTTCATCTGACATTAACATTATCTGGGCTGCTCTAGCCACCAAAAAAAGCAGAGAACATTTTTCTCATTTCCTATGTTGCATGCAAAATAAACTGTATCCCCAGCTTAGTTATGCCAACTCTCCAAGATACAAAATTAACAACCAAATTTAACACAATCTTTTTGTTCTTGATATGACCTCCCTATCCAACCAGAATTATAGATGTTGATTATTAACCCAAAACTTGACTTAACAGCTATGATTTTTTAAAAACTTGTCATTCATTAGTTTGTTACCATATGTAAAGCAAAACTAGTTATTTGGCATCAATAATCAAAGAGCTACATCTCTTTCTTTTGATTTTTTAATTTAATTCTTAATATATATGCCCACATATATATGCATAACTTTGCATAAATGGGAATACATATGTGGCTTTTTGTGAATATGTGCATGTGGTATGTGGTATAAGGCCTAAAATTAAGGCCCAACATTATGTGATGCATTGATATTTGGGGGAAATTAAGAGAGCCTCAAATGGCCTCATTGCAAGTCCCCTCCGGACTCTGGTCCCACTGATAAAATGTACTAGCCAAACAACCCTCTTTATCATGGGGATCAGGAAGATACCCCTGCTTATCCCTGCCTGTCCTAGAGTTTCAATTCCCTGCTAGCCTGCAGAACTATTCAAATAAACCAATTCTATAGTCTCATAAAAACCAGCACCGCCCCACCCTCTTGACACTACAACGCCTTTTCCCACAGCCCCTGGTTCTTCACCCTGTTTCTTAGTACAGCCCCTGTGTAGCCCTGCATGGCATAATGTTTTCCTCCCCTGGGCTATGAGTATAAATAACTAATAAACTTCTGCCCATTGCCAAGTGTCGTTGTGTTCAGCCCTCTTGGTAACCGTAGGGCAGGAATCCTTCTCTCTCAAACGGAGTGAGTAGAAGATGATAAAAATACTACAGCCTTTCTGAAAAGTCTTTTTAAGGACATCCTGCGCACAGCACAGATACTACAGAAGGGTCTAAAACAAGCACGTTTTTCAATGATTTTCTTAATATCTGACTACTTTTAGCCAAGTTCCAGTGATGTTGACATCCTCATACCTTTCCTAAAGTGAGGCTCAAGCATCAATACAAAACGCTTTTACCCCAGTTTATTCCCCCAGCTCTAGTTGTTATCTGACTTCCCCCCACATTTTCTGGGTCCTCTACTATATTGGACCACAAACTACAAATCCAGGTAAAAGTCGAAAATAAAACCCAATGCCTGAATGACAATCCACATTTAAAAAGCATACTAAAAATTGAAAAATATTTCCATATTTATTACCTTAAACAATCCTTAAAACAACCTTAAATTTATGATTTCTCTTTACTTTACAACTAAGGAAATTGACTTGTTACTCTGTAAAAGTTAAAACTGAGATTCAAGGGCTAGTTATTTAAATATAAATACCAGTCTCTATCAACCATGCCACGCTACCATTACCTGAATTTCGGATTGCAGAGCCATATTTTTTATACCCTGGCATGCATTTGAGGATTTCCCAGATGAAAAGAGAGAATTAATTTCTGAAATAAGTTACATCAGCAAACTCAACTAATGAAATAGGCTGGTTTTCACCTCTTACACTATTTGATCAAATTGTAGCCCGAAAGTTCTCAACATGGCTGCACAGTAGAATCACCTGAAGCTCTTTATAAATCCTGATTCTCAGGCCATACTACAAACCCATTAAATCAGAAAGTTTGAGATGCACCTTGGCAGCAGTAATGTTTAAAGTTCCTCAGGTGGTTCCGAGAGGTGAAGCTGGCTGGGTTTCTGGGTCGGGTGGGGACTTGGAGAACTTTTCCTTCTAGCTAAAGGATTGTAAATGCACCAATCAGCACTCTGTGTCTAGCTAAAGGTTTGTAAACACACCAATCAGCACTCAAAAAACGCACCAATGAGCACTCTGTGTCTAGCTAAAGGTTTGTAAACGCACCAATCAGCACGCTGTAAAAATGGACCAATCAGCACTCTGTAAAATTGACCAATCAGCGCTCTGTAAAATGGACCAATCAGCAGGATGTGGGTGGGGCCAAATAAGGGAATAAAACCTGGCCGCCTGAGCCCCAGTGGCAACCCGATGGGGTTACCTTCCATGCTGTGGAAGCTTTATTCTTTTGCTCTTCACGGTAAGTCTTGCTGCTGCTCACTCTTTGGGTCCACACTGCCTTTGTGAGCTGTAACACTGACTGTGAAGGTCTGCGGTGTCACTCCTGAAGTCAAGCAAGACCATGAACCCACCAGAAGGAAGAAACTCCGGACACATCTGAACATTTGAAAGAACAAACTCCAGACACACCATCTTTAAGAACTGTAACACTCACAGCGAGGGTCTGTGGCTTCATTCGTGAAGTCAACCAGACCAAGAACCCACCAGAAGGAACCAATTCTGGACACAGTTCCAATGGGCATCTAAGGTTGTGAGTCACTGTTGTAGGTGGTAAAAGCTTCAGGTCTTGGCCCTTTTTCCTCTCAGGTTCTTAGTTTCTGAAATCAAGAAGACTCTGCTTGGTTCAACTGACAGGAGAAGGAAGGGTCGGCTCGGTGGCTTACACCTGTAATTCCAGCACTTTGGGAGGCCGAGGTGGGCGGATCATGAGGTCAAGAGATCGAGACCATACTGGCCAACATGGTGAAACCCCGTCTCTACTAAAAATACAAAAATTAGCTAGGCGTGGAGGCATGCGCCTGTAATCCCAGCTACTTGGGAGGCTGAGGCAGAAGAATCACTTGAACCCAGAACGTGGAGGTTGCAGTGAGCCAAGATCACGCCACTGCACTCCAGCCAGGCGACAGAGCAAAACTCTGTCTTAAAAAAAAAGAACAGGGAAAAAAGAAAGAAAAGAGAAGGAACAGGAATGAGTCCAGGACTGCTCAAGCAAGGGCAGATGTTCCTGCTTGGCTTCAACAAGTAAATTCAGATATGACCTTTCACAGGGCTCTTCTTTTCCATTCCTACAAACATCCCACCCAGAGGAGAATGACTGTCAAAAGTCATTCTATAGTGACAGAGTTCAGTCTCAGGGGATTAACGAAGCAGCCAGATCTCCAGCTCTTTCACTTCCTCATTTTCCTTGATATCCATATGGTCACAATGGTGGGGAACTTGGGCATGATCACTCTAATTTGTCTTAACTCTCAGCTTCACACCCCCATGTACTACTTCTTCAGCAATCTGTCACTCTTGGATCTCTGCTATTCCTCCATTACTAACCCTAAGATGCTGGTGAACTTTGTGTTAAAGAAGAGCATTATCTCTTATGCAGGGTACATGTCATAGTTCTACTTTTTCCTGGTTTTTGTCATTGCTAGGTGTTACATGCTGATGGTGAAGGCCTGTGACCACTATGTTGCCATCTGCTGCCCTTTGCTTTGCAACGTCATCATGTCTCATGTCACCTGCTCCCTGATGGTGGCTGTGGTCTACACCATGGGACTCGTTGTCTCCACAATAGAGACTGGGCTCATATTAAAACTGCCCTATTGTGAACTCCTCACCAGTCGCTGCTTCTGTGACATCCTCCCTCTCATGAAACTCTCCTGATCTAGTGCCTATGATGTTGAGATGGCAGTCTTCTTTTTTGCTAGATTCAACCTGAGAATCATGATCTTAACAGTTCTTGTTTCTTACACCTTCATTCTCTTCAGCATCCTGCACATCAGCACCACTGAGGGCAGGTCCAAAGTCTTCAGCACCTGCAGCTTCCACCTTGCAGCTATAGGGATGTTCCATGGATAGACTGCATTCAGGTACTTAAAACCCGCCATAACCAGTTCCCTGGCCCAAGAGAATGTGGCCTCTGTGTTCTACACTACAGTAATCTACGTGCCGAATCCCCTAATGTACAGCCTGAAAAACAAGGATGTAAAAGCTGCCATGCAGAAAACACTAAGGAGTAAGTTTTGTTGCAGATGTAATTATCTTGAGTTGCTAATCAACCCAATACAGTATCAATATAGGAAAGAAGCTTTCTGGAGATTTACAAAACCATAAGTGGCTTTCCTTCCAATTTTCTAGTAGTCATACTTCACTCCTGGCAGTCCAGAAGTAAATTACTTTTTCTCAGTCTGCTCTCTACCCTGGTTCTGACCAAATGTTCCTTGGATATACTGACCCCAGCCACCCACCCCAGGCCTTCACCTTAATCAGTCCTTCCTTTTCCTTCTTTCCCTTCGGTATTTCCTTATCTCCTATCATCAGTTATCTCATTTCCACTCAGTATCGTCTAGTATCTCTGTATCTCAGTATCTTTAGTATCTCATTTCTGCTCAGTATCTTCAAAAAATTCTTTGAATGATGTTAAATAAAATTTTACCCCCATACAGAGAAATGTAAATAAGATCATTGATTCTTGAATATCAAGCTAGATCACTTTCTAAAATATCTGTTTGACTTTAATCTGAAACTCTTCAGTCAAAAGTCCTGTGATATTTCAACTGATAAAGGGCAAGACATTTTACAACTTTATAAGGTAACAGTTTTGCATAAATTGGTAAGTCATTATAATTTGTATAGCTCAATAGAGTTAACTCTAAAAGGAGTATGGTTGTACTGCTCTGTAGGACGTTAACCATTCACATATCTAACAAGCGATCTTATTTCAGCATGATTTTCTAACTATGTGCATGTATGTGTTTGATTTTGTAGATACATATATAAAATCTTGTAGGTATGTCCTCATACCTTAAATGCTCTTAGAACTAGCTTCTTTGTCTTCCTGGTGGCTGCTTCATTAATAAATGAAATGTAATTTTGACATGTGCTAATAATAAATAAGAGCTGAGCTTTTTAAAATTCATACTAATTATATGAATCGTTAACATGTATTGGATGCTTAATTCAAGCCAGATGTTATTGTTTATATGCTTTAACTCATTTCTTAATGAAATAGATTCTGTTACTAACTAATTTCACAAATGAGGAAACTAATATTTACAGAGATTGGTAATTTTCTGGCATTTACAGAAGTGATAGCCCCAGGAAGCAAATCCAAATTGTCTTACTCTACTTACCAAATTCTTAGCCAATTGGTAATCCATTTCCTCTGAGCTTGTTGGTTTTGCCATAAACGTGTACTTCAAATTTCAATAGCTCCTTAAAAATAGCTTCAGATCTTTTCCTTCCACTGTCTGCCCACAACTTCCTCCCTTTAGAGAGAGTTTCTTCCGTATGATCAGGGCAGGAATACACTTCACTGCAAAATCTTGTGTCCTGTGTAAATAATTGTCTTCCTGCCCTCTAGGATGTATTTCTACATACTTCTGCCTACCCTATCACCCTGACCCACTAAGTCCAAAACCTACAGGTTGACACTGGTGTGGCCCACATTGAAAGCAAGAGTTGACCCTTGTACTGTACGATATATTTTAAAATCAATTCATGCCATATTTTAATCAATCTTCACAATCCTGGAAGAGTGTATTATTTTTCTATTTTACGTAAAAGGAAGCTGGGGCGCATATGTAACTTCTTTAACTCAAGTAGAGATCTTTTGCCTTTAACTTTCAAACTTCATCATCTTTTCAATATTCTACCTGGCCAAGCCTCTCCTAACTTTTCCAGAAGACTTATGGGTATAAAAGAAAATTCTAACAATGATATCGAAACACTTTGGAAAAAGATTGGGGTCACAGAAATAAAGTTTGTACCAAATGCAAGGCAGTTTGGAGGAATTAATCAGGGCCCAGAGCTAAACATCCCTGGGACAAAGAGTTCCATGAAGGGAAGCAATCCTAGCTGAGTCTTGTGTCTCCAATTTCACCCCCAAAAAACAAAATGAAGGCCTTCAATGCATTTTTTAAAAACTCAAACCAAATTCCACACACATTCCAATTAAATGGGTGGCCTGGCCCCAAAGCACTCCCCTTCCCCACCACCTCCCACACCTCAGTAATGAGAGGGCAGCATAAAACCACAGGGCTCCACCTATTCAGGGCCAGCCCAGGGAGAGCATCCTGGCACCAGTCCCCGGTGAAGCCAGCGTCTGCATCCTCCTCCAGCGACCTACTCAAGAGCAAACCTCCCTATCATTATCAGTGTTCTGGCCCACAGCATGGGCAGGATACTGTAGTCCCTTCTTATCCCCATGGCTTTGCTTTCAGTTACCCATGGTCAACCATGGTCAGAAAATAGGTGAGTCCAGCACAATAAGATAATTTGAGACAGAGAGACATTCGCATGGCTTTTATTAAAGCATATTGTTATAATTGTTCTATTTTATTAGTTGTTATTGTTGTTTGTCTCTTGCTGTGCTTAATTTACAAATTAAACTTCATTATAGGTATGTATGTATAGAAAAAAACTATTCATGGTTTCAGGCATGAAGTCTGGGAAGGTATCCGCTGCTGATAAGGGAGGACTGCTGTATTTGGAGAATTGTCTCGTGCTCTCAGCACTGATCCTCCCAAGACTGGAATTGCCAGCATCCTCTCCCCAGAGCCAGCTGCCTGAAGCTGTTGCATCCTCATTCTGCCTATCCTGGGCTTGCAACCGACTGGCTCTGCACGCCACACACTCAGCAATATCATGTTCCTTACACATGCAATTGCAGAGCACACACTGTCAGATGCCCTGCTGCCTTACCACACAGGTGCCACCTCCAGGGGCTGAGCCAGGAGTGGCCCCTGGGTCTGACGGTCATGTTCCTAGCAGCAGGCCTCCCCTTGTTGCTGACGCCTTGATGTCCCTAGTGGTCCACTTTTGAATTATAACCCACGGTTCAAAAAAATCTTTGTCTGAAACAAGTATTTTGGAGACCAAAAAAGAAGGGACCAAAAAACTGTGAGAAAGTTAACATGAATTATTTTCGTTTCCCTAATATTCAATGAAAGACCTAGAAATAAGGTATTTTATCTTCAGGTTTGTTTTTTATTACCTTGAAAAATAACATTTTAAATCATATGGATCTTGGAATTTGGGCCACAATAATCTTTTCAGGGCCCAGAGCTTCAAAAGTTCTTAAGCAAAGCGTTATTCTCTCTGAGTGGCTTTCTGTTCCCCACCTCCAAAGCTCTAATTACACATGATTGGTGCCCAACACTGCCTGGCACGTAATATGTGCTGAATAAATGTTATTTCTGTTTCTTCTCTAGTTTCCTTTCCATCTCCTTATAAACCCCATCCAAACCATTATTACATGTATAATTTGGAGCTCTCAACTTGTTCATCCACTACAAAATCTTACTACAGAGAATATGGCACAGCACAGATGATTCTTAGAGCAGTGAAACTACTCTGTATGATACTATAATGGTGGATACATGTCATCATATGTTTGTCCAAACCCACAGAATGTACTACAGGCAGTGAGCCCTGCTGTAAATTACAGATTCTGGATGATAATGTGGTGTCAGTGCAGCTTCATCAATTTTGTGACAAATGTACCTACCACTCTGTTAGGGAATGATGATAGTGGGGGAGGCTGTGCATGTGTTGGGGGTAGGGGGTATGTGGGAACTCTCTCCACTTCCCTCTCAATTTAGCTGTGACCTAAAACTGTTCTGAAAAAAAACAAACTCTTAAAAAAGAGAGAGAGAGAATGTGGAACAACAGCGAGCTGGGAGACCTGGCCCTCTTTTTTCTTGTGATGTGATTTGCATACTGAATTATCCATGGAGGGAGCCCCAACCTCATGTCACCTGTTTTTTCACCACAAAATGAGGAATGCATCAGCTCCTGTAATTTCTCCTTGTGGGAAATGATAATGGGAAACCAATCCCAAAGGCTTTCTTCCTGCTCCTTCTCCTTTCCTTCAAGACCACCCCCAGCCTGCATCTAGGATCAAAATCCAGGCCATAAATCCTCTAAAAGATGTCACCTATCCCAGGGTAGATATCAACATCAAAACTATAAGAACCTGATGCCAAAATTCAGGTTAGCTGATGCCACCCACGGCTGGCCTGTCTGGTTCAGTAGCTATGTGGAAGGAGAAGAATTCCCAGAGCCGAATCCAGAGTCAGTGCATTCGGCTGGCCTGGGGCAGATGGCAGAGTGCTGTTCCAATTCTTTCCATGGCTCAGCAGAGCCCCACCAGAAAACCTGGGCACAGGAGGTGGCAGACAGTGCCTGCCAGATGCAAAAGTTTCTAAAGAAGTGAAGCATGGTCTCCAGAAAATTCCTTATTGGTTGTGTTGCAGCTCTCATTCTCCATTCCTGCAGAGCGCTGATGGAAAAGAGTGTTCTTGTTCCAGAGCTTCCTATCAGGAGTTCTTTCCCAGTAACTTCAGTAACAGGCAGGCTACCTTCATGGTCATCCCATGTAGGAACTTCCCAGTGACCACAAACATGATCAGACTGGTCAGGACAAGATAAGTTCCGGTCTGCCACATTAGATCAGCAGTCTCAAGATTCTCATGCCATTAGATAGACAGTAAATGCACATAACATTCTCTGCCTCGAGTTTCTTTTATTCATCTTGTAATCTTTCTTCAAATGCTCCATGATCCCTAAATGTTTTCTCAAAACTAAGAATATCATTAGTTTTCTCTAATTTCTCCTTCTGGGAAATGACTATAGATGTTGATAGCCACTCAGTGGGCTTGTGTCATGCATGGAAACTGAAGGATGTCACTCATCATGGTTCATGTGGGCTATTTTTTGGAGGAACACCAATTTCAGACTTATAGGCTGGTAAGTCTCCCCAGAAAGGAGACCACAGTCTCCTAATTTATGGGGTAGAGAGAGAGTGGCCTTAATAATGATGCCAGCCATATTAAGAGAGTTCAGTGATTAACTCCAAGAATTTCACATAATCCCTGTCTTTTGAGCTCAGTCCCTTTACCCTCAACTGTGCCTTGTATCCAGAGTCCAGGGGTCCTCTGATTCAAACTCCCCACAGAGTAAACTTTAAGACTTCTGCCAGGCTTGGGAAGGGCAGAAAAATTGCAAAAGTGTTTCTATGAGAAGGGAGGAAAAAGAAAAAAGAAAAAGCATATGATAATATTTCCACAACTTTTCTGGAATGTTAGCTGTAAGTAGCAAGTTACCGAATGTCTCTAAGCATCAGTTACTCTGTCTGTTAAATGGGAAAAGAGAACTTACCTGTCACTGGTGTGCAACTCAAGAAGTGGCTTCCTTTTATGTTCTTACCTATTATATAGTACTTCAAAAATAAATTTTACTAAATTTAATTTCGAATATAAAACTTCATATTTCCTTTAGAAAGGAAGGAAATCAACTGAAAAGAAGTATCTGACACTAAGAAAAGTGCTTTCCATAAATTACATACATTAATATAACAGCCATATGAGACTGGCATTATTCCTATTTTACAAGGAACTAAACTGAGTTTAATATAGTAAAATAATTAGCTCCAATACATCTGGTTAGTAAAAGAGCAGAGCTACAAACTCATGCCTACTATATCTGAGAAGAGTATGCTATTATCAGTATACCAGGCTGTAATATAACCAAACTTATAACAGATTAAAATTACAACTGATTAGTAGGTTGTGGTTATAAGGTGGGATCCAGGCAATAATTAGTTCTCTTGTTCTCAGAGAAATTAAAATGATACAGCAATATCATTCAGTGCAAAAATATAGGTTTTAAGGCCAGTCCAAGCTACTTCAAACTCTGACTCCCTCATTTACTGTGAGAACAATGATGAACGCTGCTAGGTAGTAGGATTTCTTATGCAAAGTCAAAGGCATTGGCAGTGTCAGTCTCCCAAGGGAGACATAGACTCTCAAACAAAAGCCAACACTGAGAAAGATAGCCCTACATAGATTGAGGAGGGAAAAGCGAGCCTCCCTCTGTACCTGGACTTTGAGACAGGCATAGTCAAGTGAGACTTTAAATATTGATTCCACGTGATGGAAGCGGCCACCATCGAACACATGACCCAGCCTCAGCCACTTGGGTGATTCCACTCATGACCATGTCTCTGAAGAAATGCAGAGTTCATAATGGAGAAGGCAGAGGCAACATGTTCCAGCAACAGCTCTGGAGTGTGGTGAGATTTGGGGATGGGACTGCTGCCAGCAGTGCTCAGCTGCCTGTGGAGGTGGTGTTGGTTGTGCCCGTCAGCATCCTGACAGTTTGCGGTGTGACTTGGCTGTGTTTCCAGCTGTCTGCCTTCTCCTGAATCCTGCCTGTTCTCAAACCTAGTTCTTTCCAATAGCCCATTTCCTTCCAATAAACTCTCCTCTTGCGCAAGTTAACCAGCGTCATATACAGTTGTTTGCACCTAAGAACCCTGACTGGTTACAGTGGAAGCTGGCCTGGCACAGGGCTGAGGAAGGGGTGGGAGGAGGCCAGTGTCCAGGCTGTGCAGCAGCTCTCTCATGCCCCAGTGATTTCCCATGAACCCCATACATCATCACCTTAGTGACGGGGTGACAGACCCTCCTTTTGCTTCCCACACACACACACAAACAAAAACTGTGCTGTTTGGATGTATTTAAACCTTCCAGGCTGCTTTTGATAGAGTTTGAGGGAAAAAAGTGGATGAAAAGATCAGATTCTGAAGACCGCCCTTCTTCATCTGATCACACCTAAAATTCTTGGTGGGATTCTTAAGCCCTTTATCATTGTAAGATATGCATACATACACTCCTGCACTCTAGATTGTATGTAATGCAGGAATAAAATGTAGGAACAAAAAAGGTAAAATGCAGGAATTTCCAGTGTCCAAATCAATGTCTATCCAGCTCAAGGTACAGAATGTTTCCAACACATCAGAAGATTCCTTCATCCCGTTCCCAGTCTTTTCTGTCTTCTATCATGTACAATTACTTTTCCCCGTCCTTGAACTTAATATAAATGGAGCCATTTAATACATAGCTTTTTATGCCTGATTCCTTATGTCTGTGAGCATCCTCCATGTTGGGTGATGCAGTAGAACATTCCTTCTTATTGCTGCACTTACGCTAAGTATAAATATGTAATTTATCCATCTGCTGTTGATAACAATGGGTATTTCTTAAAAGAGTAAGTCTTTTATCGAAGCATAAGGGAAAAGAGCTAATGCATGCTTGGTTTAATACCTAGGTAATGGATTAATAGGTGCAGCAAACCACCATGACACACATTTACCTATGTAACAAACCTGCACATCCTGCACGTGTACCCCCAAACTTAAAAATGAAATCAAAAGAGTAAGTCAAACTTTGATGCTTTCATGATGATAGAATAAACATAAAAAGAGTTCATTTGCTACACAGAGGTAATATATTGAATATACATATATATCAACTGAACATTTTCTGGACAGTTTTGTAAAATAATAGCCATCAGTTAATCCACCAAATTTGTTAATGCTTATTAAATCTAATGACATAGTTATTAATTTAATGTTTAATTAAAATGAATATACTTGGCATTTAGATTTTAAATGGTCTATGTTATGACGAAGATCTATTTTTCATGGGCTATGATTTACAGGTTAATAACTATTGAGGTGCCCTATGTAATCAATACAGGAAGTAGTTTATTGTTCATTTTATAAAATTGGAGATCTGATTTTGATTATAAAATAATTATTGCTTATTGTATATGATGTATCTTTTTGCTTTTAGGACAGATCATTGATCATATTTTTATTTGACGCTAAATTTCCCATCAGACACCATGTCTCGTAACAGCATTGTTACTATAGAAATACATGGTCAGGTTTATGTTATGCTGGGAACATATTGCTGTGAGTCCTGAATGATAGGTAGAAGCTGACCAGTAGAGGAGAGGGCAGACCTTTCCAGGCAGAGGAATGACCAGAGTCCCAAACCCTACACATTTGGGGAAAAGCAAGTGATATTAGGGGATGAATCACTGAGTGTATAAAGAGGTCGATAGAATATTTGGGTGAGAGGAATGGTAACAGGGACAATCAGTCTCCATTCAGCACTCTGAGGGGAGAACTAATGGAGAAAGAAGATACAGTAGTCAAAAGGAGATCAAAAGAGGTGATTTAATGTGGGTAAAAGTTGATTGGAAGGCAGAGCTTGGATCTGCAACTACAATAGAATTCTCTAATGCCTTCTGACGCCACAGAGTAATTTTACAAACCCAGCTACAATCACTTCCCTACAAATTGGGCGAGAGCACATCACATGCTCAGTTTGGTCTCCCAGTCCTAGCAGTCGGGAGCATAACAACCCCTTTAGAAAGAGTAAGGAAGGAAATGTGAGCAAGAAAGAATTATTTTCATTCTGTGCTCCCCTAGGGCATGGAAAGATAGGTTTCCACTCAAAGAGGAATGGAATCATCTGCTTTAAACCAAAGATCAGCCCCTTCACAGGATTTATTTGCACGAAGTCATATTTCCTCTTATGGACCAATATAGAAACATGTATCTCACATATATGCATAGCCACAGGTAAAATCTTGTTCCCAACATTCCATAAATATAACTCAAATCTCCTTGTGTTTGAGTGCGAAATATCTAATTTTTTAAAGCCCCAAAGAAGTAAATAGAAAGTTTAAAAACATAGCTTCCCCTCAATCCATCTATTTTCCTGTACTAGTTAGTGATGTGAACTGCGATCTGGGAGCTCAGGATATTTGGGTATAATTTTTTTAGATAGCTTAACAAAATGTTTCTCAAATCAAAAACACTTCAGAGACATCCTACCCTATTTGGGATGTCTCTGGGAGCTATATTACAAGCCTGCTTGCACCGTAGATAACTTTGAGAAAGAGAAACACTGCTCTGAAGCAATTCACCAGCACTTCCAACTTAGGATGAGATTCCTGAATTTAGAGCATGGACAAGAAACTCTACTCCACCATTCTGTCCATGAGCAAGCAGAGAAGAGAGATATGTAACTGCTGATCATAATCTTCATCTTTCCTTTGTGCCTCTATCCTACAGCCTGGTAAAGTAGGCGAGTATACCCACACTGGCCAGACAAGAGCTTGGAAAATGGATCTTTTGGTTCACCAGCTCAGCTCTCTGGTGCAGAATCTACAGAACAGAATAAACCCATATGGTTTACAGTGTTGTCAGTGGGATGTAGGAAAATCACAGGGTTAGTGCAGGGCTAGTAAAGGAGGCACCATTACGATGTGTAGGCTGAAGTGGACAAGGAGAGAGCTGTGTGGGAGGGCCTCACTTGGCATGAATGTGACTCCTGGTGGATGGATGCGGTCCACAGCACTCCCACAGGAAGAGGACGGAGGAATAAATATCCTGCCTTGCTTTTTTTTTCCCTGCATTGTTCACTAAGACAAAGGGCAAGAAAGTCTGCTAATGCAGTTCAGATCAGCCAGACTCCCAGGGGACAGTGCAGGACAGATAAGTGCAGAGACTGCATTTGAATGTCGAACAGAGGACAATCAGCACAGTCAGAAACACAACCCTACAAATGAGGCCCAAATGGATAGGACAAGTAAAATGATAAAATGTAGGCCACCCAACTATCTCAGGCATATGGAACGGGAGGCCAGGAACAGCAAGAAGACATCCAAGTCCTCCAGGGGGGCGGGATCTGTTGAAAACTGCTAGTTTTCGTCAGAAATGGAACAGGGCCAGGGTAAGTGGGACGGAGTCGTGGTTGCAGCTCTAAATGGGAAGAGCAAAGACGGAGGAAGCAAGGATATCGCTAACAGTAAAACAGGCCTCTTTTCCATTCTAAGGGGGAATAATTGATTCCAATGGGAAAAACCAAAACTTTACTCAACAAATAGAAACTAAAAATATAGATAAGTATACCAAACAAAGGAAAAGCTCAAGAGACAGACAATTCAAATGCAATGCAGTTTGGATTTGGGGATGTGGGTTTCACTAACATCACAGCAGCAAACCTAAAAACATCTGTCAGATGGGAGCTGTACCACATCCTTTCAGTGTTCCTCCTATGTCCCCCATCAGATTTTATTTATTTATTTATTTACTTTTTTTTTTTTTTTTTTTTTTTTTTTTTTTTTGAGATGGAGTCTCGCTCTGTCACCCAGGCTGGAATGCAGTGGTACAATCTCGGCTCACTGCAACCTCCACCCTCCAGGTTCAAGCGCTTCTCCTGCCTCAGCCTCCCCAGTAGCTGAGATTACAGGCATGCGCTACCGTGCTTGGCTAATTTTTTTTTGTATTTTTTAGTAGAGACGGGGTTCGCCGTGTTGGCCAGGCTGGTCTCGAACTCCTGACCTCAAGTGATCCGCCCACCTCACCCTCCCAAAGTGCTGAGATTACAGGCATGAGCCACCGTGGTTGGCCTCTTATCAGACTTTTATGCACAATAGCTTCAAGTAAGTTTTCACGAAATTCAAACACCTGTTCCTGCTTCTCTTTCCCAGAGAGCTTGCCTCAGGATGCTGAAGTGTGGTTTACCTACACAGGAGATGCAAAATTACTTGGAAATTTGCACTTCATTGGAGGCAACCCAGAAGGAATGACTGATTAGTGTGAAGGCGTAAATACTCTAGTCCCACTACCACTGACAAGGACAACTGCGGCATGTGAGCTGAACTGAATTTAGAGCTTCTAAATCATACATAACTGCTAGATATGTATTCTTTTATATCTATGATATATTTCTTAAAATTCAGCCTTTGAGCAGGAACAAAGCCTAAAAACCCTATAAGAGTCCAGAAAAGCAAGAAGCCACCTACAAAAATAGAAGGAGGTAAGTGAAAAGTGAGAGCAAGTTCCTAGCACCCTAAAGAAAAATCTAGCTCGATTGATTGATTGCAGGATCCCTTTCCAACTCACTGGCTATGTTCCCCTCCTTTCCATAAATGATCAAGTTGGATCCCCAGTTCCTTCACCAAAAGGAAAGGGATTTTGAATTAGGAATAAACCCTTTGGACAGTGTTTGTGTTACAATGTGTCATTTATATATATAGTTCTCCCACCAAAGGGTGGGTTCAATTTTTCTAAATAAAAAGTTTTGCAGTCCCTATAAAGTCCAAACTTAAAGTGCTCTTTCAAGTTTTGCTACATAGAGATGCCGGTTTTCTGAGGACCCTAATTGACTGCTAGATAAAGATTAGGAAGATGAGAGTTGACAAAAAACATTTAAGTAGAAAAAAAAACATTTAAGTAGAATCTCCACTTTTTATAAAGTGCTGCCCTAATGAGGCTAATTTCTGACTGTGTGCACTACACTTCCCACTTATACCTGAGTCCCTTTAGGAAAAGATCGTTCTCACTCAGAGATAAAGAAGATGGAGGGGTGGGTGTAGAATGAACTCTCAAGAACAGAGAGCAACCACTGGGAAGAGAATGGGCTATTCACTTATATTTTGAGATGCTATCTGTTCTCTTTAAATGTGTTTAAATTAATGGCTTCAGGAAATCAAACGTGGCCTTGTAAAAAATAATTTTCTCAACCTCCTGGAATCTTCATTCTTTCACCAACTAAATAGTTATTAAGCATCCACGGCCAGTCACTCTTCCAAGCAATGTTGAGGTAACCATGCCCTCAATGAATTTATATTCTTCATCTGTGTATCTATACTTTCAGCAACACCACACTGTCTTCAATAATACAGCGTCGTTGTAAGTGTTGAAATCAAGTGGTATCAGTCTTCTGACTTTATTCTTCTTCTTTAGAATTGTGTTGGCTACTCTGAGTTTTGTCCCTTTCCATATAACTTTTTGAATCAACTTGCTCATATAAATGAAATAACTTGCTGGGATTTCGTGATTGCATTGAATCTATAAATCTGTTGGAAGGAACTTAAATCTTAGCAATGTTGTGTCTTTCTAGTCATGAATATAGAATAGCTCTTTATGTAGATCTTTCATTTGTTTCATCAGAGTTTCGTAGTTTTCCTCATAGAGATTTTGTACATATTTTGTAAGATTTATTCCTAAACACTTCAAGTGTTAGTGTGAATTGTTTTGTGTTTTTAATTTCAAATTCCATTTATCCATTGCTGGTATACATGAAAGCAATTAACTTTTTATATTTTTTTTCTATTTTTATAGTAACCTTGTCTCCTGAAACTAGTTATAATTGCTTATTGGTTCCATGGGTTTTTTTATGTTCATTCTTTGCGATTTTCAACACAGACATTTATGTCAGCTGCAAACAAAGTTTTATTTCTTCCTTCCCAATCTGTATACTGTTTACATCATTTTCTTTTACTATTGCATTAGCCAGGACTTCCAATACCATGTTAAATGGGAGTGGTGAGAAGCAGCATCCTGTCTTTGTTCTGATTATAGGAAGAAAGCACCTAGTTTCTCACCAATAAATATGATGCTATCAGTAGGTTTTTTTTGTAGAGGTTCTTTATCAGACACAAAACTTCCCCTTATTCATAGTTTTTCAGGAAGTTCTTTCATGAATGGGTTTGGGATTTTGTCAAGTGTTTTCTGTGCATCTATTGATAAGATCTTGTCTTTTTTTTTTCTTTAAACTTCTCTGGTCTTAATGAAGAATTTTATATTGATTCTATCTTTTTCTCCCTTGTTAGCTGATCAATTATACTTTTAAAAAATTTTTAGTGGGTACTCTAAAGTTTGCAATGTGCATTTACAACTAATAAAAGTCTACTTTCAAATAACACCATATCACATCCTGGGTAGTGCAGGTACTTTATAACAGAGTATGCCCAATCCCTCCCTTCCATCCCTTATAACATTGCTGTCATTAATTTCACCTATTCATAAGCTATGGTTACCCAATATGTTAGTGCTATTATCATTTTAGCAATCATTTCTCTGTTAGATTAATTAAGACTAAGAAAAAGGAGTTTATTTGACTTTCACTTATTCCTGCTCTAATGACTTCCCTTTTTTTATGTAGATCTTCTTTCTGAAGAACTCCTTTCTTGCATGACAGCTGTACCAGCAACAAATTCTCTCAGCTTTTGTTTGTCAGAAAAAGTTTTTACCTAACTCTCCGTTACATTTGAAGGATAATTTCACCAGATACAAAACTCTAGGTTGGTGAATTGTTGTTGTTGCTGTTGTTGTTTTTCCAGCACTTTAAATCTGTTACTTCACTCTCTTCTTGCTTGCAAGGTTTCTGAATAGAAGTCTAATGTAATTCTTATCCTTATTCTTTTATAGATAAGATCATACAAGTAAGATGGGTATTTTTCCTCTGGCTTCTTTCAAGATTTTTTTTTGTCTGGTTTTCTGCCATTTGAATATGATATGGCTAGGTGTAGACTTCTTAATATTTATCCTGCTTACTGTTTAGTGAGGTTCTTAGATGTATAGTTTTGATGTCTGTTATTAATTTTAGAAAATTCTTAGCCGTTATTATTTTAAATATTTCTTCTGGATTTTTTATTTTTTTCTCTCTTCTAGTATTTTTATTATGCATATGTCATGCCTTTTATAATTGTCCCACAATTCTTGCGTATTCTGTTCCATTTTTTTCATTCTATTTTCTCTTGACATTTCTGTTTGGGAAATGTCAGTTAACATATCTTTAGGACCACTGATGCTTTCCTCTACCATACCCAGTCTACTTATGAGTCTATCAAAGGCATTTTTCATTTCTCTTACAGTGGTTTTTGTTTTTTTAAGTATTTCCTTTTGATTCTTTCTTAGAAGTTTCCATCTCACTGCTTACATTGCTCATCTGTTCTTGCCAGATGTCTGCTATTTTTATTAGAGCCCTGAGCGTATTAATCATAGCTGTTTTAAATTCCCAGTCTGATCATTCCAACATCCTCCCTTATACCTTAGTATGGTTGCTTGTTTTGTCTGTTTACTGTTTACTGTTTACTGTAGCTGTAGGTGTCTAAAGCTTCAACTTTCTCTAGTACCATCTTGTCTCCTCATGTTGTCTCAGGATTTCCCTAGAAACTCTCTTAAACAGAGTCTGAGCTGTGCTTTAACCCCCTGTTTTTATACAGGAGATTAATGGATGTGATAGTAAAGTGTGGGTGGGAGACAAAACATTCTCTATTGCTGTGATTAAGTCTCGGCCTTTTTGTTGGCCTATTCCCTGGGGCTGTGACCTTCACAAGTGCTTCTCAGCTCTTTCTACTCCTTAGGTGAGACAGACTAGAGGGAGCGGGAGGGGACTGAAGTTAGGAATTTCACTTCCCCAATATTGTGTAGACTGAAGTATGGTTTTCTGGGAGGTTAAGTGAGAACAAAAAGCTCTGAGTGTATTTTGAAATGGTTCCTTTTCCCCTCTCCCTGTCCAACACTAGTGGAACTAGACTCTGATCTTCACCATGAAAACCCGGTGGGTCTCCTGGAGGTAGAACTCCCAACAGTATGGGGACTCCCCCACCAAGACTGGGTTCCCTGGAGTTTTTACCTTTCAAGCTGGTCCACACTCAGACTCCAGCAATTCATCAACTACCTCTCAAGTGTTCTGTGTTCATATAGATATGTACACACATGCATACTAACTCCAGTAGCTTCTGCTCTGGATAAGCAGTTATTCTCTTCTCACTTCTTCCTGCAGTTTTCAGGGAGTCAGTTTGTTCTGTGACCTCAATTCTCTGATGGCTCTAAGAAAAGTGGTTGATTTTGAGTTTGTTTGGCTTTTTACTTGTGAGGATAAGAGTTATAACTTCCAACCTCTCTGAGCTCAAACCATCTCTTATTTTTTAAAACAGATATGTAAGTTAATACATAAGTGTTTGTTGAATTGAAAATGTTTGCCATTTTGGTATCTTAAGAGCTCAATGTCTCTTCCTCCGGGACAGCAACAATCAAGCAAAGATACAGGTGATCAAATCACGGGGTGGAGGTGGAAAATCAGAAGAAACCAAAATGTTGCCAGAGTTGAAATTACCATGGGTTATCTGTGTTGCTTCCTCTCCTCTCCTCTATCCTCTTCTGTCCTGTTCATTCTCTAACCCATGCCTCTTCTGTGTTTGATTTCTCTTCTTGTTGCCTAATAATATCCTATGCTCCCTCCTCTTTAAGTCATTTCCATTGGAAGATACATCCCTAAATCCCCTTTTATTAAATTTCAAAACAAAAAAGGGTCTCTAGATACATAAATATGTAGGTAGATAGATAGAAGGTACAGAGATATGCTTGTGTATACCTATTCTATTTCTGGGAATAGTTGCATCCAGGAGGAAGAACATAAGCATGGGTGAACTGATGTGAAAGGAAACCTTATTTCTACTGTATACTTTTTTGTACTGTTTAATTTTTTACCATGACATGTATTCTCAAGAAAAATGTATTCCTTCTTAAGTGGAAGCTGTTAATCACCCACCCATAATCTAATTACTGCCATCTGCAGAAGAAAACAAATCCTACAGCAAACATCTTATTCAACAGTGAAAGCCTTAATGCCTTTACCCTAAGGTCAGAAACAAGACAGGGTCATCCATTCTCATCTCTATTAATCATTGTATTGGAAGTCTTAGACAGGACACTGAAAAAAATAAAATAGATAAAAGGTATAAAGACCATTAAGGAAGAATCAAACCTGTCTTTATTTGCAGATTACATGAGTATATACAGAAAAAACAAAGTACAAATTCTTAGTTTCTCTTTTGTCGAGTTTAGCTAACAATTAGATTTCATAAGTGAAATAACAAAGATGCTAGATACAAATTCAGTATACAAAAAACAACTGTGCTACTACATACTACTAATAATTGAAAATTAAATTTTAAAAAGTTATTTAAAATAAAGTAAAAGGTATGAAAGGTATGAAATTCCACTTCGAAACAAGAAAAGCATGTCTGTTTTCCTCATTACTATTCACCATTGTAATGGGAGAATACAGCACTTTGGCTCCATGTCAACTTCTCTCAAATTAGTCCCACTAAATTATTGTCACTTGATCTTCAAATACACACGTACAAATATAGCCAATACAATTCAGGGAGGAGAGAAGGTCTTTTCAATAAATGATGCTGATGCAACTTAATATCTTTATGAAAGAAATAAAACAACTGCACACCATACATGATAACTGATTTAAAATTGATCTAAAATCTAAATTTTAAAGGAAAAATCATGAAGCTTTCAAAGGAAAACCTGAGAATGACTTTGTGACTATGTAGTAGGAAAAAAATTAAACAGAAGAAAGCATGAACAGTAAAAGAAGTGGACAAATGAACTTTATTCAAATTGAAATTGAAATATCATTATCAAAGGACATAATTAATGAGTAGTCATGGGGCAAGCCAGAGACTGAGTAAAGATAACTGCAATGTGTGTGTCTGAAAAAGTACTCATATCCAGATTATACGTTTTAAAAAACTAATCAATAAGAAAAAAGAATAACAACACTTTTTTTTTTTTTTTTTGAGATGGAGTCTCACTCTGTCGCCCAGGCTGGAGTGCAGTGGCGCGATCTCGGCTCACTGCAACCTCCGCCTTCTGGGTTCATGCCATTCTCCTGCCTCAGCCTCCCAAGTAGCTGGGACTACAGGTGCCCACCACCACACCAGGCTAATTTTTTTGTATTTTTAGTAGAGACGGGGTTTCATCATATTAGCCAGGATGGTCTCGATCTCCTGACCTCTTGATCCGCCTATCTTGGCCTCCCAAAGTGCTGGGATTACAGGTGTGAGCCACCGTGCCCAGCAACAACACTATTTTTAAGTAGCCAAATGACTTGAACAGGCACTTCACAAATGGTGATGTCCAAATAGCTAATGAACATATAAAAAGTGCCCAACAAGGCTGGGTGTGGTGGCTCACACCTGTAATCCCAACACTTTGGGAGGCCAAGATGAGAGGATCACTTGAGCCCAGGTATTTGGTAACAGCCTGGGTAACATAGTGAGACCTCATCTCTACAAAAAATAGAAAAAGTGGCCAGGTGTGGTGGCATGTACCTATAGTTCCAGTTGCTCAGCAGGCTGAGACAGGAAGATAGCTTGAGCCCAGGAGTTCAAAGCTCCAGTGAGCCATGATCACACCATCGCACTCCAGCCTGACAACAGAGCAAGACTTTGTCTGTTAAGAAAAGGTCAGGAGTTCGAGGCCAGCCTGGCCAACATAGTGAAACCCCGTCTCTAGTAAAACTACAAAAATTAGCCAGGTGTGGTGGCAGGCTCCTGTTACCCCAGCTACTCGGGAGGCTAAGGCAGGAGAATTGCTTGAACCTGGAAGGTGAAGGTTGCTGTGAGCCGAGATCATGCCACTGCACTCCAGCCTAGGCGACAGAGCAAGACTCCGTCAAAAAAAAAAAAATCATTATTTATCAGGGAAATATCTAAAAGACTAAAGCAATACTGTACTACACACCCAACGGAGTAATTAAAATGAAAAATACTGAAAATAAGGATGAAGAGTATCCTTTTCTGGAATTTATTGATGGGAGTGCAAATCAGTTTAAATATTTTGGAAGACAATTTGATAGCATTTAGAAGCCTAAACATATGCCTACCTTGTGACCCATAAAATCTACATCTAGGTATATACCCAAACAAAAATAAGTGTATATTTCCAGCAAAATACATGTTCAAGAATGTTTATAGGCCAGGCATGGTGGCTTATGCCTGTAATCCCAGCACTTTGGGAGGCCGAAGCAGACAGATCACGAGGTCAGAAGTTGGAGGCCAGCCTGGGCAACATGGTGAAACCCTGTCTCTACTAAAAATACACAAATTGGCTGTGTGTGGTGGTGGGTGCCTGTAATCCCACCTACTTTGGAGGCTGAGGCAGGAGAATGATTTGAACCCGGGAAGTGGAGGTTGCAGTGAGCCGAGATCGTGCCATTGCACTCCAGCCTGGGCAACAGTGCGAGACTATGTCTCAAAAAAAAAAAAAAAGGAATGTTTATAACAGCTTTATTAATAACATGTAGAAATTGAAAACAAGGCAAATGTCCATAAAGAAGATATTGATAAGCAAATTGCTCTACATTCTTACAATGGAATACTAAAATAAACAGCAATAACCAAGAAAACTGTTATGGATGAATCTCACATGACTCTCTATGTTAAGTGAAACGTAAGAAAGTAAATGCACTATTTAACATTTATATGAAGTTCAAGCACGAGAAAAATGAAACTGTGATGATAAAGTAAGAATAGTGAATATTTCCAGGAAGAGCATGGGGAGTAGTAATTACTGGGAAAGGGCAGGCAGGAGTACCCTGAAATGATAAAAAATCTGCTATATTTTCATTTGGGTGGAGGTAAGTAATCATAGCCTTATAAATGTGAAAAAAAATCATCGAGCAGTTAATGTTTGTGCACTTCACTGTAAAATTTATATTTCAATTTAAGAAGGAGTAGGGTGTTTTCATTGTACTGATTCTCCACCATTCCCAGTGCACCCTCAATCCATGTGTCTTGAATTTCATCATCATTCATCTCCCTTAGCATCAAAACACAACCCTCCCCTACACTTTCATTTCCTGAATTCTATCCTCGTTAAACCAAAAGATTCCAAAGGAAGAAAGCTAAACATTAATCCGAACTTCCCCTTTTTCTAATAGAAGATAACTTTTCAAAGTTTGTAAATTAAACTATCTTCCAGACAGTTCATATGCCATGACTTCTGAAATAATTGTTACCATTACTAATGTATTCAGATCAAAAAAATTACTCTCATTCGTTATACAAAGTTGTACTTCCACTTACCCAATGCTGTGAATATATGACCTCTCCTAAGACCACCGTCCCTTCCCTTTATGCCCTATTGTTATTAATAGAAGGTCACAGATATATGCAATGTCTTAACTATATAATGGCAATTGCCTCCCCTAACAACTAGTTGGCTGCCGTGGTTCTAATGGCTCACTTATCCAGAGCTGTCTATTACTAATTTACATTATTCAGACCTTTGAGGTGAGGCTCCAAATTCTGTCTCCGTTAATCTTCAGATGAAGAATAAAGCTTGTATCTAACAAATTTAACTCCCTCAACTCTGTTTATCTCTCCCTTAGAAGGCCTTCTATTGTAAGCCTTCACTCAAGGCTCTATACCATCTCCATGGGCACCATCCTTGATTCTATAAGGAACCTAATCTACTTCTCACTCACACACCCCAAAATTCTTTAAAATTTTCTCTTATCTTTTTGTCAAGACCACATCAACCACATTTTTCACTTCCAACACTCTTGCAAAAATGTTATTCCAAAAATTAACCTTTGAAAAGTTGCATGACATCACTATGAATATAATTAGATATCTTTAAATGCAAAAAAAAAAATTTTAAATGAAATCAGTCAGGGAAACGATGGAACAAGGAAGTGTAGCTGAAGAAAAACACAGCAGATTGTATTAAAATTCAAGAGCCTGGACTCTAGTTTCAGCTCTGGCATCAGGTACATGTGTGTCCTTTGGCAGCCTACAAAATATTTTTGAGTGTGATGTATTGCATGAGGAGACTGGAGTAAATGATTTCATAAGCCTATTCAAGATTAAACCCTGTATAACAGTAGAAACTATTCTCATAAAATAACAATTGGAATAGTTGGTGTGGATAAGCAGTGCAGGGTGTAAGTGCACTTAAGAATACATTTAAAATTTTTCTCTAAGTATAGGAGAGAAAGCAGTGGCATTTGTTCCCTCACTGAAAAAAAGAAAAGAAACCCCCTGATTAACAAAGGTTTGGATTCCCTTTCTCATTCATTTTTAAGAGACTAATTTTCTGCAAAAGGTTCTCCTCAGGGCAACTTTGACATCTTTATTCCTCAGGCTGTAGATTAATGGGTTAAACATGGGCACCACAGCAGTACAAAAAATGGAGGACACTTTCCCCTGGTCCAGGGGTAGAATAGAAGGTGGTTTGAGGTACATGAAAGCACCTGACCCAAAGAAAAGCGATACCACAATTATGTGGGAACTGCAGGTACTGAAGGCTTTAGACCTGCCCTCTGTGGAACTAATGTGGAGAATGCTGGAAAGAATAAAACCATAAGAGAGAAAAATGGTGACAATCGGCACCCCAATGCCAACGGTCACAATAATAAAAACCACCAGCAAATTTATGTAAGAGCTGTTGCAGGAGAGCTCAAGGAGAGGAAGGATGTCACACATATAGTGATTGACAAGGTTGTCTCCACAAAAGGACATAAACATTATGTTTCCCATATGAGCCACAGCCCCAAAATCCCCATCCCATAGACACCCAGTAAAAGGAGCAAACACATCTGGGGAGACATGGTGACCGTGTACAACAGTGGGTTACAGATGCCCACGTAGCGGTCATACGCCATCGCTGATAGAATATAGGATTCAGAAAAGACAAAGAAACAGAAGAAAAAAAGCTGAGTCATACACCCTGCATAGGAAATGATGTTCTCTGAGACAAAGCTCATCAGCATTTTAGGGGCGAGGGTAGTGGAATAACTAAAATCTATGAAGGACAAGTTGAAGGGGAAAAAGTACATGGGGATATGCAGGCGAGAGTTGAGCCCTATCAGGATTATCAAGCCCAGGTTCCCCACCACCGTGACCGCGTAGAAACCTAGAAACAGGAAGAAGGCGGGGATCTGGAGTCCCGGCTGGTCGGTTAAGCCTGAGAGGATAAACGCTGTCACGGAGGAGGAGTTCTTGGCAGGCATTCTCCTCTAGGACTGTCTGTGAGAGAAAAAGAAAGAGTCACTCAGAAAGAGAGAAAGGCTACACACACCGGGAGGTTAATGGAAATTAAGGTAGTGGGAGGGAGAAGAAAAGAAACATTTACTGAGCACTAACTATGGGATAGGCACTGTTCTAAACGCTGTGTGGCGTTACACTCATCCCTGTCTGGGTTACCTGCACAAAGTCCCAGGGCTATAGAGTTGCCGCAGCAGGAGAGCTCTGCGGTCTGACTCCCCTGGTCTGAGCATTTTTGTGGGGGTGGGGTGGGGGGGGTGGCAGGGATAAAGACTTTATTTTCCACTGTATAATCTCAATGTTCACTTGGTTTTTAGTTGTTTTTTTTTTTTTTTAACACAAATTAACCATTTAAAACTTGTAATTAAATGATACTCAATTACAGAGGAAAATATCCACAGTGCTATAGAAAAAAAAATACCAATGGACACAGGAAATATTATCAACATGACTCATCATTAAATAAATGCAGATTGAAGGTAGGAACAATGATATGAGTTAGTGTGCGCTTCACAGGAACATCGAAATTACTCCTCTTATCTTCTCACAGTTGACACTGAGCCTTCAGTGACAAGCCGGGGCTCTGACAGCTGAGAGTGGTCTGAGCTTTCTTTTAACCACTCTGCTGTGGCACCCAGTGGCTGTGGCACCCAGTGGCTCAGACAGGCACTCACCCCCTTCAGCTTGGAGCCATGGTGCTGCTCTCTACTGCCCGTTGCCCATCTCTTTCACGGAAACCCAGTGGCCCTGCTGAAAAGAATGTGACAACTTGGAGCCCAGGCCCCTCTGCTTCTGCTTCTCCACCTTGAGAATCCTTATTCTCTTTGAGAATCTTGGTTCTCTTGCAGAGCTGAAGAAAACGATCTCTGATTGTGACTTTGCCCCAAGGCTTCTGCCCAGCTTCCAGGAATGAGACAGCAGTCTTTCCTAACACCGTGGATAACAGGCGTCTGGAGAGTTTTATTCTGGAGTACAGACCTCGGAGTGGCTACAGAGCCTCCCTCAGGGCCATTGCCAGAGACCAAGTTCCCTGAGGAAAAGGAAATGTTTGTTTACACTCTTGATCATACTTTTAATGTATGTATCATACTTTATGTATGTATCATACATACTTTAATGTATGTATCATACTTTTAACCTATTCTTTCATTTAGGTTACATCTTTTTAAGCACAAATAAGGACAAGGCTCTATGGGAAAAACCAATGCTTGCTACCTTGTATTGAGCACTTACTGTATACCAAATACTGTATCCAACCCAGCACCTTCATACAGACACCAAGAATCCAAAACCAATGTACAAATGATTTTACCTCATTTATTTCTCACAACAACCTCATAAATTAGACATGTTAATCTCCGCTTTAAAAGTGAGAAAACACACACAGCTAACAGATTCCAGAATCTTAAGTCAAACCCTGATCTGTCTAACTCCAATTTTCATGGTCTTTTCCACTGGCTGTACTACCTCCCTGTGAGTGATAATGAATTCTCTGAAGCAGGATTTTTACTTACAAAGATCTCATGAGATTCTTGATAGATAAAAACAAGCAGTCTTAAAGGATGGCTGCTATAGTTTGGATACTTGACCTTCCAAACCTCATGTTGAAATTTGATCCCCAATGATGGAGGTGGAGCCTAAGAGGAGAGTTTGAGATACAGGGGCAGTGCCACCCTAGTGGTAATGAATGAATCCTCACTCTATTAGTTCTCATATTAGCACCTCTCTTTCCTCTCGCTTCCTCCCTATTGCCATGTGATCTCTCCGTACCAGTTCCCCTGGCTTTTTGCCATGGGTGGAAGCTCCCTGAGGTCCTCACGAGAAGTAGATGCTGGCACCATGCGTCTTGAACAGCCTGCAGAACAGTAAGCCAAGTAAAAGTCTTTTCTTCATGAATTACCCAGTCTCAGGTATTCTTTCACAGCAACATATGTGGAATAAGACAAAGGTAGAAAGTGTTAGAGCCAGGAAAGGTCAAATTAGGGAGTGCTGGGCTTCACAGGAGAAGAGTCATTATTCCACTCACATCCAATATTTACCAAAATTTATACAAACTTTTCCAAGCTAAAAAAATAAAGAAATCTTCCCTGGTTTTCCTGCACTACCTGTTCATGCAAATTAAGCTTGATAATTAAAAACAAATACTAATTAGATAACTAATATCAATTTTTGTCAAGATGTGAAGGCCAGGGAAGGGACCCCACAGCTAATATGTCAGATAATGGGGACTTGAAGAAAGACGTAAACAAAAATAATATTCCTTCAGCAAATACATATCGAGCATCTACTATGTCCCAGAAACTCTTCTAAGTTCTTAGTTGGGGGAAAAAAAAAAAAGCAAATTCTTGCCCTCATGAAGTTTGCATTCAAGTGGGAGAAGACAAAAAAAAAAGATATAAATGAAAGAAAAAAAACATGTAAAATCAAAAGTGCTAGGAAAAAAAAAAAGCCAGGGAGAGGGGTAGAAAAGGAAGGGGCACAGATTTAATTTTAAATAGAGTAATCTGACATTTCAGCAATGACTCAGAAGAGATTTGAAAAGTGTTTACTTGATAAGATCAGTTACTCTTCTAAAACATTAGGCACTCATGGCTTAACCAGCAACCCTCCAAGGCATCACATTTTTATCCTGCACTGTAAATGCAATATCTTAAGCCAAATTACTGGCTCTACGGAAGAAAATTATGAAAATAGTAAGAAGATAAAGGGGCAAGAGAACTGTTGAGGATTCAGATAATCACAAGTCACACAATATTGGTTAATGACTGAGACTGGTATGAAGGCTAAAAAAGCTTTGTGTAGCAACTTGCATTTTATAGCCCTTACTATGGACTTCTATATATTAAAGATGACAGATTTCATAGCCAAGAAATAAATCTCTATATGGGGAAATTCAAGCTTCAGTTAGCAGACGGGTTATACATGTTTTTAGTCAGAGTTAAAGGCTACAGTCCTCTTGGAGAAGCTATGAAATCATAACACAAAGGCAGAAGTCTTCTTCCAGGCAAGTCCACTGCACACAGGCCAGATGTGCACATGTATGAGTGAAGACTTGCTCACCCTCAGCTCAGTCTCAGGAATGATAATGTCTCATTGGTCAATGTACACTTGGAACTGTCCACGTCCCAGAGTAGTTCTAATGAATCCCAATCCTTGCTCTCAATCCCATTATGCACACTTAAGAAATAGAGAAAAACAATTCATTATCAAAAAATTAATAATAATAAAAATTAAAATTAAAATAATGCAAGTTGCTACACAAAGCTTTTTTAGCCTTCATACCAGTCTCAGTCATTAACCAACATTGTGTGACTTGTGATTATCTGAATCCTCAACAAGGTCTCTCGCCCCTTTATCTTCTTACTATTTTCATAATTCTCTTCCTTAGAGCCAATAATTTGGCTTAAGATATTGGGTCTTGAGACCCAAAGGGCAAAGAGGACCTTAGGGGTTCATTTAACATTTACTTTCCTTTAGAAGATTTAGAGGGTTCTTGTATTCCTGATGCCACACCAGGAAAGTTCTTCTGAGGTTTTTGTCACTTCAGAGATGGTTTCCATGGGAACTTCATTTCAAATGCATCAGCGTTTTATTTCAAATGAACCAGGGTTTCTTCAAACCATTTTCACTGTTGATTTACTCCAATATAAGCACAGAGAAGCATAGAAATAAATATTCTTGCTTAATTTACTTTTGATGCAGAACTGTCCGTTTTTCCAAAGCTTGAATCTCTGTATAATGGATTCTTTGTTCTATTTATTGCTAACATTAACATTATTAAAATATATATGAGACATGGATTATAACATACTCATGTGGTAAGCATATGTACAATGTGCTTTGTGTATATGGCACATGCATTAACCTTCAAGTGTCTTGTAGACCGTCAAACAGCACAAGGGTGGTGGTAAAGGCAGTATCCTTCACTCCACATAAAAGAAATGTAGGAATAAGCCACAATTTCAACAAAAAACACATGAAAGCCTGTCCAGAGAGAAAAGATGGCAGCTGAAATGTCTGCATATGAAATGATTTCAGTTAGGATCTAAGGATGGGCACAAAATTAGACGTATCTACCAGAAGTCATGTGGTTTGCAATTATACTTAATGGTATATTAGTCTTCAATATGTGTGTGTGGCATATTAAAATGCTAATAAAGGATGCAAAAGAAATCGTTGACTTCCTAAAGAGATTTACAGTCTAATAGAGTCATCTCCCATTCTGTCTCTTTATCCTCCTTACCCACTCAATGTTTCAAAATTCCCAGTGACCAGTTCTCAATCATCTCTGCCTCTTGCTTCTTAAATGTTTGGTCATCTCATCTCATGACTTTGAAAACATTCTCTACATGGTTAGTACCTAAATTTGCTCTTACCTTTCTGTTAATTCCCTGTCCTGTGTATATGGCCTCTCTAGCAGAATGTTCCAGTATCATGCTCGTTGTCACCCTGAACTCAACAAGTACAAAGATTAACATATCACCTTTGTCCCCAAAATAGACATCTGTCTAACCTTCCCAGTTTTATTGGAGAGGAAGTAGAGTGTCGTATTAATATGGTGTTACTAGTCCTGGTTTGTTTGGGATCCTCCACTTTTAGATCTATTGTCCCAGAAAAATTACTAGTAACAATCCTTTTCACTATGAAATCTATTCCACTTAGGTCACAAATTGCATGATTTCTGTGTGCGTTCAGAGCATAAACTTTAGGATCTAACCAACTTCTATGATTACTTGCTCTGCTGCTTACTAGGTGTGTGACATTGAAAATGTTTAACCTCTTCTGAGCTTTAAATTACTTATCTTAAAATGGGGATAATAATCATAAATGTTGCACTTTCTAGTATGTAGAACATGCAACACAGAAGGTATTAAAAAGTATTAGGTTGCTATTATTATGTTCAAATCTATGCCCGTGGATGAAAGGAATATTTTAAACTGCCATGGTACACAGGATCAGCTAAAACAGAGAGAGACTTAAGGCAGGAAGATCAGTTAAGGTGGTTCCACAAGCAGTAGAAATAGTAAAGCAAAAACAGAATCAAGTGATGACATCATGAAGAAACAGGATTTAATATCTCTATGGTTTGGAGAAGGACAGAAAGGAAAAAAAGCACAAGTGAAACCTGACCAAAATTTTAAGATGAGGGAAGTTTGAGTAGGATGGCAGAAAATGAACAAATAAGGAATGAGGAAGATAAGAAGCTAAATTTCAGTCTACATGACAAAATGCTGCTCGAACCCTTCAAAAGGAATGATAAGTTTTTAAAAAAACAGCAATGAAGGAGGGAGAAAAGGAGTCAAAATACAAATTAGGGAATCAGCTAAACATAGGTGAACCCAAAAGAATGATGAATTTTTCCAAGCAGAAATATTTAAAGACAGAATAGTCAAGGATTAAGAACTAAGCCCTTCCAAAAATACCCACAGTTAGAAAACGGGAGAAGGAAATTGACCAATGGGAATGTCAGAAAAACCAAGTGGAACAACTGAGAGCAAGATTTAGAAACAAACAGACCTGGAGTCAAATTCCAACTCCATAGCTGTATGAATTTGGAAAATTTATTTAACATCATGGAGACATAGCGTTTCTATCTGAAAACCAGATATAGTAATAACATGCTTGCAGATGTGCATAAGGTATAAAATTTGAGTTTTGTGAATATTCTTTTAGTATTTCTTGAATTTATGGAATTTACAGAGGCCAAAAAAAGAGAATTTCAAGAGTGAGCATAACTAATATTTCTGTGCATTCAAGAGGATAAAAAAGAACTGAAAATGACTTTAAGTAACTTGTACCCTTGCAGTCTAATTTTCTTCTTCCATATCACTATTTATCTACACTTTGACCTTAAATGTTTGGAACAATTCATCATTGAAGCCATCTTGGCTTGAAATTTCTTTTGTAAAGCACTTTAAGAACAAACTGTATTTTTTAATCCATTAAGAAGTGTTCATTTGCTGTGCAGAAGCTCTTTAGTTTAATTAGATCCCATTTGTCAATTTTGGCTTTTGTTGCCATTGCTTTTGGTGTTTTAGACATGAAGTCCTTGCCCATGCCTATGTCCTGAATGGTAATGCCTAGGTTTTCTTCTAGGGTTTTTAGGGTTTTAGGTCTAATGTTTAAGTCTTTAATCCATCTTGAATTGATTTTTGTATAAGGTGTAAGGAAGGGATCCAGTTTCAGCTTTTTACATATGGCTAGCCAGTTTTCCCAGCACCATTTATTAAATAGGGAATCCTTTCCCCATTGCTTGTTTTTCTCAGGTTTGTCAAAGATCAGATAGTTGTAGATATGCAGCGTTATTTCTGAGGGCTGTGTTCTGTTCCATTGATCTATATCTCTGTTTTGATACCAGTACCATGCTGTTTTGGTTACTGTAGTCTTGTAGTATAGTTTGAAGTCAGGTAGTGTGATGCCTCTAGCTTTGTTCTTTTGGCTTAGGATTGACTTGGCAATACGGGCTCTTTTTCGGTTCCATATGAACTTTAAAGTAGTTTTTTCCAATTCTGTGAAGAAAGTCATTGGTAGCTTGATGGGGATGGCATTGAATCTATAAATCACCTTGGGCAGTATGGCCATTTTCACATCAGAGTGAACAGGCAACCCACAAAATGGGAGAAAATTTTCACAACCTACTCATCTGACAAAGGGCTAATATCCAGAATCTACAATGAACTCAAACAAATTTACAAGAAAAAAACAAACAACCCCATCAAAAAGTGGGTGAGGGACATGAACAGACACTTCTCAAAAGAAGACATTTATGCAGCCAAAAAACACATGAAAAAATGCTCACCATCACTGGCCATCAGAGAAATGCAAATCAAAACCACAATGAGATATCATCTCACACCAGTTAGAATGGCAATCACTAAATAGTCAGGAAACAACAGGTGCTGGAGAGGATGTGGAGAAATAGGAACACTTTCACACTGTTGGTGGGACTGTAAACTAGTTCAACCCTTGTGGAAGTCAGTGTGGCGATTCCTCAGGGATCTAGAACTAGAAATACCATTTGACCCAGCCATCCCATTACTGGGTATATACCCAAAGGACTGTAAATCACGCTGCTATAAAGACACATGCACACGTATGTTTATTGCGGCACTATTCACAATAGGAAAGACTTGGAACCAACCCAAATGTCCAACAATGATAGACTGGATTAAGAAAATGTGGCACATGTACACCATGGAATACTATGCAGCCATAAAAAATGATGAGTTCATGTCCTTTGTAGGGACATGGATGAAATTGGAAATCATGATTCTCAGTAAACTATCGCAAGAACAAAAAACCAAACACTGCATATTCTCACTCATAGGTGGAAATTGAACAATGAGAACATATGGACACAGGAGGGGGAACATCACACTCTGGGGACTGTTGTGGGGTGGGGGGAGCGGGGAGGGATAGCATTGGGAGATATACCTAATGCTAGATGACGAGTTAGTGGGTGCAGCACACCAGCATGGCACATGTATACATATGTAACTAACCTGCACATTGTGCACATGTACCCTAAAACTTAAAGTATAAGAATAAAAAAAAAAAAAAGTGTTCAGAGTTTCTATTTCCTCTTTTGTAAATCTTAATAATTAGCATCTTTCAATGAATTTTCTAGTTCTTCTAAATTGTCAACTTTATTGGCATAAAGTTTTTTATATTATATATATACACACACACACACAATCTGTAGGATCTGTAGTGATTGACCCTTTCATTCTTGATATTATTAATTTTAGTTTTAGATCTTTTTCTTGATTGACCTAAATTTTATTAATTACAAAATTAAAATTTTACTGACTTTTTACAAGAGCTACATTCTGTTTTCATTGATTTTTCTGTATTAATTGTTAATCTTCTATTTCATTAATTTATACTTCACCCTTATAATTTCTTTCCTTTTACTTTAGGTTCAATTTGCTATTCTGTTTCTAGGTTTTTACAAGGAGGGTCATGAGTTATTGATTTTAAACTTTTCCTCTCTACTATGAAAATTTTAAATTATAAATTTATCTTGAAAAACTGCTTTAGCTGAATCATACAAGCCCTAGCATTTTTTTCATTTTTATTCATTTAGAAAATATTTTCTAACTTCTATCATCATTTCTTTTTCAATAATTGGGTTATTTAGAAATGTGTAGTTCAATTTCCAAATATTTAGAGATTTTACAGAGATCTGTTCTAGTTTCTAATTTAATTCCACAGTAGTCAGAGAACATATTCTGTGTGTTTCAGTACTTCTAAATTTATTGAAACTTGTTTAATCTCTCAGCATATGGTCTATCTTGGTGAATTTTCCATTGGTACTTGAAAAAAATCTCTATTCTATTGTTGTTGAGTAAGATGTTCTATAAATGTCATTTTGTTCCTGTAAGTTGATAGTGTTATTTAAGTCTTCTATGTCCATAATACTTTTCTGTCTCCTTGCACTAAAAGAAGAATGTTAAAATATTCAACTTCAATGATGAATTGTTCTGTCTTTTTTCAGTTCTGTCAATATTTGCTTTATGTATTTGAAGTTCTGTTATTAGTTGGGTACACATTTAAAATTGTGTATTTTTGGTAAATTGATACTTGAATTGTTATGAAATATCTGTGATGATCTTTGTTAATATTCCAAATTCTGAAGTCTACTGTGTCAGAAATTAATATAGATATTCCAGATTTTATTAGTTCTTATACAGTGTTTCTTTTCCCAACCTTTTTTAAAAGAAAATATCTGTCTTTATATATAAAATGTGGTTTATTTAAATTGCATTTAGTTGAGTTTTGGGTTTTTTTTAATCCAGTGTGGCTTTTTCTGTCTCTTAATTGGCATGTTTAGACTATTTATATTCAATGTAATTATTGAGTTAAGCCTACACTCTTGCCGTTTGTTTTCTACCCGTCCCATCTGGTCTGGTCTTTGTTACTTTTTTCTTCTCTTTTCTTGCCTTCTTTTGGTTTATTTGAGTACCTTTTAGTATTGTTTTTCATCTCTTCTGTTGTCTTATTAACTATATCTCATTTTATTAGATGGTTTCTAGTAGCATTGACAATATGCAACTTTATCAAAATATCTTCAACTAATATTTTAATACTTTATGCATGGTATAAAGAACCTCAAAAGAGTATACTTCCATTGCTCCTTCTATCCTTTATGCCATCATTATTGTATATTGTATTTTATCGTGCTGTGAACCCTATAATAGGTGGTTCTAATCTTTGCTATAAACAGTAAATTACATACTAAAGAATTTTTTTAATGAAATAAACATTAGTAGATTATATTTAGGTTCTTTAAGGTGATCATGGAAGTCATTTCTCAGATATACCCCTTCAGGAAGTGTGAAAGATTAATCACCCCTGATGCTGCACTCTAAAATCAATTACCATATTTGCATGGAGGCCATGCTTCCCAAAGACTACATCCAGCCAATGACTAGAAAGAACAGAGATATTAAAGCAGGTCTTTTTCTGCTAGACATGAGATTTCTCCCATAAAATTTGGCTCAAAAATTCTGTCAGTCTTTCCATCAGCCTGACCAGTTTGCTAGCTCTTTCGGCTTCTTTCAGCTCCCTCCCTATTTTCCCTGACAGGTGTTAAATATCTAATCTTGTCTTAATATCTGCTTTTCAGAGGACTTGGACCAATGCAAGTGATAATAAATGTGATCCAATCAAAAGTACCATAAAATAAGAACTAGAGACTGACTCAACTGATTGTCTTGTGGGTGAAGAGATTGCAATCCTAGCTGATAGGTTGGACATGGATAGTGCCTGGCACACAGTGACTGCTTAATTGCTAAAGATTTCTTGGGGACCACCTAAGAATATATCCCTGTGGATAGTAACACAGTTGTAGGTGGACTGATTAAAACCATTGAAAATAATACCTTCAGAGGCAAAAGAATTGACTGGTTAGTGCTAAGTTGCCTGGCAGACAGATAATGAAAGACTATTAACCATTGGTAATTAGTAAATAGTTAATAGCTAAGTATTGGAGTTAGAGCACCTTTTGTTTTTGTTTTTGTTTTTGTTTTTGTTTTTGTTTCATGCCAGTTAATAAAGTCACATGTACTTTTTTTTCAACTTTTATTTTAAGTTCTGGGGTACATGTGCAGGATGTGTAGGTTTGTTACGTAGGGAAACTTGTGCCATGGTGATTTGCTGCGCAGATCAACCCATCACCCTGGAATTAAGCCCAGTACCTTTTTGACAACTTACAAAGAAGTTGTCTTCAGCCTGAGTAGCAGGCTGAAGTCAAGTAGTTGAAGTCACAAAGCTCCCAAAACTGTTTTCATTTTCCCATTTTACAGATAATGAAGTCAGAGCACATATGACTTGCCCAAAGCAACACAGCAAGAAATTAGCATACCTCGCCTCCTATGGAAGTCTTTTACCTGCAAATTTCAAAGATGTAATACTACTCTACTGCTGTATGCATTTTCCAACTATTCTAGAGGACTTTGGGAGTCTCAAAAGGAATTGTAATAATGTGATTGAAACATTTTGGAAAATGAGATATGACAGGGAGAAAAATTTAACACCAAATCCAGAGCAGTTTAGGGTAATGAACCAGGAATGAACGCTAAATCTGTCACGGTGATAAAAGACTATTATGCTGGTGTAGCAATCCTAGTCAAGACTTGGATCTCTAATCCCACTCCAAACAACAAAAGGAAAACCTTCAATGCATGTAAGCAAACTAAATTCAACACCAATTTAATGGGTGGCCTGGCCTCACGGGACTCCCTCTTGCCACCAAGACTCATTATTAAGAGGTTAGTGTAAAGCCACAGGATTCCACCTACTTCAGGAGAGTAGCCTGGCACCATCACCAGTTGAAGTCCCATCCACAATCAAGGGCAAGCCTCCTTATAATTACCAAGATACTGGCACATAGCCTCACGAGTTATTTAGAGAATCATCTCTTGCTCTTAGTACTGATCCTCCTAAAGACAGAAACTACAGGCACCCTCCGCTCAGAACCAGCTGCCTGAAGCTGTTGCATCCTCATTCTGCCTATCCTGGGATTCCATCCCGATGACTGCACACCCCACACTTAGCAATATCATATCCCTTACACAGGCAATTGCAAAGCACATGCTCTCAGGTGCCCTGCTGCCTCATCACACAGGCGCCACCTCAGGAGGCTGAGCCTGGAGTGGCCACTGGATGAGATGGTCAAGTTTGTAGCTACAGGCTTCCCCCTGTTGCTGATGTCTCTGGCATTTTCCCAAACTCTTCTTGAGAGAGCTGCTGCCATTGTCCACTTTTGAATTGCAGCCAACAGTTGAAAACCCCATCAGAAGCATTTACTTTGGAGACCAACAAAGAAGAGGCAAAAGAAAAATGTGAGAAGGCTCAGCCTAACTTATTGTCGCTTCCAGAATTTTTCAATGAAAAACATGGAAACAAACTTTTGTTTCCAGCATGTATGTTAGATAGAGGTGCCCACAACAGAAACAGAACCATGTGGTAAAGTAACTGCCTCATAACATTCTCAGTTTCACCTAAATCGTTCTTTATGTTATAATCTCTTTTCACTGCCTAGTGATCCTTGGCTCTTTTCTTGAAACTTGAAATGTATTAAACTGATAGGACACAGTGCGCTTTGGCCAGACTGGTCAAAAAGAGGATTCCACTAATCAGTGCTTCATGTGGGCTGTATTATTAGGAAACTCCTGTCCTACAGGTCTAATTCTTTTCTCCTGGGCTGAATTTAATGCAAATATTTTTTACAATTAGATTTTAACTTACCTGTTCATTATTTTAGCTATGATCTTAGCATTAATTTATTAGTGATTGCCCTATTAAGAATTGTTCTATTGAGATATACACATCCTTAACTTTCCACAGTCATTGCAGTTAATAATGTACCATTCCATGTAAAATATGGAAATCTTGCAACACATGGATCTGTATCACTCATTTTTATGTTATAGTTTCATATCATATTATACATCAACATACACTACAAATTCCACAATAACATGTAATTTTTATTTAAATTATTATATCGTTTCTATGTAAGTTGAGAGAAAACCACAACATTGTAGGTATCCACATTTCTGTATCCATTTGCTTGCCAAAGGACATTTAGGTTACTTCCACCTCTTGGCTATTGTAAATAATGCTGCAATGAAGTCGGTGGCGCTAATATATCTTCCAGATCTTGGTTTCAATTTTTTGTCATATATTCAAAAGTGGAAAAAATAATATTTTTTATTATCCAGATACCTTCCATTCCTGGTGTCCTTCTTTGTTTTTATTTTATTATAGTTTTAGGATCAAAGTTTTTAATCTGATTAATTTTTCTTCATCCTGAAGAACTTCCTTTATCTTTTCTTATGTTTAAGTCTGCTGGCAATATATTATCTTATTTTTCTTTTATCTCAAAGTATATTTATTTTGCTTTTGTTCTCGAATATGTTTGCTAAATATAGATTTCTGGGTTGACAGTGGTGTTTTGTTTGTTTGTTTGTTTGTATGTTTTACCACTTTAAAGTGTTGCTGTACACTCTTCAGAATTTCATTGGTTCTGATGAGAAATCATGGTACTCCGTATGTAATATTTTTTTCTTGCTGATTTTTAAAATTTATTCTTCATATTAGACTTAAACAGTTTCATGATGATCTTCTTTCATAGGGCTTCTTTAAATTAATTCGGCTGGGTGATTAATTATAACCCCTCCGAATTGCCTGAATTTCATAAAAGAAAGAAAAATGTCTAGCTTTTATGAAATTTAGTAAATTCAGGTGGGTTATTTCTTCAGATATTTTTTGCATCTTTTTCTTTCTTTTCTCTCCTTTTGGTATTACGATTAAACATGTTTGACCATTTTATGTCATCTAACAGATCTCTGAGGTTCTGTTCGTGATCCTCAACCTTTTTCTCTGTGTTTCACCTTACATGATTTCTATCGGTCAGTCTTCAAGTTTGCCTACCTTTTGTTCTGTTATGGCTATTAAGTACATTGCCTCTATTATTTCCAAAATTGTATGTTTCCATTCTAGAACTTCCTTTTTTTAGTGTTTGTATTTATATGTTGAGATTTATCACTCCTCACCTGAGACTTTCATTTGGTACACAAAAGTTTTGTTTTACTTTATTGAGGGAATATATAATAACTACTTATAAATTCTTATCTGTTAATTTCAACATCTGGTTCCTCTTGTGTTCCAATGAATTGATTTTTTTCTTGAGAAATTTTTTTCATTTTCTTAGTTCTTTATATGTCAGGTAACTTGAGATTGTATCCTGGACATCGTAAATGTTAAGTGGAAAGTCTGGATTTTTTTTTTTCTCCAGTGAGTTTTGTTTGCCTTCCTTTTACACAGAATTTTCTTGGCTGGGCTTAAAATGCAAGTTTTTCTTTCTTGAGCATGTCTGATACCAGTCCAGATATTTCATCTTTACTTGAGCTGCTGAGTCTGTGCTGCACGTGCATGATTTAGGTCAAAGATGTGAGTGAATCCAGTTTGGGGATCTCCTCTCTGGTTCATTTGTTTCCAGAACTTCCCCAGCTCTCTTCAGTATTTGGGATTTCTTGACTTTGCTTTTCTTGTTTCCTGAGTTAGAGAGGCTATGAATTTTTCCACATGGGCACTGTGTAGGCTACACTTGGTGCCAAGGAAAAAGCTACCAAGATGGGCGCTTACTTAGTATCGCTCCCCATCTCCCCTCCTCCAAGTGATTCTTCATTCCCTACCAGGATCAATCTGCTTCTGTTCATTCTACAGCACCTTCAGGGATTTTTGCTTTTCTTTAATTATGTCTACATTTAATTTTCCTGTAGGGGTGTCATCTGGTAGAGTTTTTGCTCGATCATACCCAGAATTTCTTTTTTTATCCGTTTATAATATACCCGCATTTCTTCACCCTACGCTATGGATAGCATACTTAAAGTGCAAAAATCTTCAGAGAGCAACACAGTCTGCAGTCACCACTCAGATCAAGGTACAGAACATTTCCAACACCCAGAAGTTTCTTTCGTGACACTCTTTAGTCAACAGCAACACCACTCTCCCAAGAAGTTCCCATATTCTGTATTCTACCTTTATAGACCAACTTCACCTATTCTTGAACTTGACATATTTTGTTCCCTGGTTTATTTTGATAATTATGTCTGTGAGATAGATGGGTCTGTGTTGTTATATGCAGCAGTACTTTGAAGGTTTTTTCTGTGTATTTTACCATTGTATTAATATACAGTTTGTTTCTCCATTTCATTTTATGACAATAATTATTTCTTAAAATAATGTCGGATGATGCAGCTCTGATGGTAATAGAAAACATTATACATGACTTACATACTACACAGATAGATACTGAATATGTGTGTCACTTCAAAAGTTTCTGGGTAGGTTTATAAAATAGCAAAGGTCATCAACACATCTCTAAATTCATGTTAATGTTTATTAAAGTTAATTACATTATTGTTAGTTAAATTCTTGTTTAACATACATTTATGTTTTAAGTAGTCAAAATCACAATAAAGATCTATTTTTCATGGGCCGTATAACTTTGCTTTATTGCCTATTGACTTTCCCTAGATAATCAATTCAGAAAGTAGCTCATGCCCCATTTTATAAAATTAGAGACCTTGATGAAACATAATTACATGTTTTAACATATAGTGTATTTTTGCTTTGATAACATATTGCTGATCATATCTTTCATTTATTTTACTTTTTTTTTTTTTTTTTTTTTGAGACAGAGTCTCACTGTGTCACCTAGGCTGGAGTGCAGTGGTGCCATCTCGGCTCATTACAACCTCCGCCTCCGGGGTTCAAGTGATTCTCCTACCTCAGCTTCCCGAGTAGCTGGGACTACAGGTGTGCATCACCACGCCCAGCTGATTTTTGTATTTTTAGTAGAGATGGCATTTCACCATGTTGGCCAGGATGGTCTCGATCTCTTGACCTCGTGATCCGCCCGCCTTGGCCTCCCAAAGTGCTGGGATTACAAGTGTGAGCCACCGTGCCTGGCCTATTTTACTTTAAATTCTACTCAGAAACCATGTCCCATTATGTTACTATTACATTGTTTCTAAGAAAATATGTTCTCAGATTTATAATATAGTAGGAACATATTACTATGAGTCATGAATAATAAGCAGGTTAACAGCAGAGGGTGAAGGAGGGCATTGCAGGCATAGGAACAAAAAAAAAAAAAAAAGCAAAAACAAAAATTGGAAATGGAAGCCCAGTAAAGCCCTGCATATTTGGGCAAAGGTGCATGACACTACGGGCTACAATGCTGAATGGGTGGAAGGGTAAGAAGGCGGTAGTTGAGGTTGTTAAAGATGATGACCATTTATCCTATTCTCTGCACCCTCACTGGAAGACAAATTGAGAAATAAGACACAGGATAATCACAGAAGCAGATAAAAATGTCAGCTTTTTTTTTTTTTTTTTTTTTTTTTGAGATAGAGTCTCACTCTGTCACCCAGCTTGGAGTGCAATGGCACAATCTGGGCTCACTGCAACTTCTGCCTCCCAGGTTCAAGCGATTCTCCTGCCTCAGCCTCCCAAGTAGCTGGGATTACAGGTGCTTACCACCACGCCCGGCTAATGTTTGTATTTTTAGTAGAGATGGGGTTTCACCATGCTGGCTAGGCTGGTCTGGAACTCCTGACTTTAGGCAGTCTGCCCTCCTCAGGCTCCCAAAGTGCTGGGATTACAGGCGTGAGCCACCACGCCCGGCCCAAAATTTCAGCTTTAATACTGATAAAGTTAACTGGAGGACACAGCTTAAATCTACAACCACACTGGGATTTTCTGATTCCCTCATTGCTTTTGCCAGACAAGCCTAATGAACCCAGGCACAAGGAGAAACAAACAATATCAGGCCTCCCCTACCAAGGGGGATGGGGTACATCAAAGAGGCTACAAATGCTGGTCCAGAGGACAGGCCAGTCCTAAAAAGAGAACCCTGTGGAGACCAGGCCATTCAACTCCAGTTCAGTTACCCAGCTTCAGCAGGGAAAAGCGGAAATATGGATAAAATAAAAGGATTCCTCTCATTCTTTACTCTGCTAGGGCATGAAAAATAGGTGCCCATTTAAAAGGAATCATCTGCTTTCGGCCAGAAATAATTGGCCCATTTAGAAAGAAGGGAAATCTTTTGCCAAAACCAGGTTTCCTCTTGTGAAAAACACGTAATTGCTTATCTCATATAAGTACATAGTTGCGTGTTAAATTATTGCTTCCGACGCCCCATAAATATAGCTAAGAACTATTTCACTGCTGATACATTTATTTTTCAAATTATCTTGAAAAAGTAACTAGAAAATGTAAAGAAGGCAACCTCTCTAAAACTATTTCCACTTCAGCCCAGACGTTTCCCTACACTGGTTGGTGACCTGACCTACTTCTGGGGAACGAGATTATCCTATGCAATCTTTGGACAAATAACCAAAATGTGAGCTGTTTTAGAAGCCTGCTTTCCCACACCATATGTAACTTCAAGAAGAAAAAGGGTAGACGTTGTTCTGCAACAATTCACCAGCGCTTCCCACTTGCAATAACATTCTTGAATTCAGAGTAGTAACAGGGCACTCCATTCTGCCATTATTTGTGTGAGTAAAGAGGGACAGAGAGATGGCCAGAAGAGATTCCAGAAGACTAATCCCACTGGCCACCAACTAGGCCCTCTGGTGCACAAGATGTTATATGATTTGGTTAAGCAGAGAACAGAAACTAATTTCAAAGTATGTGTAGGATGTAGGAAAATCACGAGAGAGTGTTCAGCATCCTTGGACTAGTAAAGGAGGCACCATTACAACGTGCAGGCTGAAGCGGTAAGGGGAGGTGTGTGGGAGAGGCACTTGGCATGAGTGTGACTCCTGGTGGATGGACGCAGTTCACAGCACTCCCATAGGGAGAGGCCAGAGGAATGAATGCACTGCCATGCTCTCTTCTTTCCCTGCATTTCTTGCTAAGACAAAGGGCAAGAGAGTCTGCTAATGCAGTCCACATCCACCAGACTCCCAGGGGACGGAGCAGGTTGGATAAGTGCAGAGAATGCATTTAAGAGGCAAACAGAAGGGCCAGGCGTGGTGGCTCACGCCTGTAATCCCAGCACTTTGTGAAGCTGAGGTGGGCGGATCACAAGGTCAGGAGATCGAGACCATCCTGGCTAACATGGCGAAACCCTGTCTCTATTAAAAATACAAAAAATTAGCCAGGCATGGTGGCACACACCTGTAGTCCCAGCTACTTGGGAGGCTGAGGCAGGAGAATGGTGTGAACCCGGGAGGCGGAGGTTGCAGTGAGCCGAGATCACGCCACTGCACTCCAGCCTGGGTGACAGAGCCAGACTCCGTCTCAAACAAACAAACAAACAAAAGAGTCAAACAGAGGACAATCAGCGTCGTCAGAAACACAACCCTACAAATGAGGCCCAAATGGATAGGAAGAGTAAGATGATAAAATGTAGGCCACCCAAATATCTTGGGTTTATTAGACAAGAGTGCTGGGAGCAGCAAGAAGTCATCCAAGCCCTCCAAGAGGATAAGGTCTCTGGAAAACTACGAGGCTTTTTGTTACTAATGAAATAGGGCCAGGATAAATGGTATGGAGTCAGTGGTTCCAGCTCTAAATGTCTGGGAAGAGCAAAGGCATAGGAAGCCAGGATACCACTAACAGCAAAACAGACTTCTCTTTCCATTCCAAGGGGGAGTAATTCACTCACAATTAACAAAATCAAAATTTTCCTCAATAGGTAGAGCATCAAGATAAAGATAGATATGCTCTATTATGAGTTTTGTTTATGTTCACTTATCAAGAGCAGAAAATGTATCCGGAATGAGGGAAGCTGAGGAGACGAATGATAAATGACCAATTCAGATGCAATTCTTCTCTCCTTAGTGTTACATCAGTAACAAAGAAACACCTCTGCCAGTCGTAGGTGTACCAGATACTTGTCAGTGCTCCACCCCCACGCGCTCAGATCCTGTTCTCATTTTGATGCACACCAATTTCAAGTAAGCTTTCACAAACTCCCAACAGCCAGCACCTACTTTTCTTTGCCAGAGAGTTCTACTCCAGGTGCCAGAGCCCACGTCTCCTGCTCTGGAGAGCCGGGAAATGTATGTCCCCTGGAACATCCCTGAACCCATGACTGACGTGTGTCAGGGCAAAAATATTCCTGAAGCCTGGCCCCTGCCAGGATAATTCTGAGTCACGTGTCTTCAAAGACTCCATGTAGATTTGAGCCAAAGCTGCCTATTTTCAGAATGTGATTGCCATTGCACACTTTCTCAGTCTTCCTCAGACTCACATGTGCATCCCTCCACTAGATTTGCCTGAAATGCCTCCAAAGAAATCACTTTAATTTGAATCTTCATCTTAGGGTCTTCTGATAAACTCAATCCATAACTGAGAAGAAGAAAACCAAATAAAGATTGCACCCAGAGGAAAGAAGATGAAAAAACCATTTGAGGAAAAATGTTAAACCATCACTTTTTAGAAGGAAAGTGTTTCGAATGCAGAATATATCATGAAAGAATTCAAAAGCAAAATGCACGTTTTATATCAGTGTATCTTCAAATCACAGGAAATATCTTAGAGTTCTCATCTCAGGAAACTGGCTGTTGAGTCCAGCATGGCTGCCACTGGCTGTAGAAGATAACGGGGTAACCCAGTGGTTTTCAGAGGTTGGTTCCCAGAGCAACAGCAAAAGTATCACCTGGGAACTTCCTGGGAATAAAGATTCCTGAGTGCTACTTTAAACCTACTGAAGCAGAAACTGTGAACAGAGCCCAGAATCCGCATTTTTCACAAGCCTTCAAGAGATGATTGGTGTAGCCCCTGGACCCAGGAAGTGAACTAACATATATGCATGTACCTAATCCAAAGAAAAAGAAAAGCTTTTGAGTTTGCCTCAGGAAAGAGAAAATGGAGGATGGTGGAAAGGATAGTATGTCAGAGATGAAGATGATCAGTCACTACGCAATGACTACAAAATCACCAGCTTGTGAAGCAGGTGCTCTAAGGAGAGTTTGATGAAAAGAAGTGTGCCACACACAGTGGTTGATGATGCTGCGGTCACAGAAAGACAGACTGACCATTGCCTCTGGGTGGGCCATGACACCATCAATACCTACCCCAGTGCAAGCCAAGCATCGTCAGAGAACAGACCTGAGGCACACAGATCCCACAGTGACCCCAAGCCAAAAGTATTAGAGTGCTCACTGATAGCAAAGCAGATAAAGACAAGGGCAGAATCTTGCACTTCAAATTAGTGGTGATGTACCTCTCAGATATAGAGTTCATTATCATTTTAATTAAAATGACAAAGGAGTAGGACATCTGAAAAACAAAAACAAAAGAAAACAAGCTGAAGACAAGTTCACCAGGATGTTGAGGAGAGAACTTAGCCCAAGCACTGAGTGGCCAAGCACTTAAAATGAGGAGAAGCATACAGGCTGGAATTGTTGTCCATTTGTGAAACAAACAAAAATAAAAGTAGTCTCTGTTGAGACATTTCCCAAGCCATTCACTTCTGGGGAGTCATTTCTGTAGGTAGGACAGAAGAACCTCTTTTTGGACAAAACAGATTCCATGACTCTGAAATGAGAATTTCTATTGCTTTAAAAAGAGAATGACTAGCCTTAACACAGGACAGATGAGTAATGTAAGAACGCCTGTCTTTTCCTGTGTCTTTCTGAACCTTCCTGAGCCCTTCCCATGTCAGTGCACTACCAGGTTTGAAATGCCCTGATACAACCAGCTCCTCAGGCTGGGCCATACTAAGAGTGTGCACAGGAAACCTAGTACTCACAGAAAATATGGGGAAGCAGTATCTCAGAGAGCCTCAGTAGCTGCCCAGGTTGTTCAGGAACCACATTTTGAATCAGAAATGAGAACTGGCAAGAGACCTAGAGACATCATGATCTCTGCCTTCATTGCTTCAGTCGCCCCCACACCAGAATCAAATTGGGCCAGGAGGCAATTTCCAAAATACTCATTTTCAGGCCTCCATATTAGGAAGAATATAAAGAGACACATGATGCCACCATGCAGCCACACTCCCTTGTTCAGCTTAGGGTCAGCAGTGCAGAGTCTTTCAGCCCCCGCACTCCCACTTCCTAGGAAGGGAGGTGGCTTGGATGGTATTTGGGTGGGGAAGTCCTTAGTATATGTTCTTTTCTTTTACTGTAATGGTAAGAAAATTAAAGCCTCCATTATCCTGGAATCACTTCTTGTCTAAAAACCATGGTTTCAAATCAAGTCTGTGCCTAAATACGCCTCCCCAGTTGAAGAAAAAAAAAAATCTGTCTATGGCATTAGGGCCATAAGATGATATTTAAAAGGAGTTGTCTTTTACATGTGTATAGATCAGAGATCTGACTGGAAACCCAAGAAACTTCCCTCAGATACTCTCCTAGGAAGAGTTTCTGTAATAAACAAGAAAATGCGTAGTTTTTACAAATAGAGCACATTTTGACTTCTGCCCAGAATTTTACTTCCCATGGCCAGGTGCAGTGGCTCACACCTGTAATCCCAGCACTTTGGGAGGCTGAGGATCTCTTGGGCCCATGAGTTTGAGACTAGTCTAGGCAACATAGTGAGACCCCATCTCTACAAAAATGTTTAAAATCTGCTGGACGTGGTGGCTTGCACCTGTAGTCCTAGCTACCCAGGAGGCTGAGGAAGGAGTATCACTTGAGCCCAGGAGGATGAGGTTGCAGTGAACTGTGATCATACCACTGCACTCCAGGCTGGACAATAGAGAGAGATCCTATCTCAAAACAACAACAACAAAGAAAGAATTTGACTTCCCACAAAGACTTCTAATCTCCAGAGTAAAATCAGGAGCCCCTCTTTCCAGAGCCCTGAAAGGGTGCAGGATTAACTCTAAGTGGGAATCCCTAGACTGACTCCCTACAATAATGACAAATATTCAAGAACACAATTTGTGAGCCCGGCAATTGATTAGGCTCCTAACATGCCCAACATAGCAAAGCCCAGCATCATATTATCTTTTTCAGAAAAATTATCTAGAAACTTTCAAAGCTACCAAAAATTCTGGGTATTCAAATAACAATGGAAGCTGCCCCACAAGGGCTTGAAACTTGTTCATGAAGGAGAGAGAGAAGTAAATGTCATATTACCATTGGCTGTATGGAAGCAGTGATGAGCTGTGTAGGACAGCAGGGAAGAATCACACATAACCATGGTGACATTTTTCTAAAGATACTTCACTTTTGGAGGCAAGAATCAGTACATATTCTCTATTATCTTGGCTAAGGCAGAAGTTCACTATATGAATGATTCATATCTTTATTCAATAACTATTCTATAATTTCATAATTTCTACATTTAGAAAAGAATATAAAATTAAATTATACCCAATTGCTATAAAAAGTTTCCTTCAAAACATGATGTTCATTGAATAATGGTACAATTATTTTCTAGAGTTTACCTTCTTAAATAATGCTATTTATTTTCCTCATACATTTGAAATAAAATATAGTGTTGAAAAACTGGAGTGGACATAACACTTTCAAGTTTAGGCCAGATAACCACTAATCCATTCTCCATTCCTGCAATTTTGTCATCTCAAGAATGTTACATAAGTGGAATCATACAGAATTTAATATTTGAAATTGGCTTTTTCCATGCAGCATAATTATCTTGTGATTTACCCAAGTTGTTGTGCATATAAACAATTTATTCTATTTTGGAGGAGGGAGGTATGGCTATAAGAGGGCAACAGGCAACATGAGGGACCCTTATGGTGATGAAGCTTTTCTGTATTTTGACTGCACCAATGTATCTCAGTTGTGATATTGCACCATAGTTTTGCAAGATGTTACCATTGGGAGAAACTGGGTAAAAGGTATGTAGAATCTCTGCAGTGTTTTTTACAACTTCATGTGAATCTTCAATTATATCAAAATCAAACATTTAATTTAAATAAATAAATAAATTTAGGTCAGACAGAGTGGCCCCTTCCACCTCGCGACTTCATGCCTAAATGTCAGGACAGTAATCAAGACACATAAACAGAAGCTAAACCTGTGGCTCAAGATGCCCTGAAAACCAAACAAAAAGTCCTCAACAGCATAGAAAAATCAGATTTTTAAATACAAGTACAGGCGTGTTATACTCTGCACTAGGGTACAAAAGGAAACATGGGGAATAAACTGTACATGTAACAAACAAACAAAAATGGCCATGAGAATGTGAATGTAGAGAGGAAAGAAGCATTGGTCACTTTTCTTAATTTGGGGAAGAAAAGGAGAAAGACAGAAGTATCAAGCAAAACGTTTAAGGATAAATCAGGTTCGCATAAGTTTAGAGGTAAAAGATTCAGTGAAGATGAAGAGATTGATGGTCTAAGAAACACAAGGAGATTTTGAGAAAATAAAATCCCAAAGAAGACAAGAATTTGCCAAAATTTAACATCCATTCATTTTTTAAAATTTAACTTTTATTTTAAGTTCAGGGATAGAAGTACAGGTTTGTTACATAGGTAAACTTGTGTCATGGGGGTTTATTGTACAGATTATTTCGTCTCCCATGGATTAAGCCTAGTACCCGTTAGTTATTTTTCTTGATACTCTCTCTCTTCCCATCATCCACCCTCCAACAGGCCCCAGTGTGTATTGTTCCCACATATGTGTCCATGTGTTCTCATCATTTCACTCCAACTTATAAGTGAGAACGTGTAGTATTTGGTTTTCTGTTGCTGCATTAGTTTGCTAAAGATATTGGTCTCCAGCTCCATCCACGTTCCTGCAAAGGACATGATCTCATTCTTTTGTATGACTGCATGGTATTCCATGGTGTATATGTACCATATTTTCTTTATCCAGCCTACCATTGATGAACATTTAGGTTGATTTCATGTCTTTGCTATTGTGACTAGTGCTTCAATGAACATACAAGTGCATGTGTCTTTATAAAAGAATAGTTTATATTCCTTTGGGTATATACCCAGTAATGGGATTGATAGGTAAAACAGTATCTTTGTTTTTAGGTCTTTGATGAATAGCCACACTGTCCTTCAAATTGGTTGAACTAATTTGCACTCCCCCCAACAGTGTATAAGTGTTCCTTTTTCTTTGCAACCTCACCAGCATCTGTTATTTTTTGACTTTTTGAATAATAGCTATTCTGACTGGTATGAGATAGTACCTCATTGTGGTTTTGATTTGCATTTCTCTAATAATCAGTGATGTTGAGTTTCTTTTTTATATGATTGTTGGTTGCATGTATGTCTTCTTTGGAGAAGTGTTTTTTCATGTCCTTTGCCCACTTTATAATGGGATAGTTTTTTTTCTTTATTATTATTATTATTATTTTTTTTAATTATACTTTAAGTTTTAGGGTACATGTGTACATTGTGCAGGTTAGTTACATATGTATACATGTGCCATGCTGGTGCGCTGCACCCACTAACTCGTCATCTAGCATTAGGTATATCTCCCAATGCTATCCCTCCCCCCTCCCCCCACCCCACCACAGTCCCCAGAGTGTGATATTCCCCTTCCTGTGTCCATGTGATCTCATTGTTCAATTCCCACCTATGAGTGAGAATATGCGGTGTTTGGTTTTTTGTTCTTGCGATAGTTTACTGAGAATGATGGTTTCCAATTTCATCCATGGTAAGCAATAGCGTACCAACCAAAAAGAGTCCAGGACCAGATGGATTCACAGCCGAATTCTACCAGAGGTACAAGGAGGAACTGGTACCATTCCTTCTGAAACTATTCCAATCAATAGAAAAAGAGGGAATCCTCCCTAACTCATTTTATGAGGCCAGCATCATCCTGATACCAAAGCTGGGCAGAGACACAACCAAAAAAGAGAATTTTAGACCAATATCCTTGATGAACATTGATGCAAAAATCCTCAATAAAATACTGGCAAACCGAATCCAGCAGCACATCAAAAAGCTTATCCACCATGATCAAGTGGGCTTCATCCCTGGGATGCAAGGCTGGTTCAATATACGCAAATCAATAAATGTAATCCAGCATATAAACAGAGCCAAAGACAAAAACCACATGATTATCTCAATAGATGCAGAAAAGGCCTTTGACAAAATTCAACAACCCTTCATGCTAAAAACTCTCAATAAATTAGGTATTGATGGGACGTATTTCAAAATAATAAGAGCTATCTATGACAAACCCACAGCCAATATCATACTGAATGGGCAAAAACTGGAAGCATTCTCTTTGAAAACTGGCACAAGACAGGGATGCCCTCTCTCACCACTCCTATTCAACATAGTGTTGGAAGTTCTGGCCAGGGCAATCAGGCAGGAGAAGGAAATAAAGGGTATTCAATTAGGAAAAGAGGAAGTCAAATTGTCCTTGTTTGCAGACAACATGATTGTTTATCTAGAAAACCCCATCATCTCAGCCCAAAATCTCCTTAAGCTGATAAGCAACTTCAACAAAGTCTCAGGATACAAAATCAATGTACAAAAATCACAAGCATTCCTATACACCAACAACAGACAAACAGAGAGCCAAATCATGAGTGAACTCCCATTCACAATTGCTTCAAAGAGAATAAAATACCTAGGAATCCAACTTACAAGGGATGTGAAGGACCTCTTCAAGGAGAACTACAAACCACTGCTCAAGGAAATAAAAGAGGATACAAACAAATGGAAGAACATTCCATGCTTATGGGTAGGAAGAATCAATATCGTGAAAATGGCCATACTGCCCAAGGTAATTTACAGATTCAATGCCATCCCCATCAAGCTACCAATGACTTTCTTCACAGAATTGGAAAAAACTACTTTAAAGTTTTTTTTCTTATAAATTGATTGAAGTTCCTTATACATGCTGGATACTAGACATTTGTCAGATGCACAGTTTGCAACTCATTCTGTAGGTTTTCTGTTCATTCTGTTGATAGTTTCCTTTGCTGTGCAGAAGCTCTGTAGTTTAATTAGATCCTGTTTGTCAGTTTTTGCTTTGTTGCAATTGCTCTTGGTATCTTTGTCATGAAATCTTTGCCCATTCCTATGTCCAGGATGGTATTGCCTAGGTTGCCTTCCAGAGTTTTTATAGTTTTGGGTTTTACATTTAAATCTTTAATCCATATTGAGTTAATTTTTGTGTATGGTGTAAGGAAGGGGTCCAGTTTCAATCTTCTGCATATGGCTAGCCAGTTATCCCAGCACCATTTATTGAATAGGGAATCTTTTCCCCAGTGCCTGTTTTTGTCAGGTTTGTTGAAAATCAGATAGTTGTAGGTGTGTGGCCTTATTTCTGGGTTCTCTGTTCTGTTCCATTGGCCTATATGTCTGTTTTTTATAAGTGTCATGCTGTTTTGGTTACTGTAACCCTGTAGTATAGTTTGAAGTCAACACGATGCCTCCAGCTTTGTTTTTTTTGCTGAGAATTGCCTTGGCTATTCAGGGTCTTTTTTTGTTTCATATGAATTTTAAACTAGTTTCTTCTAGTTCTGTGAAGAATGCCAGTGGTAGTAGTTTCATAGGAATAGGATTGAATCTATAAATTGCTTTGGGAAGTGTGGCCATTTTAATAATATTGATTATTTCTATCCATGAGCATGGAATGTTTTTCCATTTGCTTGTATCATCTCTGATTTCTTTGAGCAGTTCTCCTTGTAAAGATCTTTTACCTCCCTGGTTACCTGTATTTCTAGGTAGTGTGTGTGTGTGTGTGTGTGTGTGTGTGTGTGTGTGTGTGTTGTGAATGGGATTGCATTCCTGATTTGGCCATTGGCTTGACTGGTTCCTATTTGGATGCCCTTAATTTCTTTCTCTTTCTTGATTGCCTTGGCCAGGACTCCAACACAATTTTGAAAAGAGTGGCGAAAGAGGGCATCCTTGTCTTATGCAAGTTTTCAAGTGGAATGCTTCCAGCTTGTGCCCATTCAGTATGATACTGGCTGTGGTTTGTCTCAGATGGATCTTATTATTATGAGGTTTGTTCCTTCAATACCTAATGTATCGAGAGTTTTTAACATGAAGCGGTGTTGAATTTTATACAAAGCCTTTTCTGCATCTATTGAGATCATCGTGTGGTTTTTGTCTTCAGTTCTGTTTGTGTGATGAATTCTGTTTGTGTTATTAATTTGCATATGTTGAACCAACCTTGCATCTCAAGGATAGAGCCTACTTGATAATGGTGGATAAGCTTTCTGAAATGCTGCCGTATTTGCCAGTAATTTTTTGATATTTTTTTGCATTGATGCTCATCAAGGATATTGGCCCGAAGTTTTCTTGTTTTGTTGTGTCTCTGCTAGGTTTTGCTATCAGGATGATACTGGCTTCATAGAATCAGTTAGGTAGAAGACCCTCTTCAATTTTTTGGAATAGTTTTAGCAGGAATAGTACCAGCTCTCCTTTGTACATCTGATACAATTCAGCTGTGAATCCATCTGCCTTTTTAAAGTCTGTTTTGTCTGAAACTAGGATTGTAACCCCTGCTTTCTTCTGTTTTCCATTTGCTTGGTAGATTTTTCTCCATCTCTTCATTTTCAGCTTCAATGCATGTGAGATGGGTCTCTTGTAGACAGCATGCCAATGGGTCTTGGTTCTTTATCCAGCTTGCCACTGTGTGTCTTTTAATTGGGGCATTTAGCCCATTTACATTTAAGGTAGTATTGATATGTATGGATTTAATCCTGTCATTATGATGTTAGCCGATTAGTTTGCAAAGTTGTTTATGTAGTTGCTTTATAGTGTCACTGGTCTGTGTGCTTCAATATGTTTTTGTAGTGGCCAGTAGTGGTCTTTCCTTTCCATATTTAGTGCCTCCTTCAGGAGCTCTTGTTAAGGTAGATCTGGTGGTTACAAATTTCCTCAGTATCTGCTTGTCTGAAAAAGATCTTATTTCTCCTTCACTTATGAAGCTTAATTTGGTCAGATATGAAATTCTGGATTGGAATTTCTTTTCTTTAAGAATGTTGAATATTGGCCCCCAATATCTTCTGGCTTGTTAGGGTTTCTGATGAGAGGTCCACTGATAGCCTAATGGGCTTCCCTTTGTAGGTGATGTGACTTTTCTCTCTAGCTGCCTTTAACTTTTTTTCTTTCATTTGACCTTACAGAATCTGATGATTATGTGTCTTGGGGATGGTCTTCTTGTGAAGTATCTCACTGGGATTCTCTGCATTTCCTGAATTTGAATGTTGCCCTCTCTAGAGACAGATTGGGGAGAGAGCTAGATTGGGGAAGATCTCATGAATGATATCCTGAAATATGTTTTCCAGGTTGGTTCCATTCTCTGCATCTCTTTCGGAGTCCCCAAGGAATCATAGATTTGATCTCTTTACATAATCTCATATTTCTCAGAGTTTTAGTCATTTTTTTTCATTCTTTTTGCTCTGTTCTTGTCTAACCATCTTATTTCAGAAAGCTGGGCTTCAAGCTCTGAGATTTTTTCCTCCACTTGGTCTATTCTGCTATTAATACTTATGATTGATTGCATTATGAAATTCTTGTAGTGTGTTTTTCAGCTCTATCAGGTCAGTTATGTGCTTTTCTATACTGGTTATTTTGTCTGTCAGCTCCTGCATTGTTTTGTCATGATTTTTAGCTTCCTTGGATTGGGTTTCAATGTACTCCTGTAGCACAATGACCTTCATTCCTATCCATATTCTGAATTCTATTTCTGTCATTTCAAGCATCTCAGCCCAGTTCAGACCGCTTGCCGGATAGGTGATGTGGTTGCTTGGAGGAAAGAAGGCATTCTGGCTTTTTGAGTTGTCAGGGTTCTTGCACTGATTCATTTTCATCTTTGTGGGCTTATCTACCTTCAGTCTTTGATGTTGCTGACTTTGGATGGATTTTTTTTTCCTTTTATCGTATTTGATGACCTTGAGGGTTTGATTGTGGTATAAGGTGGATTCAGCTGACTGGTTTTGTATCTGAAAGATTTTAGGGGGCCAACATGCAGCTCCCAACTCCTGGACTGTGTGCTCTAACTCTGGGGGACTTGTATTGTGCCCCAACTTTGTTTTCTGGCTCCTTATGGTTAGTAATCCACTGCACTGGTGGGGGATGAGGTGTTACTGGACTGCTGGTCACTACACTCTGATGGGTGGTGTCAGCCAAAGCATTTCATAGTGCAGTGACAGTGTGATCTGTCCTTGTTCACACATGCCAGCAGCAGAGGTAACGGCAGGTGCAGCAGGGTGCTAGTGGGTGCCGGGATGCCTGCCTCCCTGCAGGTGTTTACCACAGTGGCAGAGGCAACATAGCTGGGGGACGTGGGGGGCGGGCCTTGCTGGCAACTGTGTGCACTGTCACACTGGAAGTGGTGTTGGTTCAGGGGTGGGGCACTTGTAGGCACAAGTCTGGGTGCTTCCTCTGTGCCCCACAAGCAGGAGTGATCACTTAGGGCAAGGGAGGATCCACTGTTAGCACAATGGTGGGGCACTGGCGGGAATAGAGCTGGCTGGGTCTTTGCTTCCAAGGCTCTGTCTGCAATGGCAGTCAGGGGACGGCAGGGCAGACTGCATTCCTGCACACCGGCAAGGCAAGGAAAGCAAAACCTGCCCACGCAGGCACTCACCAGCAAAGCAAGGTTGGGGGTTGCCATGGGCCTGAAGGAAGCTACCATATGAGGAGAGAGGGAGCATGTGGGCTGGTGTGTGGCCATAGAGGCTGCCCTTTGGGAGCTCTCTACCAGTCAGGCACAATCTGCCAGTGCAGAAGCTATGATGCAGCCCCCATGGCACCTGAGACTGCCTTGCAGGCAGGCACAGCCAGGCTGAGGACCCAGGAGAGGCCAGCAGCCCAAGGGTTGCTCAGGTCAAACCAGCCCTGTCTGATGGGCAAGACTGCCCTGCAGAGTTGAGGTCTGACTGTCCTTCTTGGGCTAAAGTCTCCTATGGGAGTAAGTTGAGCCTAGGGGAATGGCTGTCCCTGCCCATGCTCTGCTACGGATACTTCCACACCAAACCCTCTGGGCTCATAATCAGGCTTGCTGCCCAAACCACTTCTTTAAGCAGCCCTCCTTGCCAACTAGAATGTCCGTGGTGGCCGAAGGGTCTCCTCCTACTGGGGTTCCAGAGCCCCGTGGTGAGAGCAGGTTGTTCCTTGCCAGTTCAACTCACTCATTCCCCTAGAGCTGTTGGGGGCCAGGAATGAGTCCTCGTGCATGGCAGCTCCATGCACATTCCCAGCTTTCTTCCCCTTCACCCCAGCTTCTGTGTCTTCCCTCCATCCACCCTCAGTGCCTTCCCTCTGAAGATCTGTTAGGAGCACGCCAGTCATTTCAGTCCCTCAGTAAAAGGTGCTCCACCTGGCTGCGTCTAGTCAGCCGTCTTGCCCTCCTCTTGTTTCCATTCATGTTTTTAAAATATTCATTAAATCAAGGAATGATGGATACCTCTTTAAGATGGCAAAATATATAAATTTCAGCCCAAAGCCAGCAACTTACTTTGGAAACACTAGCATCAAAACCAGGATGCTTACAGCCTTCACTGTAAGCAATTATTTAACACTGTATTAAAGTTATTAGAAAATGCAGGTGTAAATGGGAAAGAAATAAGAGGCATAAGTGTCAGGAGGAAAAAATTACAGCTATCTCTATACAGATAAAATTTATTATGTATTTGGAAAGCCTGAGAGAATCTATAGAAAAATCTCTACAAATAATAACAGTTACATTACAAAGTAGATAATTAACAGAGTAATACATCGAATGCATATGTATAAGTAATAATAATATCTAATGAAAGATAAGACAAAATAAAACAAAATTCCCAAGCACAATTATAATAAGAAATATGCAAAACATAGATAAGGAATTATGAAACACTCTTAAAAGATACTAAAGTAGACCCCCAAGACATGGAAAGGCATATCACAGTTTATGATTGGAAGCCTCAAGATCCAAAGATTTTGATTCTCCTTAAATTTACTTCTAAATTTAAGATGCAATCTTAAATGCATCTGTGCAGCAAATATGCCATCAGGTTTTTTTCTGGAGCTAGACAGATTAATTATAAAGATTATGGTTAAACATGAATAGTCAGCAAAACCCTAAAAAAGAGGAACAATATGTGGGAGGTTACCCTCAAGATATGAAAACATAATGAAGCTTCTACAGTTAAAGTAGTGTGATATTGGCTTATGGGTAGACAGATACATAGACCAATGGAACAGAATGGAAAAACACAGAAATAGCCCAGCTGCCTTTGAAATTCAGTATGAGATAAAGGCAGGAGCTCAAAAGTAGAAAAAAGAGGGACTATTTAATAAATGACAATAAAATAACTGGGTAACCATAAGAAAAAAGACAAAGTTGGATCTATTCCTCACATGATACACTGGTATAATTTCTAAATAGATGAGACATCCCAATGTAAAAGAATGAAGCCATAAAAATATTATTAAAAAATGAATTTTCTTCATCACCTAAGAAGCGACAAAACTCTTAACTTTGATTAAAATACCTGAAACAATAAAAGATTAATACATTTAAGGTAAAAAAATTGTATCATGAGAAAAGTCAAAAACCAAATCACAAATTGGAAAAAAAATACATGCAACTTACACCTCAGACAAAAAGCTATTATTCCTAATATACTGTTCTCTTAAAACTTGAAAAGATCAAAATCCCAATAGTTAAGTGAGGAAAAGGTACAAAACAAATAGACCATATAGGAATACCAATAGCTATTAAAAACATGAAAACATCCCCAGTCTTTCTCATAATAAGAGAAATGCAAAATTAAACAACACAAAAACTGTTTCTCACCTATCAGGTTGGAAAATTTGAAAATTCTGAGAAGATGCTGGGTTGGAGAGACTATAGGAAAGTAGACACTGTCATTCACTGCTACAGAAAATACAAATGCCTGTTCTCCCCAAAATGATCCACAGATTCAAGACAATTCCACTAAACTTTCAGAAGGTTATTTTTGTTGGAATTTATAAGTTTATTCTGAAAACTAATATGGAAAATCAAAGGACCTAATATAGCCAAAATAACTCTTTAAACGGTGAATGATGATGGAGGACTTACACTAACTGATTTCAAGAATTATCCTAAAGCTACAGTAATCAAAGCTGTGTGATATTGCTCTCAAGATAGATAAATGAAAGGGACAGAAGAGAGAACAGAAACAGACACACACAAATAGGATCAGCTGAATTTTAACTTAGATGAACAACCATAGGAAAGCTATGTGCAAAAAAAATTATAGATAATAATTAATAATCCATGCCTCACAATATGTACAAAGATAAACTCAAAATGGGTTACAGATACAAATGTAAAAAAAAAAATACAAAACTTCTGCAATAAGATGTAGGAGAAAATCTTTGTAACATTTCTTAAACAAAAAGTTTTGGATATAACAACAAATCTACAATTCATGAATTTAAAAAGTGATAAATTGGACTTCACTAAAATTAAGAACTTCTGTTAATAGAATTAAAAGATAAGCCATGAACTGTCTGAAAATTTAAAATTTGATAAATGAGTATTAGGCTTATTACCTGCATGACAAAATAATCTGCACACCAAATCCCAGTGACATACGATTTACCCATGTAACAAACCTGTACATTAGCCCTCTCTGCCTAAAATAAAAGTTTGAAATAAAAATAAAATAAAATAAAACTTGAAAAAGGACTTGAATCCTTTTTTGACTCAAATTTTTTGAAAACCATTTGGCAGTATTTATAAAAACTAAATATTATGTCTACCCTATTATTGAGCAAGTCCACATCTCATTATATACCCAAAAGAAATGTTTCCATAGTTCAACCAAAATACATGTTCACAAATGTTCATAGAAGCTTTATTAATAATAAGCAAAAACTGGAAACTAACTGTTCATTAACAGGATAAATAATTGTATACACATAATGGGATACTACATAGAGACAAAATAATAACGTTAATCTCTGCATACATGCAACAATACAGATGAGTATCACAGCCTTTATGTTGGGGAAAAGAAACCAGAAACAGTACAGTACATGTTGATATGAACAGTGGCTAGCTGTGGGAGTGGGCGTTGAGAGAGGGTAGTGTTCACTGGGAATGAACAAGAGAAGACCTTCTAAGGTGGTTGAAAGCATTTTACATTTTAATCCAGCTTGTGGTTACACAGGCACATACATATGAAAAAGTTCAATGAGCTATATACTTAAAATCTGTACACTTTACTGTAAGTTAGTCTACAACATTTTATAAAGGTAGTATCTATTTTATTTTATTACTGATATTGGACTGCATACCCACCACACCCACCCCACTCCCAAATTATAGGTCCCTTGGATTCAGTGGTCTATTCAATCCCATCTAAACCACAATCCCGCCACTGTACGCCTATTCTTTTCATTTCACTAACATTGAACAGAATCACTGTAGTGCAAACTAAACATTTCTCCAAACTTCCCTTATTTACCAGTAGAAGGGGACTTCCCTACAGAAAAGTTCCTAAGCATTTCACTTATCACTGCTTCTCAAAGAAAGTTTACCACTCCTGGTGGGTTTAGATTCTTTATATACAGCTATATTCCCCTTTACATAATATTGGGGATGTATTAGCTTATCTGGAGAGCACCATTGCTTCACCACATGTCCCATTATTAAAATATCACGGCTTTCTGCAAGGCCTGAAAATTTAATTATCAATTGCCTCTTCTAATAAGCAACTGCGGCCGGGCACAGTGGCTCACATCTGTAATCCCAGCACTTTGGGAGGCCAAGGCGGGTGGATCACGAGGTCAGGAGTTTGAGACCAGCCTAGCCAAGAGACCAGCCTGGCCAATATGGTGAAACTCCGTCTCTACTAAAAATATAAAAATTAGCCGAGCGTGGTGATGGGCACCTTTAATCCCAGATACTTGGGAGGCTGAGGCAGGAAAATTGCTTGAACCCAGGAGGCAGAGGCTGCAGTGAGCCAAAGATTGCGCCATTGCACTCCAGCCTAGGTGACAGAGCAAGACTCTGACTCAATATAAATAAATAAATAAATAAGGAACTGCTTGGTTCTGCCCTGATATGTTCCCCAAACTATTTTCTGCTCTGTTACTTCCTCTTGACCAGTAACATCCATTAGAAAATAATGCAAATCATGTATGTAATTTTAAATTTTCTAGTACATAAAAAACTGAACAGAAATTATTTTAATGATATATTTTATTTAACATAATATATCCAAAATGTTATTTCAACATATAATTAATATAAAAATTAATCAGTGGGGGCCAGGCACAGTGGCTTAAGCCTGTAATCCTAGCACTTTGGGAGGCCGAGGCGGGTGGATTGCCTGAGCTCAGGAGTTTCAGACCAGCCTGGGCGACATGGTGAAACCCTGTCTCTACTAAAATACCAAAAAAAAAAAAAAAATCAATGGGATGTTTTATATTTTTTATAATAATTCTTCAAAGATCTAATGTGCATTTTATACTTACATTGCACACTTAGAGTATGTATCAATATGGATGATCACTTTTCAAGTGTTCAATAGACATGCATGGCTAGTCACTACCATATTGGATAGTACAGCTCCCAATCATCTTGAACTACATACTTCTCCATAAGACCTCTAACACCCAAGTTAACCCTTGAAATGAAACTCCAGATGCTGTCTCTGTTGGTCTTAAAATAACATGACACCTCCACCCAACATCTTTACATCCCTTAAAATTTTATATCTCTCCCTTGGAAGTTCTAAACCACTAAACTAGTTCTAAACCCTAGGGCTCCACTCACCAAGTCAGTGGGCCCCACGCTTACTTCTATATGAAACCTAACATACTTCCCACTTACACATTATAAAATTCATCAAACACTGATCTTGTCATTTTGCCAAGACCACCTCAACAAAACGTTTCACCTCCTACGTTCTTGCAAAAAGTGATACATTAAAATTATCCTGTGAAAAATAGCATGAAATTACTGTGAATATATTTAGAACTTAAATTTGTTAGGTCAACTAGCATGTGAAATGAAATCTTCCAAAAAGAAATGAGACAATAAAGAATAGCATAAAGGAAAACACTGTGGATTGGGATTCGAGCTGGGATTCCAGTCCCAGGTCTGCCACTAGGTAATTTTATGTTCCTGGGCAAATACACAAATACTTCTGAGTCTGCAATTTGTGGTGTATTACATAAAGGGGAAAGATAAAATTATTCCTAAGCCTCATTCAACATTGAATATTCTATAGGTGTAGAAACTTCTTTATAAATCAAGGAAGAGATGGAGGTGAGGGTGGGGAAGAATAAATCCACTCAGAAAAGAGAGTTAAAATTTTCTCTATATATAGGATGGAAAGCACTGGAAGCTTAGATTCCTCACTGAAAAAAAAATCATCGCAAAAGCAATCTGATTTTAAAAAAATCCTAGTATCTCTTTTCTGTTTCTAAAATTTTTTTCAAGAAAAGCTTATTCTGGAAAAGGTTCTCTTCAGGGCAAGTTTGACATCCTTATTCCTCAGGCTGTAGATTAATGGGTTAAACATGGGCACCACAGTGGTATAGAACAGGGAGGACACTTTCCCCTGGTCCAGGGGTAAAATGGAAGGGGGTTTGAGGTACGTAAAAGCTCCTGACCCAAAGAAAAGAGAAACTGCAATTATGTAGGAGCTGCAGCTACTGAAGGCTTTAGACCTGCCCTCAGCAGAACTAACGCGGAGAATGCTGGAAAGAATAAAACCATAAGAGATAAAAACGGCAACAATGGGCACCCCAATGCCAACGGTCACAACAATAAAGATGACCAGGACATTTATGTAAGAGCCGTTGCAGGAGAGCTCAAGAAGGGGAAGGATGTCACACATGTAGTGATTGACAAGGTTGTCTGCACAAAAGGTGAGAAACACTATATTTCCTGTATGAGCCACAGCCCCAAAAACCCCCATCCCGTAGACACCCAGTAAAAGGAGCAAACACACCTGGGGAGACATGGTGATCGTGTACAACAGTGGGTTACAGATGCCCACGTAGCGGTCCTACACCATCGCCGACAGGATGAAGGACTCAGAAAAGACAAAGAAACAGAAGAAGAAGAACTGACTCATACACCCTGTGAAGGAAATAATGTTCTTCCTTGAGACAAAACTCATCAGCATTTTGGGAATGATGGTCGTAGAGAAACTAAAATCTACGAGGGACAAGTTGAAGGGGAAAAAGTACATGGGGATATGCAGGCGAGAGTTGAGCCCTATCAGGATTATCAAGCCCAGGTTCCCCACCACCGTGACCGCGTAGAAACCTAGAAACAGGAAGAAGACGGGGACCTGGAGTCCCGGCTGGTGGATTAAGCCTGCGAGGATAAACTCTGTCACGGAGGAGGAGTTCTCGGCAGCCATTCTCCTCTAGGCAAAGCTGTGAAGGAAAAAGACTCAGTGAGAGAACGAGAAAGAATCCTCCCCTGCTTAAGAATGACATCGGAGCAGAGAGATTATTGAACTTCTAGAAGATATTTCCTTATTCCCTTGTCTCTGTTTTCACCTTCCCCAAGTGCCCTTTAGCCATCCTGGTAACTGTCTGAGGGTGACATTTGCAGAGTGAAGGCTGCCGAGACTAAGGAGAGAGTCGGCAGAATTGAGCTGGAACAACCCTCCAACCCTCGCCGTGGCCCTCCCCGCTGTGTACTTCATTCCCTCTACAGCCCTTGATCAAGTCGGTAAAACCGGCGGCCCTTCTCTGGAGAGGTGGGAACCACTTGACCTTTCCAGACCTTCTACTTTGGGGTCTGTACTAAACGGAGCAGTAAGATGACGTTGTATCGTCCACAGTCTTTACTGGCATGACTGTGGAATTAGTATAGGATAATAGGGATGGAGTAATTATGTAACGTTATTCATTAAAAGCTAAGAAAAAGGAAGAGAAACATTTATCAAATGTGTCTGAATGCTGTCTGGCATTACAACCATCACCATTCGACACATGAGGATACAAAGCCTAAGCCACTTGCACAAAGCTCTAGTGCAACTGAGTTGCAGCAGCAGGGAAACTCCGTGGTCTGCCTCCCCTAGTCTGAGCTTTTAACCACTCTGCTGTGGCACCAGTGGCTCAGACAGGCACTCACCCTCTACAGCTTGGAGCCACAGTGCTGCTGTCTACTGCCCCTCGCCCATCTCTTTTGCAGAAATCCAAATGGCCTTGCTGTAAAGAAAGTGGCAACTTAGAGCCCAGACACCCTCTGCTTCTGCTTCTCCACTTTGAGGATTAAAACCTCCAATTTATCTTGATTCTTTTGCTGAGATGAAGAACACTATCTCTGATCATGGCTTTGCCCCGAGGCTTCTGCCCAGCTTCCAGAGATGAGACCGCAGTCTTTCCTGACACTGCGGATAACAAGCATCTGGAGAGTTTTATTCTGGAATAGAGACCTCAGAGTAGTTACGGAGGCTCCCTCAGGACCATTGCCAGAGACCAAGTTCTCTAAGGAAAAGGAAATGTTTGTTTTCACACTTGATAATGCTCCACGGGGCTTTTAATGACCTAATATTTCATTCGGGTCGCATCGTTTTAAGCACAATTTTTCTTGCTACCTTATATTGACAACTTACTGTGTACCAAACACTGTATCTGACCCAGCACCTTCATACAGACACCAAGGATCCAACAACAATGTCCAATTTTACCTCATTTATTTCTCACAGTACCTTCATAAATCAGACATGTTAATCTCCACTTTAAAAGTGAGAAGCACACGCAGCTAATAGATTCTAGAATCTTGAGTCAAACTCTGGTCTGTCCAGCTCCAAATGTCACAGGGGCGAGGGACCCTGCTGAGCTTCTTAAGCAATCACAAGACACTTAATGTGTGTAACTGACAACACCCAATTTTGTCTCCAGACACCAGAGTTGGCTCCTCTAAACATTGTCAAAACCATTTTCAGGAGGGGATCTCATTAATACAGGGACTAATACAGTTTCCTGTGGCAACTAGCCTTTCACACCCCTAACCAGGGCCTTTTGTGTATTAAGGATGATACATTTCATAGCCAAGAAATAAATCTCTATTTGGGGAAATTAGAGCTTCAGTATGCCAACAGGTTAGATATGTTTTTGATCCTGCTTCGATGGCAGAAATATTCTTGGAGAAGTTATAAAATCTTAACACAAAAGCAGAAGTCCATCTTCAGGCAAGTCCAAGTGAAACCACCGCACACAAGCCTGTGTGTTTATGAGGATGTGCACATATGTCAGTCAAGCCATGCTCACTCTCAGCTCAGTCTCAGCAATGAGGTTGCCTCATCTGTCGTTATACACTTAGAATTGTCCACACCCCGGAGTGACCCTAATGGATCCCAATCCCTGTCTCAGTCCCACTGCACAAAAGTTACAAAGGGAGAAAAATAATTTATTAAACAAAATGTACATGAGTCCATTAAGCAGGCTTTCCTTCAGATCCAAGTGCAAAGAAGACATTGGAGGTTCTCTGGAAGCTCTATGGGGAATTTTGTCTGTTACTTCAGAGACAGTTGCCATGGCAACTACATTTCCAAATGCATCTTAGACAAGGCTTCTCTAAAGCTGTGTTACCTGATGACTCACTTCAGTACAAGCAGCAAGCAAAAAAAAAACCTATCTGAAAAAATTTTTTCTTCTTGTATCTATTTCATACTTAAACGATATATTATACATGTTACATTACAGAGCATGTGAACATTTACATACAATAAAATATCTTTACATATATGTCTCATGCATGTGTGTTAGCTCTCAGACTTCAGGTAGATCATCAAGTGGTGACAGTATGGCACGGGGTCAATCACTAAACTTACTAGTTTCCCAACCACAATAAGAAGAAGCACAAACCTGGCCAGAGAGGAGAGACGGCACTTGAAATAGTCATTTCAATAGCATTCAAATAGCCTTAATTAACTCCTGAGAAAGAAGATAGAATTAAATTCATCTATCACCAGTCATATGGGTCTGCAATGTCCTTAATGTTAAATTGATTTAATAAGTGTATTTAGCATGTATAGTAATATGTGAGGTCAGGGATACAAAAGGCATTGTTTGTGCCAGAAAGAAATGCATAGTCTAATAGAAACACGTCCCATATTGGCTCATCTTTCTACTTCTGTCCCTTCATATTTCACATTTACCAGGATTCACTTCTGTGCCTTATTTCCACGCTTTTTCTGCTTCCTTAAATTCTCAGTGAGTTACTTTGTTTCATGGCTTCAACAAACCCTCTATATGGATGGCTGCCAAATTTGTGTCTTTAGTTCTCAGTTTCCTGTTAAGCTCCTTTCCTGTGTGTCCCACATTTATTTTGGATATTTCTAAGAGGCTGTTCTCCAATCATCCCTGAACTTGAGTACAAAGATGAGTATATGGCTCTTTACCCCAAAAGTAAATGTCCTCTCAACCATTCCCTTTATTTATTTGGCTGTAATCAATGATGAGAAAGTAGAATGTAGAACTTATAAAGTTAATCTAAATCCTGGCTTTTCTAGAACCATCCCAGTTTATGCCTATTATCTCAGAAAAATTACTAGTATCTCCCCTTTCATTCTGAAATATGTCCCAGTTGAATAAGCATTCAGAGCATGAACTTTGGAATCTGGCAGAACTCAGCTCAAATCTCTGACACTTACAGACTGTGTGATCTTGGGAACTTTGTTTAACCCTTCTATGAGTTTCTGGTGTTGTAATGTTAAAATGGGAAAAATACTGGTAATTCAAAGGATTGTTTTAATGAATAAATAATGCACCTTCTGGCACAAAGACACAAAAAAATCTATTATTATTTATTATTATTTCGTAAATAATTCTTTTAAGTGTATTACTTTTATTTAATTTTCATTAAATAAATAAAATTTACTTATCATCTATTAGAGTAGTAACAATTACTATCCCCTTGGATAAAAGTAATTGCAGAATGGGCTAGAACAGGAAGAGACTGAAGGCAGGGAAATCAACTCAGAGACTACACAAGAGTAGAAACAGAGAGGATGAACAGTGCCACATGTTATGATATTACGATGAAATGCAAAACAATGTTTGGCATCTCTGTGCTTGGAGAGAGAAAAACAGAGACGAGGAGACATACATCAAGTTTGATTGCATTTTCAAGCCCAGGAAAACAGGAGCAGAATGACAAGAATGGAGAAATAAGGAGGGAGAAGGGTAAAGAGCTGAGTTTTAGACAAAAATGTGAAATATTAACAGGACCTCCAAATGACAAGGATCAGAAATAAGTAGAAAACTGGAAATCAGAACTTGGGTAAAGGGATCAGATACAAATAGAGGAATCATCTGAGCAGAAGTGGTCATGGAAAAATGGGGAAATAGCCACAAGGAAGAGTGTTTAAAGACAGAATAATCGGGACAAGGATTGACTCTTTCAAAAACGCCAACAAATAGGTAATGAAAGAAGGACATTGACAAAAGGAAATGTCAAAAAATAAAAAAGCAAATGTAGCAACTGAGAGCAAGCATTTGAGAAGAAAAATATCTGGAATTAAACCCCAACTGTGTTGCTCATTTCCCAGGTGAACTTGAATAAGTTACTTAACCCAGTTAAGACTCAGCGACCCTATCTAAAAAAAAATAGGGATAACAATATCAAATTTGCAGATGTTTGTGAGAATTACATTGTGCCCCAATGAATATTCATTTAGTCAATATTAGTGGAATTTATAAAACGTCACAGAAGCCAAAGGTGGAGAGAATTTCAAGAGTGAGGAATATATGTTACCAAGAGTTTCATGGGAAGAAAAACTGAAAAATAAGCTTAAACTAAGTCATTCTCTCGCCTTTCTATTCACTCATTTTTCCGTACCATTCTTACTGTGCTTAGTCTAATAAAATTTTATACTATTCATTGATTATTTCAAGACTATATTCCATAAGGCCCAACTAGATTAAATACTTCTTCAAGGAAAATTTTAAATCCTATAGCTTCGGGGGTACACTAACATAATCATTATTTATCAGATGACGAATACTTTATAGATAATCTTCAAAAAATGATGAATGTAATAAACTTGCATGTAAATATAATGCAATAAAAATCCATATTACAAAAACATAATTCTGGGGATTTTCTTAACTACCTGAAATAATTTGCCACATTTTATTCTCATGAAAAAAGTAATATGAGCTACACATAATTAAATTTACTGAAACTAAGTTAGAAGGCTTCACTGTGTTAACATTGATACTGACATTCATTGACACTGAAATGACAATGATGCCAGAAGATTTCTGTCTGTCAAGGTCAAAGTGTTTGTAGAAGACATCTCCCCCTTTCTTGTAGGTGCTGGCAAAAGAAAGTAGCTAAATGGCAGAAATTGCTCCGAAGGCTTTAGCTAGAGAGCTGCCAAGAAACTTAAAACTTCTCAAAACTGAATTCTCTTTCCTAGGGGACTTAAATTCTGGAAAAGTGCTAATTTATGCAAAGATACTGTAAAATCTATCATTTACAAGGAGTGTAAAGAGTACAAAAGAAATCAAGACTGTGCTAGAAAGTACAATATGGTGGGGTTAATCAGGACAAACCTATAAAAAACCTTCAAGCAATTTACTGGAAGTGAAGTACGTGGTTTGATGAGTAGAAGCAGGGAAATTATTCTAAGCATAACAGAGACATCTTAATTGACTAATAATAAAATTAAATTGAATGTCTTTTATGTGCAAAGAAACTAAGCGGTTTTATAAAGACAGCAAGGTAACAACGTTTTCTTGTTGGATAGACTCCTCTCTAGTCCTAATTGCAGGATTGAAGAGACTGTCTACAATTTCTAAAGACTTCTGAAAAGAAAAGCCACACACTCTCCCAGTGATGCATTCCAATATTTTGCAAAGCTTTCTCTCGGGAACTTTATTCTGGTGATTAACAGAAATCAAGAGGCAATGTAGCATCCTAGACAGATGCTAGGATTAGGAGTCTAAAGATCTGACTCTGGTCATGCAGTCTTGGAGAAGTCACTAAGATGTCCTTGCCTAGAAATTCCTCCTCTATAAAAGGAAAATTAAAACCTGCCTTATAGATTGCTTGAGCCCAAGAGTTTGAGACCAGCCTGGGCAACATAGTGAGACCTTGTCTCTATTTTATTTTATTCAAGAAAGAATTACTAGACCAACCAAGAAGCAGGAAAATGTGGCCCATAACCCAAAAGAAAAATTGGTTTATAAAAAGAAATTTTTAAAATGATAGAAATGATATTCGTGAAAGAGGGCTTTAAAACAACTGTTGGGCTGGACACAGTGTCTCATGCCTGTAATCCCAGCACTTTGGGAGGCCAACGCAGGCGATCACTTGAGCTCAGGAGGTTACAACCAGCCTGGGCAACGTGGTGAGACTCTGTCTCTACAAAAACTACAAAAATTAGCTGGACATGGTGGCACGCCCCTATATAGTCCCAGCTACTCAGGAGGCTGAGGTAGAAGGATCGCTTGAGCCCATGAGGCAGAGGTTTCAGTGGGCCCAGATTGCACCACTGCACTCCAGCCTGTAACCCCAGCACTTTGGGAGGCCAAGGCGGGCGGGTCACAAGGTCAGGAGATCGAGACCATCCTGGCCAACATGGTGAAACCCCATCTCTGCTAAAATCCAAAAAATTAGCCAGGTGTGGTGGTGCGCACTTGTGGTCCCAGCTACTCGGGAGGCTGAGGGAGGGGAATCGCTTGGGCCCAGGAGACAGAGGTTGCGGTGAGCCAAGATCGTGCCACTGCACTCCAGCCTGGCAACAGAGCTAGACTGTCTCAAAAAAAAAAAAAAAATGTAAGACTGTTATAACTATTCCCAGGAAGTTAAAGGAAAACGTGAACAGAGAGAAGACACGAGAAAGAGCCAATGGAACATCTAGGTATGAAAACTACAACATCCAAAATAAGGCTGAGATAATTCCACTCCCACTTCTCTCACTAACACAACAAACTTCTTCAAAAATCCCTGTAGGGTCAATGGTTTGCTTTGCTGGACAAGACCCCTCCCTTACTAGGCAAAAAATCAATTCAAATTTGAAGTTTTAAATTGATTTTTTGAGCTGTGATCTCACGTTTTGACAATTATGAGTTTCCACCAAGGTTATTCTGAGGACTCTAACTTGAAAATAAATAAAGGTGTGCTCACAGGAAAAAAAACAAAAAAACAAAAAACAAAACACCTGCCTTATATATGCCACAACATTCTTGAATAGATCAAACCAGCAGTTGTTAAATTTGATGAACATTTTTCAGTCTCTTTTTACTTGACACAGGGGACAGCTAACTCCTTGAAACACTCATTTTCCTTCTTTGAAGACACATCATCCTTCCGATCTTCCTCCAACTTCTGGCTACTTCTCAGTCTCCTTCAAGGGCAAACGTTGGATATTCCTCAGGGTTCTAGCCTCAGTCTTCTTCTCTCGGCTTTCTACTTATGCACTCCAAAATATTGTCTACTCTCCTGTCTCATATTACCCTCTGCTGATGACTTCCAGATCTGTATGTCTGTCCACAGCTGAACACTCGACACCTAAAATTCAACACATTAAAAAATCGGTATCACAATCTTTCCTCAAAAAACTTCTCCTTCCCCTATATTTCCCATCTTAATAACCAACACCATTTTCCCAGCTGCTGAATCACCTACATCAATAATAAAGTCAATTTGATTCTAACTTTTAAAAGAATCAGGCCAGTTCCCTGAAAATTAGTTCACTGAAATTTAATTTACCAACAGGACAATTTACCAAAAACCAATTCAACAATGAGCAATTTGCAAAACTTTGTTATCCCTTTTAACAACTTATTTTTTACAAGTACTCTACATATGCATTAGAAAAATTATAAAATACATAGTATTTTATACATAGTACTTTACAATAGAGCAGGAAATAAAAATTATTCATATTTCCACCACCCATAAATAACCACTGTTAAGATTTAGGTGCATTATGTTTGATGTTAGATTATATTGTACATATGATCTTGAAATATTTTTAAACTGTATATCATCGGCATCTTCTTATGTCAATAAATAAACATTATTTTTAATAGCTTTATGATATCCCTTCCATGGGAGTACTATCATTTCGTATGTCAATTCTTTGTTTGACATTTTATTATGTCCAGTTTTCACTATGATAAACACAGCAGAGATGAATATGCATTTTTGGAAACCTAACCATTTATTTTCTGAGGATGAATTCCTAGAAGTCAAATTGCTAAGTCTAAAAATATGCTGTTTAAGAATATTGCGGAAATGTTCTCAAGAAAGACTTTTGCAATAACACTCCTACTAGCAATGTCTGAGCATGTCTTTTTCTCCATGTCTTTTCTAACAATTTCCTAATGCATCCAATACATGCTAAAAATGCCATCACATTGTTTTAATTCATACTTCTTCGATTATATGTTAGGCTTTAGGAATTTATTTTTATATTTCTTGACCTTACCCATTTATACACATTATAGGAATATTTAAATCTACTTTGTTATACAGCCATTATGGAAAACAGTTTGGAGATTCCTCAAAAATGTTAAAATAGAACTACCATATGATCTAGCAATCCCATTACTGAGCAAATATCCAAAGGAAATGAAATCAGTATATTAAAGACATGTCTGCACTTCCATGTTTATTGTAGCACTATTCACAATAGTCAAGATATGGAATCAAACTAAATGCCCATCTAATAAAGAATGGATAAAGAAAATATGGTATATATACACAATGGAATACTATTCAGCCATAAAACAGAATAAAATCTTATCTTTTGCAGCAACATGGATGAAGCTGGAAGACATTATGTTAAGTGAAATAAGCCAGGCACAGAAAGACAAAATACTGCATATTCTCACTCAAATGTGGAAGCTAAAAATGTAAGGTGACTGTAGCAAATAACAATGTAATGTATATTTCAAGATAGCTAGAAGAAAAGATTTGGGATGTTATCACCACAAAGAAATGATAAATGTTTAAAGCTATTAATATGGTAATTAGCCTGATTTGATCATTATAAAATGTATACATGCATTGAAACATCATGCTGTATGCCATAAATATATACAATTATTATACATCAACCATAAGGTTTAAAAGTAATTAATAAAAATAAAATAAATACTTTATTGAGGTATAACTGAAGTAAAATAAACTCAATTGATGTATACAATTCAGTAATTTTTGACAAATGTATATATTCATGCAACCACCACTCAATCAAGATATATGTCATTTTCATTGCCATAAAAAGTTCCCTGGTATAATAAATGACCTTCAAGCTTGGTCTGAGCCAACTATTGCCTGATTTCAGTCACGATGCATTGTTTTTGCCTGTTATCAAATTTTGTAAAAATGTTATCATTCAGCATATACACTTTTTTGTCAAGTTCCTTTCACTCAGCATAAACATTTTTGATTCATTCATGTTATTGGGTGTATCAATAGTTCATCCCTTTTATTGTTGAATAATAATCATTCATATTAATAGACCACAATTTGTTTACGGCTTTGCACATTGAGAGAAATTTGGATCGTTTCCAATTTGGGACTAATGTAAATAAAAGCTTCTCAAATATCCATATGTAAGTCATTTGGTGGACATATGCTTCCATGTCACTTGGATAAATATCTTAGCAGTGGAATTGCTAGGTGAGCTAGAATGTGTACTTTTAATTATGTAAAAATCTGCCAAAATGTTTTCCAAAGTGGTTGTGCCATTTTATACTCCTACAAGCAATAACTGAGAGTTTCAGGTGCTCACCAATACTTGGTATTGTCAGTATTTTTAATTTAGCCATTCTATTGGGTATGAAATGGTGTCACAATTTTATTTACATTTCTCTCACTATTAGTGATATTAATCCTATTTTCATGTTCTTATAGACCAATTTGGCTATTTATATATTTCTTACTTGGCTATTATGTTTTCTTATTATTGCATCTAGATATAAGTCCTTTGTCAAATATATTTTGAAAATACTTAATCTCAGTTAGTGGCCTGTTTTTCATTTTCTTAGTAGTATTTGCAAGGAATAGAGTTTTAAATTTTTATGAAGTCCCATTTATATTGTGGTTAGTGATGTTTTTTGTTCTGTCTAAAATTATTTGCCTAGCCCAAGGTTGTAAAAGCTTTTTTTTCCTTCTATGTATTCCTTTAGAACTTGTATTATTTTTGTTTGTTTTCCTTTTATAAATTTATTTTTATTTTCAATTTTTGTAGGTACATAGTAGGTGTATATATTTATGGGGTATATGAGATGGCTTCATATAGACATACAATGTGAAATAAGCATATCATAAAGAATGGGGCATCTATTCCCTCAAGCATTTATCTTTTGAGTTACAAACAAAACAACTGCATTCTTTGAGTTATTTTTAAAAGTACAGCTAAATTATTACTGACTATATTCGCCCTGTTGTGCTATCAAATAGTAGGTCTTATTCATCCTTCCTATTTTTTTTTTTTTTTTTGTATCCATTAGCCATCTCCATCTCCTCCTTTTCCCCCTAACTACCTTCCCAGACTCTGGTAACCATCCTTCTACTCTCTATGTCCATGAATTCAACTGTTTTGATTTTTAGATCCCACAAATAAGTGAGACCATGTGATTGATGTTTGTCTTTCTGTGCTTGGCTTATTTCATTTAACATAATGACCTCCAGTTCCATCCATGTTGTTGCAAGTGACAGGATCTCATTCTTTTTTATGGCTAAATAGTACTCCATTGTGTATACATACCACATTTTCTTTATTCATTCATCTGTTTATGGACAATTAGATTGCTTTCAAATCTTCACTACTGTGAACAGTGCTGCAACAAGCATGGGATTGCAGATACCTTTTCGAGATACTGATTTCCTCTCTTTTCATTGATTGATGGATCATGTGATAGCTTTATTTCTAATTTTTTGAGGAATCTCCATAGTGATTGTACTAATTTTCATTCCCACCAACATTGTGCAAGGGTTCCCTTTTTTCCACATCCTCACCAGAATTCGTTATTGCCTGTAATTTGCATATAAGCCATTTTAACTGTGGTGAGATGATATCTGATTGTAATTTTGATTTGCCTTTCTGTGATGATTAATGATTTTGAGCACCTTTTCATATACCTGTATGCCAGTTGTATGTCTTCTTTTGAGAAATGTCTATTCAAATCTTTTGCCCATTTTTGATCAGATTATTAGATTTTTCTTATAGAGTTGTTTTATCTCCTTACATATTCTGATTATTAATCCCTTGTCAGATGGGTAGTTTGCAAATATTTTTTCCCATTCTGTGGATTGTCCAATTAAACTATGTTATATTATTTAGTATGGTTCCAAAGTTAATGAGTTTCTATACTTTTTTAGTCCTTTTACTATCCAAAATGTTCCTTATTTTGGATTATTTCTATTGTTATACTTTCAAGTTTGTGGATCTTTCTTTCCTTCAGTGTCTAATCTTCTATTAACCTTATTCAGTGTATACTTTATTTCAAATATTGTATTTTCTTTTTTTTTTTTTTCTTGAGATGCAGTTTTGCTCTTGTTGCCCAGGCTGGAGTATGATGGCGTGATCTCAGCTCACTGCAGCCTCCGCCTCCCAGGTTCAAGTGATTCTCCTGCCTCAGCCTCCCAAGTAGCTGGGATTACAGGCATGAGCCATCATGCTCGGCTAATTTTGTATTTTTAATAGAGATGGGGTTTCTCCATGTTGGTCAGGCTGGCCTCGAACTCCCAACCTCAGGTGATCCACCTGCCTTGGCCTCCCAAAGTGCTGGGATTACAGGCATCAGCCACTGCACCCAGCCCAGATATTGTATTTTCATCTCTAGTACTTCAGCTTAGGTCTTCATTATACTTTTCATTTTTCCCTGCATTGAGTTAATGTTCTCCTTTTCATTCTTGAGCATGTTTTTAATAAATGTAATAACATTTTTAAGGTCTCTACCTATTAATTTCATCATTGCTGTCATTTCTGGGTCTATTTCTATTGATTGCTCTTTCTTCTGGTTATGCTTATATTTTCCTGCTTCCTTTACTGGTTACATTTTATTGGATGCCAGAAATTGTGATTTTTACATTATCAAATGGAAGATTTTGTTGTATTCTTTTGAAGATGATCAGATATTTTTCTGGCACATAGTTAAGTTATTTACGTATAAGTTTGACTATCCCAAGTCTTGTTTTAAAGCTTTGTTAGGAAGATTCAAAGCTGTTTCACTCTTTTAAAGTCTCTACCTAATGCTGTATGTATTATGAGATGTCTACACAGTGGCTTGAAGGAAATCAGACTATTTCAAGCTTTTTATAAGTTTCTGAAGTTTTTTGACCACTCGTTTCATGTAGTCCTTCACTCTGAAATTTTATCCCACACATATGCAGATCAAGTTTTATCCCACACATATGCAGATCAAGAAATAGACGTTCCTCTGCAGATCTCTGATTTTCTATGTATAGCTCCCCCATTCTTGGGTATTCTGCCCTGCATCATCTAGCCACATACATCTTTCCAAATACTGACTTCTGATTTTTCAACTTAGACATCACTGATCTCTTTCTTTTGACCACTCTAGATTGCGGCATGAAAAATACCTATAGTCAAGAAAGCCAAACAATCAGAGGGCTCATGTTTTTTTTCTTTCCCTCCTTTCAGAAATCAGTTTGATATTGTCTGTTGTCAAACATCAGAAAAGTTGTGTTTCATTTATTTTGCCTGATTATCTAGTTGTTTATGGCCCAAAGACAATTTCAGTAGGAGTTTATCTTTCATGGATGGCAGTGAAAATTCACTCACTAAATTTTAACTATGCTGAATCACTATGTTGAAAAATTACTCAAATTCAAAAAATATTATTTTCACTGACATGGAATTTTTTTTTGCTTACCCATAAATCATAAAATCTAAGGAACAAAATAGCTTAATGTTATTTCATCTAATGACCCTTCTTGTTTAGAATGTAGGAATCTTTAGCCAATGTCAGGCAATTGACCTTCAAGGAACTTACATTCACCACTGTATAATTATTCAACACAATCTACCAAACTACCTCTAGCAAATAACTTACGAGAAAAAAATACCAGCTGCTTTTATAAATTATGTTTTCTTATGTTTTTTTTCTCATTAGATAGACAGGAGAAATGAAAAAAAATTATCCTAAGAAGATGCTCCAGTGACAGCAGTTGTTTCTTGAGATCAACTGTGAACTGCCATTTTTACTTAGATGTACCAACACCCCTTCTAAGGGCATCTACACATGATTACCATCAAGTGAATGTCTTCTCTGCATTGGTGATGTTTGCTCTAAAAATAGACAAACTATAAATAGCATTTTGAAATCAATAGAGTAGAAACAGGGAAATGGTAAAGCATAAGAGATCTTGACATTATTCCATAGAACACATTTGCTGTGAGGAGAGAAAGTGGCTAAGGATAGGCTGATCACTAAGAATCCCAGGATTTAAGAATATGCAGAGAGGGGCATCAGGGAAAATGCCCACTTTCCTCTCAAATCATTTTGTTCTTGGTTAGTGAGCTGCATTATATGCTTTTTTCTAGTTCTACCTACTCCTAATCCTGATTCAATCTGAACTTTTTCTGAATCCTCCGAGCACAGTAGACAGCAAACAATCCCAGATCTTTCCTCAGTGCTTTATTTTACTCAAGAGAAACTGTATTCCGGGCCTAATTTACCCAATTCTTCAAGCTACAAAGTTATTCGAGTTCAATATACACAAAACAGTCAAATAACAAAATCTTTACTTTCTTCTATGGCTGAACTTCTCTGCATACCCAGAGACACAGAGCTCAATGCCCAGAAAATGCCACAAATTAATTAAGACAGAATTCCTATAGGTTGAAACCTGATGTAATTATTTTTAAGGCTCCGTAGGTGATCATAACGTGTAGCAAAATTAAGGATAACTACCCTAGGACCTCAGGTTCAATAAAAAATTTGAACAAAGTCCAGATGGCTAATGAAAACTCATACTTGTACAGCAACTGAATTATCTGGAAAACATTTCCATGTATATTATTGATTTTTATTTTTAAAACAGTCTTGAAAATTGATATTATAACTCTATTTTTCAGAAATAGGAGTTAACTTGTGATTGTTGGCCCAGGCTACTAGGATTTGAGATGAGATGAGCTCATGTTTTCATTGTGGGTGTAATATTTTGGAACTGCATAGATGACAAGGGAGATACCATCTCCAGGATAAAATACATCTTTAATTCCAAGAAATAAGATATACTAGTAGTGGCCTCTAAGGTAATTAAGGAAGATACGGATAGTAAAACTCCAGGTGGAGCTTTTTCCCACCTTCATGATCTCCAAAACACTCCAAAGTTGCCTGAATCCTGGAAAACATTAGAAGGAGTGAGGAGATAAAATAAGGAAAAGTAAGGAAAGAATTCAAGATAACAAACTCAGGGGCAGATGCTTATATCTAGCCTAACCAGAAAGCCTCATATATAGCCTTCCTTAGGCTCTTCTCTTTCATCCCTGCAGACCTCCCACCCGGGGAAGGAGTGAGTTTCTTGGCTACAGAAAATCACTCTACACTTTGGGAGGCTGAGGCGGGTGGATCACTTGAGGCCAGACCAGTCTGGCCAACATGGTGAAACCCCATCTCTACTAAAAATACAAAAATTAGCCAGGCATGGTGACACACACCTGTAATCCTAGCTACTCAGGAGGCTGAAGTGGGAGAATTGCTTGAACCCATGAGGCGGAGGTTGCAGTGAGCCAGGGTTGCGCCACTGCACTCCAGCCTGGGTGACAGAGTGAGACTCTGTCTCGAAGAAAAAAAAAATCACTCTACAGTGACAGAGTTCATTCTCAGGGGATTAACAAAGCAACCAGATTTCCAGCTCCCTCTTTTTCTCCTCTTCCTCAGGATCTGCTTGGTCACCATGGTGGGGAACCTGGGCATGATCTCCCTGATTTGGCTGAACTCTCAGCTTCACACTCCCACGTACTACTTTTTCAGCAATCTGTCACTCGTGGATCTCTTCTACTCCTCCATCATTACCCCTAAAATGCTGGTGAACTTTGTGCCAGAGAAAAACATCATCTCCTACGCAGAGAGGGGCATCAGGGAAAATGCCCCTTTCCCTCTCAAATGATGTTGCTCTTGATGGATGAGCTGCATTATATGCTTTTTTCTAGTTCCAACCCATTTTATGAAGGAACTATTACCCTAATACCGAAGCCAGACAAAGACACTATAAGAAAAAAAAAAAACTATAGACCAATCTCTGATGAAAATAGATGAAAACATCCTCAACAAAACACTAGCAAACAAAATTCAACAGTGCATTTAAAGGATCATATACCATTATCAAGTGGGATTTATCCCAGGGATGCAAGAATAGTTCAGTATAAACAAATCAATGAATATAACACATCATATTAAAAGAATGAAGGATAATCGGCCGGGTGTGGTGGCTCACGCCTTTAATCCCAGCACTTTGGGAGGCCGAGGCAGGAAGATCACTTGAGGTCAGAAGTTCAAGACCAGCATAGGCAACATGGTAAAACTCCATCTCTACTAAAAATACAAAAATTAGCCGGATGTAGTGGCACGTGCCTAAAATCCCAGCTACTTGGGAGGCTGAGGCAGGAGAATCGTTTGAACACAGGTGGCTGAAGTTGCAGTAAGCTGAGATCGCACCACTGTACTCCAGCCTGGGTGACACTCCATCTCAAAAAAAAAAGAAAAATCACACAGTCATCTCAATGGATCCAAAAAATCATTCAACAAAATTCAACACCTTTTCATAATAAAAACACCCAATAAACTAAGTATAGAAGGAATGTATCTCAACATAATAAAACCGTAAAAGGCAAGCCCATAGGAAACATCATAATGGTGAAAAATGGAAAGGTTTCTCTCTAAGGTCTGGTACAAGGCAAGAATGCCCACCCTCACCACTTCTATTCACCATAGTATTGGAATTGCTAACTTGAGCAATTAGGCAACAAAAAGAAATAAACATCATCCAAATCAGAAAGTAATAAAATTATCTTAGTTTGCAGATGATATGATCTTATATTTGGAAAACCCTAAAACTCCACACACAAAAAACTGTTAGAGCTAATAAAAAAATTTAGTAAAGTTGCAGGATACAAAATCAACAAACATTAGCATTTCTACGCACTAACAGTGGCCTATCTAAAAAGGAAATTAAGAAAGCAATCCCACTAACAATAGTATCAAAAATAATAAAATACTTAGGAATAAACTTAAGTGAGAAAGTGAAAGACTTGCACATTGAAAACTAAAATATTGATAAATGAAGTTAAAGAAGACACAAATAAATGGAAAGACATCCATGTTTATGGATTGGAAATTTTAATAGTGTTAAAGTGTCCATACCACCCAAAGTTATCTACAAATTCAATACAATCTCTACCAAAATCCCAGTAGGATTTTTTTTATAGAAGTGGAAAAAAATCCTGAAATTCATATGGAACCAAAAGAAAAACAGAATCACACTTAAAAATGGTCAAAATGGTATATTTTCCATTGTGTTTTTACCACAATTAAAAATTTAAAAATAAAAAATAAATCTAATAAAGTATTAAATAAAATATGTTTCTACCTCTTGCTTTGACAAGCTACCTTTATAGCCCTACAAAGCCAGATTCAAATTAGAGTCCTAAGAATCTTCAAAGTTCCATGTCAGAAGGTGGCCAGGGAAAGCTGCCCTGGCTCCCAAGTGCCTGCCCATGGCCCAAAGCTTCCCTCCTCCACTTCCCACTGCCAGCTGGGTTAGGGTTAGCATTAGGGTTAGGGTTAGGGTTAGAGCCAGGAAAGAAGCTTACACAGACCCTGGAAGATGAGGAGTCTAGCCCCAAACTAGATCTATGTATGATCTTTCAGGCCTGACTGTAGGAATTACCAAGACACACAAGCAATTTCTTTGTGTGGCAGGCCTCGTGAGGAAAATCTGCCCTCCCCTCACCAGACTTGGTGCACAGCCAATGCATTGCAGTCTCCAAGAGATTTGCAGTCAAGGACTCACACCCTCTCCCAGCCCCTACCCCCCTGGCCCACAACCTTATGTATATCTGCATTCCTACCTTAGGTGCTTCCATTCAGAGACCTCCTCGATAGAGGGAGTGAGGGAAGGGGGACCTCTGCTGAGACACTGCTCAAGTGTGTCTGCCACAGGAGAGACTTGAAGACACTTTTCTTTAGTACTCAGACTTTTCCACACAGAGAACTTCCCCCTCTCACTGACCCCGATCCTTTCCCCACTCCCACCCTGTCTGGGCTGATCCACCTGACCCTTCCCAGTGCTGTGCTGTTCTGCAGGGGGAGAGGGCACCTCCTTCTTTCTCTTTTTGCCTCTTGCTTACACAATAAGCAAACTGCAATAAGTGAATAAAGGCTTCCTTGTCACTTTCAGTTTGTCTCAATGTCTTAGAAATGGGAGCATAGGCTCCAGCTAGATGCTTTCCCTTTGGTTCTGCAGACTAATTTGGAAGATGTGGTCAGTGGATGGCCAGAGCAGAGTCCAGGAAAAGGAGCCCTCTCAGCAAGGCTAAGAAGGTCCACAGATGCACTCCCTTACCGCTATTATTTGACCTGTCACTGTTTCTCTACCTCTCCTCCTACCTCCAAACTAGCTAAGCCCACAACTGAAATAAAAAGTAACATTTGTCCTTCACACTACAATTTATAAAGCACATTAACACTCAATATCAATTAATCTTACATCCTTATGACCTCATAACATTATTCCCATTTTATAGATAAGAACATTGGGGTTAAGACTTACCCAAAGGCACAAGTGAGAAATTGGCACCCCGACCCCATATCTTTTAACTATAGATTTCAAAATTCATGCTTTTTTAAACTATAGCTTTCAAAAATTCAGGCTTTTTAAACTATAAATTTCAAAATTCATGCGAAATTCTACTACTCAGCCTTGCCATGCATCTCCCAGCTTTGCAGGAGGATCTAATCTGGTCTTTAAAAAGCTTCAAAAAGTTTGGGGCGGAGGATTTTATCACTAAAAGCAGAGAGGGTATAAAAAAAACAGTCAGGGCTCAGATCTAAAACCATCATGGCAGGAAGAATAAAACACAAGGACAGCAATCTCTGTCAGGGTCTTAATGCTCCATTCTCATCTCAAAACACAAAATGAGGGCCTTTAATGCACTTAAACAAATGCTAACCAAATTCCACACCAATTACTTGGAATATATGTTCTCAAGCCCTCAATCTTCATACCACCCCACTGAAAATACTTCATTAATGAAAGGACAATAGAAAGCCACTGGGCTTTATCTGTTCAGAGATGCAGCTTGCAGCAGCCCCGGATAAAGTCTGACCCTCCTCCAGAAAACATCCACTCAAGTTATGCCTCTCTCTAATTACCAGGATGCTTGGACAAGGGCCTAGCATTTTATTTAGAGAATCATCCCTGCTCCCAGCACAAATAAATACAAGACTGCAGCTGCAGATACTGTCTACTCAGAGCCGGCTTCCTGCAGTTACCATGTTGTCACCCTATCCTAGGATCTCATCTAGCCACCTCTGCACCCCAAGCTCAGCAGGACCATGTCATTCACTCACACGGCTACAGAGAACATGCTGTCAGATGCCCTGTTGCCTGACTAGTGACCCTGTCTCAAGGGGCTAGGCCTGGATCCACCTCCCCCAACCACCCAACCAAACCAAATGGTCAAGTTTATAGCTATATCCCCCATCACCACCACTAAATGGCCATTTGCAGCTGCAACCTTCCCCTGCTGTTGAAGTCCCTGACATTTGGCCAGGAATTATCTGGTGAATTGTCTCAGAGCAGGAAAGAATCTCACCACCTTCTACTACTCTTTCCGTAGGTTTTAGAGTAAGACAGCTCAAAGTATGAATCCCTCAGTGACTAGATTTCCTAACCCTGGGCTGGGTTGAGTTACCCAACAGGCAGATCAACTGTATGCTTAGGACACCAGCACAGTGAGTGTCTTTGAAAAGCGTTTCTAAAATTTTACAATGAAAACAGCAACCACAACAGCAAAACTCTAAAGAGAAGCTACTTTAATTCCTGCAAATATGTAAGTTAAATAAAAACTTTTTTAGTTTGAATTTCCAGTGGGTGGCCTCTAAAGGTCTGAATCAGGCCATGCTTTGGCAAGTCACGTATCCAAGACCTCTGGACTCCCCTCCTCCCGGGAGACTGATTGCATCACCTAAGTGACATCATGCCTGCCACAGGATAGGTGGTGAATAATCGTCACTTCCTTTCCCTTCTTTCTCCACTTCCCTGTGTTTCTCTCTACAAACTCAAGACACGCAAACATAAGCAAACCCACATATCTGTCTTTTTAGGTTCCAACTCAGCAATTCCACAACCCCTATTAAAAAGAACGTGGGGCATGCGAGAATTAGGATTTCTGATTCTCTCCCCTGCCTGTGCTGTAGACTGAAGGCACTTCCCAGGAGCATTTCCCCAGTCTCCCCACTGCCTCGTCCTTCAGCCATAAGATGGAGACAAGGGTTGCTCTCACTCAAGACTCCTTTCCTCTTTGTAGCGTCATGCCCCCACCCTCCTCTGTTTCAGAAATCTAGGCAGAAACTCTTCTACAAGTGACAGCTGTCCTAGGAAGGCACTCTGGTGCAACAAAAACAGCCCGTTGCTGACTTGCCTGGGAGTCAAGAGGAATCTTTGGGAGACAAGAGCTGTAAGACCAGAAGCCTGAGTCAGAACACTTGGCTGAACTGGGGCAAACAGCAGGTGCTGTCCCCTGCCACACTCTGCACTACTGTGGCCCAGCAGGTACCAACCCAGAAAACAGGAGCATGGCAGGAGGCAGGGAAAAAAACTGGAAGAGTAGATACACAGATAAAAAAGTGGCCTCTAGCGACTCCTAGGTGGTGGCTCTCCAAGCTCCTCCACTTCCTCCTCTGTGCTAGCTCGGGCCTGCGTCAAAGCCACATTCCTGTCCCAGCATCTACTCTTGCAACATCCGCTCCAAGCAGACTGCCTACACAGACAGCTCCTGTGGGTTCGCCTTGGCCACTGCAACCAGGATGAGCCAGGCTGATAAAACACGGCACCCTCTGGCTTCCCACATTACAGCAAATAGAGGCTACCTCACTAAGCAGAGTGAAAGAGCAACCACCACATAACATTCTTTAATCTGTAAAACTGATATTTCTCTAATCTGGGTAAAACTGTCATAGGAGAGATGATTGGGTCCAGTGACCCAAAAACTCTGTAGTCTGTAAGCCAACTTCCAGCTCTAAATTTTAATTGATTTCTGACTTTATTTTAGAAAATGTGACCTTTTTCCCCATTATTTTTCTCCCATGAGTTTCACCCAATACCAAGAAATAGCCAAAGAAAGCATAAGAGAGAAGGAATTATTTTGTGCTTATTAAAACAAAAAACAAGTCTATTTATTAATTTTATGAATTGTTATTTCTAACCACTTAGCAGTTTGAATGTTCAGGAAAAAAAAAAATGTCCTCCCTCTAAAACAGAGAAAAATGCTGAATGAAAATGTTAATAACAAACATACTAACCCACCAATTGGCTTAGCTGGTCTAAAAATAAGAGATTTTAGAAGTAAAAAATAAAGACAGAAGCACAGCATCTAACAGTATAGATAAGGCTGGAGCCACTGTTTCCCTTGGAAGTGTCTGCCAGTCGTAGGAGGCCTGCAGCCTGGGTTTTGACACATGAGGGGCGAGAGATGAAGCCTGGAGCCCAGGCAGGATGGATGTAGAATTAGAGGCCACCTTACCTCCCCACAACCCTCATAAACCAACGCCAAAAGTATGTAAAGCCTGAGTGAATGAGCCAGAAAAGAAGTGTCCCTTCAGGGAGATGGTGAGGATACAGGCTGGTCTCAACCTTGACTCTGGATGGAAAGGGAAAACAGAGAGAAAGGAAAAGCCTCTGCTTTAAGAATTCTTTACCACACCAGCATACACAGGTGCATAGACCTGGAATTTACATTACCTCTACATGACATGTAAAACCCCAAGCCAAACATCTATTAGAAGGAAGTCCTAGATGTCATTATTTATAACTAATTAGAAGTGGGTTAAGTGCTCCAAAGGTAAGTTGAGGGTCTTACGGACTCATTAACTGGGGAAACTGAACTGACTTTCTAAGGTAAGGTACAGCCTCTCTGAAGAAGTGAAATTCAGATACCCGAAGGATAAGGAAGTGCAGTCACTATCTGGCTTCTCATTGCTTCTCTGCCTTTTGGCTAAGATCAAGAGAGATTTGGCTTCTCAGTATCAGAACCCTGTTCTCACTGGGGAATCTGCCCTTGTGTGAATCTTAGTTGAAATCTTCCCACTAGTAAGACCAGACACTAGCTCTCAGACTCCTGGAATCCACAGCCCAACCACACCACCCCATCTCAGCCAATCAGATGCTCTGCATAGGTCTTGGCTTCCAAAACAAATATTATGAAGAAACCAGGGTCATAGAGAGTTCACAAAGCAAAGACAAAGACAGTGTCTTCCAGCAACCAGCTGTGGTGGTGTATGTGATATTCCGTTGCCAGTGTAACATAATTGGACTATCCCAAGACTGTGTATGATTCTAGCCATTGGTAGAAAGGTTAAATATGACCTACACTACAAGGAAAACATTAAGAGGACAAATACTCTTTGGAAAGCATTCAAAAAGAGTCCTAGTAACCATCACCACTCAAAGTCAAGAAGAAAATGACAAAGGTTTCATTGCAGCAAGTTAGATAGTCTTGTTCCTCAAGGTGTTGAACAGACCGTTCATCACTGGCCCCATCTTGGTGAAGGACACTGTAATTTACACTAACCCATAGCTTCTGGAGATCTGAGGTACATGAATGTCCCTAATCCAAAAAAAGAAATAAACAGATTTATGGAATCTGGCTGAAGATTTGGACCACTGGGTTAATGAAAAATGTTGAAAAGAATGAAAACAAAATATGAAAATGATAACACAGCATGGTACACTGCTGGTTCTCATGAATACAAATCCACCTGCTTCTGACATAGGTACTGATTCAGGCAGCCTGAAGCGGGCCTATGTTACACAAGTTAAGGCTCATGCAACTGTGATCACAAAACAGGAATTGGTCCATGTCCCTTGATGGACCACAGCATCAGCAAATTCTATAACTTATGAACCATCTACAGAAATGAAACTTATGAAAGAGACCGGCAGGGTCATGGCCTCATAGTGATCCAAGGCCAGTGGGATAAATATGGAGTAATCACTAATGACAAAGAAGCCAGAGGAAAAGGCTGAGTGTTTGATGTCACATAGGTGATGATGTTCTTTTCTGTCACAAAGCTTATTGTCATTTGGGGAGAAATGACAGAGGAATAGAAGAAACCTATGAAGGAAAAGCTAAAGATATAAAGGTACATGGAGGTGTGGCAGTGGGTACATGGAGGTGTGGTGTGGTCATCCCAGTTAGGGTGACCAAAACACAGAGTAGAGAGAGGGTTGAAGCTCTGGCTCACCTGTCAACTTAGCGAAAATATATCTGAGAAAAGAATGACTAAACAACACATAGGTCAAGGAAGAAGAAATCACAGGGAAAATCGAAAAATATTTTGAATAGAAAAATAAGAAAGACACAACAGGAATCTCTCCTGAGAAAATAATCAGAAATCTAGATAAAAATTTTAACACATTCTTTCAGTAGGAGATTGCTTAATTTTTTAAAAAATTTTAACACAAAACTCATAGTTATGGTATTATTTATATCAATTAAATGTTGGGGAGACTGACACAGTGTTAATGTTTAGCAACAGGAAAAAGCTGAAATAAAATATGACATAGCTACATGATTAATTAAGTCCATGGAAAATTACAATTCAAAAAAATATTGATAAGGAATAAAGATCACATTATAATGATAAGTTAAACAACATTTTGTAACACAGCACATACAGGATGATCCCACTGGAAGAGACTTTCATATTCCAGACAATATTCTCCTTTCCTGTTCTCCGAATGGTGGAGTAGACCAGTTAGCTATTATTATACAACCAAACACAATCTCATTGGCATACAACAAGGAATATTTGTTTCTCATATGTCTACAAATTGATTGTGGTAGTTCGTCTTGTCTGGGCTCAGCTGGGCCGCACTGCTTGCTCTGCACAGTGAACACTGCTCCTCGTGTGTTCATATTGAGAATTAGTTGGGAGCGGCAGCATTTACCCAGGAGGGACTCTTCTCAAGGCAATGGCAGAAGCCGAAGAGGGCAAATACCATGCAAAGATATTCCAAGCTCCTGCTAACATCTCATCTACTAATATCCTATTAGCCAAAATAGTTCACCTGGCCAAGCCAACAGTCATAGGCAAGGAAAAATATACCCTACTTCTGTGAGACCATGGCAAGGGAATGGATATATAATACTACTAGATGAATGACGAATTTTGACCAATAACTCAAACTACCACATTGAGATATAGGTAATCATTTTCTTCACACATATTTCACATTCCAAATTTTCAACAATAATATATGAGTTGCTCCAAGAATCAGAAAAAGAAAAACCATGTGCCTCATTAGTTAAAATAGATAAGCACGTATAGAACTTTGTGACGGATTAAAAATACTTGCCATCCTGATATTCTTAACTATCAGAGGCTCTGACCTCACCACAATATCAACCAAATAGTGATGGGAGTGGTGCAACCACGAGATGAGGACAGAAGATCAGGGAACCAAAATGTTACCCTGTGGCTCCAGGGCTGGGGTCCACAGTGATGCATCCAGGGCCAAGTGTGCCTCTGTTCTTTCTCTCCCTCCTCAGCTGCATCCCTTCCCAGACCTCTTCTGTGATTGGCTCCTCTTCTTTTTACCCCTGCATTGTTCTCTTATCCCATCCTCTTCTAGGCTGTTTCCTTTGGAAAATGCCTTTTTATACAACTTTAAAACAAGATAGGTGGATGAATAGATAGGCAGATAGATTAGATAAATTAGATAGATATGTACATACATACACAGATACATGCATAGATAGAAAGATACATAGATAGATATGCTCGAATATGAGAAGATTCATAGGAAATCAGCAACAACTGTTGTTTTTAGGAAGGAGATTTTAGGAATGGAATGATAAGATAGGAGGAAGACATATTTTCACTGTATAACCCCCATTTATATTGTTTAGTGCTGTACCATACGCAAATATTACTTAGTCAAAATATATGACTTTTTAAATGATACTTAGAGTTCATTTTTCTCATGACTAAGCAGAGTTCCAGGAAGATGAAGTGACTTGTCTCAGCTCATGGAAAAACTCAAGGAAGTGCTGATAATTACATAAAAGAATTATTGCAGGGTGATAACTAAAATGTAGTAAGTGCCCTGCATTTAATTCTTCAAAGACCCCACGAAGTCAGAATCATTACATCACTTTCAAAAATAAAAAAATTAATATTTAGAGACATTAAGTAATTTGCCCAAAGTCACAAAATTACTAAGCAACTGAGCCAGGATACAAAACCAACTTCATCATGTGCCTCACGAATCGCTGTTTTCATCTGCTCTCTACCTCAAATAGCCTATTCACCTCACCCACCAGACGCCCACCCACAAGTCTCCTGAACTCACTTCTCTTTCCTATTCCACGCTGACTAAAGAAAAATCTTTCCCACCACACACACACACACACGTACACACACACACACTCTCAGTCTTATGACTTCAAGCCCTTCGTGTCATACCAAAGAACAAAACTACACCCTCATCTAAACTTCCCTTTTTCCCAAAGAATATTCCCAAGGAAAAGCTCAGAAATCAAAGTGTCTCCCCAGCACTTAACATGGTTAATGCTAATCCAAAGAACCTTCCTTTGCTACTAATAAATTATTTAGATCAAAGTGTATTGATCTGGCGTGTTCTATAACTATCATTATATGTTGTGGGTTTACAACCCAGTCTTGGATGAATTATCTTTTACCACATATGTTTATATGAGTGCAGTCTGCAGTACCTTAAAATTCAATGGAAATTGCCTCTTTTAATAATCAGCTGCTTAGTGCTGTTTTAATAACTAACTAGATTCTCAACATTATTTACTTCGCCTCGAAAACTTCCAGACCCTTAGTTGATTATCCTAAGCCACATATTTCTCCATCACAGCTCAAACACCCAAACTAACCCTTGAAAAAGCTCTACATTCTGATTCTTTAAGTTTTCAAATGAATGTATGATTTCTACTCAGCATCTTTATAACCCTTAATCCTATGGAAGTCCTAATTCCCTAGACTGGGTTCCTAGGGTTCCACACAACCTCAATCTTAACTCAATGTCAGTCACATTCTACAAACTTGACACAATTCTCTTCTCATTTGGTGAAGACCAACTTAAGAAAATGTTTCATCTTCTATCCTCTTGAAAAAAAATGAAATATTTAAAAATTATTTATTGAGAGGTCACATTAAATTACTATGAATAGAATTAGGTTTTAATGTGTTAAGTTTTCTTACTTTTAAAAGGATATCTGCAAGGGCAGCAATGAAGCATGAAAAAATGACATAAAGAAAAAAAAAGCAGCCTGGAATTCAAGGACCTGGATTCCATTCCCAGTTGTGGCACCAAGTAGTTGTGTGTCCTTGAGCAACATATGTATTTCTGAGTCTCCAACACATGTTAATTGAAGAGACTAGATTAAATAATGTGTAAGGCCAATTCACGATTAAATGGTCTATGATTATAGAAAAATTTGCATAAAATGAAGAAATCCTGGAATAACTAGGTGAAGCAGAGACAGGGAGAATATGTCTGCACTTAACACTCATCCAAATGTAAAGATTTAAAATTCTTTTTCTGTACAAGACAGGAAAAAAATGGAACTTGAATCTCACTGAAAACACACACTAATAAGCAAAGCATTGTATCTCCTTCCTCCAATACTAATCCTTTCTTAAGAAAAGATTTTTCTGCCCAAAGTTCTCCTCAGGGCAACTTTGACATCCTTGTTCCTCAAGCTATAGATTAATGGGTTTAACACGGGGACTATTATGGTATAGAACAGGGAGGACACTTTCCCTTGCTCGAGGGGCAGGATGGAAAGGGGTTTGAGATACATGAAAGCACCAGAACCAAAGAAAAGAGAAACTACAATTATGTGGGAACTGCAAGTACTAAAGGCTTTGGACCTGCCTTCTGTAGAACTGTTGTGTAGAATGCTGGAGAGGATGAGGGCATAAGAAATAAAGACAGTGACAATGGGCATTCCAACGTCAACAGCCACCACAATAAAGACCACCAGCTCATTCATGTAAGAGCTGTTGCAGGAGAGCTCAAGGAGAGGAAGGATGTCACACATGAAATGATTGACAAGGTTGTCAGCACAGAAGGTCAGGTTCATTATGCTTCCTGTGTGGGCCATGGCCCCAGCAAACCCCATCCCATAGGCACCCAACAAAAGGAGCAAACACACCTGGCAAGACATGGTGACTGTGTACAACAGTGGGTTACAGATGGCCACGTAGCGGTCATACGCCATCGCTGACAGGATGAAGGACTCAGAGACGACAAAGAAGCAGAAGAAGAAGAGCTGAGTCATACACCCTGTGAAGGAAATGATGTTCTTCCTTGAGACAAAACTCATCAGCATTTTGGGAGTGATGGTAGTGGAGAAACAGAAATCTATTAAAGAGAGGTTAAAAAGGAAGAAGTACATGGGAGTGTGCAGGTGAGAGTTCAGCCCAATCAGGGTTATCAAGCCCAGGTTCCCCACCACGGTGACCGTGTAGAAACCCAGAAACAGGAAGAAGAGGGGGATCCGCAGTCCCGGCTGGTGGGTTAAGCCTTCGAGGATAAACTCTGTCACAGAAGAGTTTTTGGCTGCCATTCTTTTTGGTCAGGCAGGAGAGTCGGAGGGGACAAGAGAAGAGGACCACTTAGAAAGAAACATCACCACCACATTCTTAGTCTCTATCTCCCATTCTTAGAAAAGGAATCCAAGGAGAGAGATTTGAACTTTGGTAGGAAGGTTTTTACCACTCACTGTGGGTCTATCTTCACAGTCCGAGTGATTATAACTCCCAAAGTGTAATATGAGACTCAACTGTAACTGCAGAATGAGAGCTGGATCTGCTGAAGAAAGGGGTACCAAAAATAATCCAAATGTCTTTTAGATCCTTAGGTCAGTCCCTTTTCTATATCTTTCCCTCTCCTGTCTCTGCTTCACTTGGTAAAACCTGGACCTCTTCCCTGAAGGGAATCCTGAGATGCAGAAGCCACAGTGGCTCTGCTCAGAGCTTCCACCTCTGGGTCCACACTGTCAGATTAAGTAGGTGAGCTCATGCTTTTCCAAGATCTCTTAGCTCAAGTGGCTGTACATTTAATAATTTTTTAAAGCTGACACTTATTGAGTGGTTACTATAAGAGGTTCTGTTTGAAGAGCCATGTAGCAATATTATTATCTTCATTTTACAGATGAAACAAGTAAGATGACATAACTAGACAAAAGTCCCCAAACCACCTGCAGCCAGAAGGTGAATTTCGGCAGTATGGCTCAAATGGCTTGCACTTGAAATCACCATGTTACATAAGTGACCAGCATCGGGGCAGGCACTCACCTTCCTTCCCTTTAGAGCCATAAATGCTATACTCTACTGCCTCTTTTTCACATTCTGGGGAGGAAGATGACCCTAGTGAAGACAAGATGACAGATCTGAGCTCAAAGCCCTCTCTTCCCAGTACAGGTCAAAGGATCAGAACCTCTAATGTATCTCATAACACTTCCTGCACTGAAGGACATGACTTCCAATTGTTCATTTGCCCAAAGGCCTCTCCAGCTTCCAGGAAGGAGACAAAGCTTTTTCCTGACCAGTGAATAACAAAAGACTAAAGAGTTTTATTCTGGATTACAGACCTCAATGATCTGGCCATTAAGATAGAGACTCCCTCAAGACCACTTGCTTAGCAATTAGTTTCCCTAGAGAAGAAGAAATGTTTGTTTATCTCTTGGAATTGCTTGATTTGGCTTTCTACTAACATGTATCCTGTACTATTAAGAGAAAATCATTGTGAAAAAAATGATTGTCATTACCATTTCTTGAATACCCAATAATTTAGTACCTGACATAGTACCCTTATTCCAGCTGCCAAGATCCAGAGTACACATATACAAACATATCTTTATTTATTTCTCACAATACCTATTTTACAGGTAAGTTGCTCACAGAGACAAGATGTTTCAGAGTCCACAGGTATGCTTAGGTCTGTCTGACTCCAAGCCCCTTATGTAGCTGCTAGACTAAACTACCTCCCAAGGACAGCTACTGAAATCCATAAAGCAGAGCCCTTGCCTTCTTGGATCTGACAGTCTCTTGGAAAATAACAAGTAAATATTCAATGAATTTAAGTTTTAAAAGGAAGCAATTAGAGCCTGGAAAGGTTAACACAAAGGGCTATTGTAATTTAGAATAGGCTATTCAATAATTTATTCATATTCCACTCACCTCAGGAATTAATTGCACTACTCTAGTCCCAGCTCAGACAAGAACATACTTCTCTCGTTCCCCTCCCCTGTCCTCTCATGGAGTGTATGTTTAATGGTAACAAGAATCCCTATCAGGTAACTGCTCTCAATGTCTACCAAGACCAGCCTTTCTCTAAATTAATAACTAGTCAAAATTCCCTCTGGCTGTCCCTGCCTTCCACCCACTTTTCTTTGAGCACTTCTCCCAACTGACTTTCCATCTGTTCAGTGCCCTCAAACTGAGTCCTAGTAGACCAGACTCCCACTGCAGGAACACATCCACATTTGTTCTTCCTCTTTGGTTTGCATTTGTCTTTTTCTGTCTTTTACTCCATACCTCCAAGCTCTGCCTGGATTAAAATCGTCTATCCTATGTCTCTGTCTCTAAGATATTTACTTATTTTCTTTAACATCAAACCAACAAACTCATAAAATTTTAGACCCGAAAAGACTTGAGAGAGTATCTCATCCAGTGTTTCCCAAACCTAGCTGGTTATCACAATTATCTAAAATATTCATTAAAAAGAAATGCTGGGCTCCAACCATACCTTTGGAATCAGAATCTCCATAGATATGGATATGGTGGCTGTGTTTTTTTAAAATCTTCCCAAGCATTTCCAATGCCAGGAACTGATAGATTCACAGAACTATTATTTGCCCTCATCTTACAGGCAAAGACCTCTAAAAAGTTCAAAGAAGTAAAGCCATTCACCCAAGGTCACAGATCTCTTCTAAGTCTCCGCATTTCCAATCTCTCCTCATCCATTAACTCACCTGACCTTCATTTTGGCTGGAATGTAAAACACAAATAATGGAAACATAAGTTATGAGACTTTTTATTTCAAGTGTGATGGTATAGCTATTATTGCACTTACCCCTCTGACCACAAAAAAAAAGAAAGAAAAAAAAAGGCTGGAAAAAGTGTATAAAGCAACTATTTGCAATACTTGGAAAGTAGACAACACAGGGATGAAATTCTTGAGAAAAGGCAAAAAAACAAGGTAACTAACACATTCACCCCAACTTTCTCTAAGGCCAGTTTCTAAACGATGCATAGTAAAGTGATGCCCCAACAAATGGCAGCAGCTTCTACTAGTGGAATGAAAAAGTGTAAGGAGGCTAAGACAGCTGGAATGTGTGGGGCAAGGAATGGAGAATAAAAAGCCAAAAAAAAAAAAAGGACCCTCAGGTACCTGCACAAAGGACTCCCTTAAGTTCTTGGCTGAATCCTAAATTTTATATCTGGAGGGCAAGGTTCTACCGGCTTAGGAGACAACAGCTGCTGGGGGCTAAGAACTGAACAGAGATCACAGAGGATCCACAGTGCCTGATATAAATTAGAATTCTGACCTACTGAAAATGGAGAGGCCTTGGTCAGCAAACCAGGCTTTAAGTGAGACCCCTGAAAAGTCATACACTAAGAGTAAATACTATTCCTTTGTGCTAAGGGCAAAACTGAATCATAACAAAGGCTAAATCCAGGTCTTAACATGATCAGAGGGAACTACTAGTAAATTAACTACATCCCAGAACAAAATTTAACACTCTGTAACAAAGGCCAACATAATCCACTGTCTCTAAAACATATCCACAGTGTCCAATATCATAAAGTCAAAAATTACTGGAAACACAAAGAAGCAAGAAAATGTGACCCAAAGTCAAGATGGAAAAATATATTAGAAGCAGGTCCACATCTGAACTAGATGTTGAAATTAACAGACAAGGACTTTAAAATAACTTCTATAATTATTTTTAAAATATTAGATAAAAGGACAGAATTGGCTAATATGTGGTAAATTCCAACAAAGCAATAGAAACAATCAAGATAACCAAATGAAAATTTCAAAACTAAAAAATATTGGAAATAAAAATTCACCAGATTAGCTTAATAGCAGATCAGGCACAGTCAAAGGAAAGATCAGTATAAGCAAAGACAAATCGATAGAAATTATCTGTACTAAAATACGGACAGGCAAAAAGTAATATTAAAAAAGAACATGGTAACTAAAACATTTAGTGCAATGCTAAATAGTCCAACATATGTATATTTAGAGTTCCAAAAGGTGAGTCAAGGGAGAATTGGGTAGAAATAATTTTTTAAGAGATAATAGCTGAAATTTTTCCAAGTTTAATAAAATTTATGAATCTATAGACCCAAAAAGTTCAGGAAACCACAAACAAGATGAATATAAAATATACCACACCTAGGCATATTATACATAGTCAAACTGTTGAAAACCAATAACAAAAACAAAGCAGCTTAAAAGCAATCAGAGATAAAAGATGTATTGCATTCAAAGAAGCAAAAATAATAATAATTGACTTGTAATAAAAGAAATAGAAGTCAGAAGACAATGACATGACCTTTAAAATACTGAAAGGAAAAAAATTGTCAACCTAGTATTGGCAAAAATATCCTGGCTAAAATATTCTTCAAAAAAATAAAGGAATTTTCAGACAAAAGGTGAAAGAATATGTCACCAATAAGCCTACACTGCAAAAAAGCTGAGAAAGAGAGAGAGGGAAATGGTCCCAGAGGAAGGCTTAGATCTGCAGGAAGAAATGTGAAACACTGAAAATAGGAAATATATGGGTAAATATAAAAGGCCATTTTAAAATTTTCCTTAAATTTAAATTACTTTGACCATTTAAAGCAACAGAAAACAATTTATGGTAGATTTAAAATATGTGTAGAAGTAAAATATATAAAATGCCAATAACACAATAAAACATAATACGGTAATACAAATAATGCAATAAAAATAACAGAGAGAGATATAGTTAAAATTCCAACAAAAGACCTAAAATGAAATATTTTTAAAAATTTAAATGACCCAAGAGGAACAAACTTAAATTAATATTTTAAAAATCAATCATTATCCACCACATTAATAGAATAAAACAGTAAAATTATATAATCATCTCAATGCAGAAAGAGTATTTGATAAAAGGCAACACTTATTCATGATAAGAATTCTCAGCAATGTAGGAATAGGAAGGAGTATCCTAAATCTGATAAAAGACATCCGTGAAAAACCTACAGCTAAAAACCTACATCATATTCAGTCGTGAAATACTGATTGTTTTTATTGTGAGGTCAATAATAAGTCTAAAATGTCCGCTCTCATAAGTTTTATTCAACATTTTATCGGAAGTCCTAGCCCACTTAATAGGGGTAAACGTTGAGCTTCTCAACAGTCTCAAAAAGAACAAGTCGGGCACGGTGGCTCACACCTGTAATCCTAGCACTTTCAGAGGCCGAAGTGGGCAGATCCCATGAACCCAGGAGTTTGAGACCAGCCTGGGCAACAGCTACACAGGAGGCTAAGGTGGGAGAACCACCGGAGCCCAGGGAGGGTGAGGCTGCAGTAAGCCATGATCACGCCACTGCACTCCAGCCTGGGTGACAGAGTGAGACTCTGTCTCAAAAAAAAAAGGAAAACCAAAAAAAAAAAAAAAAAAAAAAAAAACAAGGACAACGTAATTTAGTCTCTACCATGTATCAGTCAGAATATCAAGCATATAATGAAAAATTATTCTTGACTGCCTCTCCCTCCACCACCTTGCTGAACACTGCACCTGACCTTCCAGCTGCTCAGTGTTCTCAAACTAAATCCTCCCCCATAAGATTGCCAGTGTCAGTTTGCTGTCTCTGATTTGTTTGCATAACAGGACTAAAATGGAAATGCAAGATATAAAATCATCTTAATTTACACATGACTTGAATATACCTAGTAATCAAAGTAAGCCTATAAACAGGCTATTAGAACTTAAAAGTGAATTTAATAAAGTCATGGAATACAAGGTTAATGTATAAAAATTAACTGCATTTGTACAAACTAGCAAAAAATTACAAAATGAAATTTTTCCAATAACATTGACACTAGCAACAAAAATTGATATACTTAGAAATTTATTTAACAAAATTTTTGTATACCTCTATATTGAAAACTCTAACATATAACTGAATAATATTTAGAAAATCTACATATATGAAAAAATATATCATATTCATGGATTGAAAAACTAAATATTGTTAAATTGTTACATCTACCTAAATTAATCAGCAGATTCAATTCAATACCAGTTAAAATGCCAGCAGACATGTTGACAGAAATTGACAAAATAATTCTAAAAATTATATGAAAATGCAAAGGACCTAGAATAGCCAAAACAACTTTGAAAAAGAAGAAAGTTGGAGAACTTACACTATTTGACTCCAAGAATTATATAAGTTTCAGAAATTAAAACAGTTTAGTAGAGAAGTAAAGACAGGCAAATAGATTAATAGAGCAGAGCACAGCACCCACAAACAGACCCACTTATAGGGTCAATTGATTTTTTTTTTTACAAAAGTGCTAAAGCAATTCAACAAGAGAAAAAAAATTTGATGAATGATTCTGGAACAACTAAATAGCAATATATAAACAAAAATGATCTTTTAACCCCTATCTTATTCTATACATATTTAATTCATGATGGATCAGAGACTTAAATATAAAATCTAAGCCTACGAACATCTAGAAGAAAATCAGACCTTAGAATAAGACCTGTTCTCAAGACCTTAGAATAGGATTTCTTGACCATAAAAGACAATAACCATAAAAGAAAAAAATAATAATCCAATGTGATTAAAATTCTAAACTTCTGCTTTTTAAAATACAACATTAAGAAAATGTAAAGGCAAACTACAGGGAGAAAATAGTCACAGTATATGTATCTGTCAAAAGACTCAGGCCTGGGTGAGTGGATCACCTGAGGTCAGGAGTTTGAGACCAGCCTGGCCAACATGTTGAAACTCCATCTCTACTAAAAATACAAAAAAAAAAATTAGTCGGGCTTAGTGGCACATGCCTGTGGTCCTAGCTGCTCAGGAGGCTGAAGCACAAGAATCGCTTGAACCGGGGAGGTGGAGGTTGTAGTGAGCCGAGATCACACCACTGCACTCCAGCCTAGGCATTGTCCTTGAGATGTCTCGCTCCATCTCAAAAAAAAAAAACAAAAACAAAACAAAAAAAAAAGATTCATCTATAATATATAAAGAACTCTTACAAATAAATTATTGAAATACTAAAAACTTTTGATGGGACAAAGATTGAAACAGACATTTCAGAAGATACCTCAAATGGCCAATTAGCATACGGGAAGTTGCTCCAAGCATTATTTATTAGAAAAATGCAAATTAAAATCACAATAAGCTGTCACCACATACCCATCACAGTAGCTAAAATTAAAAAGACTGACAGGACCAAATGTTGGCAAGAATATGGGGCAAATAAAACACTCTTATATCACTAGTAGAAATGTAAAGTGGTACAACCATGTGTAAAAGTTGCACTATCTAATAAAACGAAACAAATACCCTGGACCCAGCAATTTCACTTCTATGTATATACCCCAAAAGTCAATGCATATTTCCACAAAAAAAAAATCTCAAACACAAATATTTATGGCAGCTTTATTCCTAACAGCCAAAAAGTAGTCATGACCCAAATAAGCATCAACAGAAGAATACAGAAATAAGCCATGGTATAATCACTAAATGGAATACAACTCAGCAATAAAAAAAAAAAAAGAGCAGACTATTGATATGTGCAGCAACCTGGGAGAAATCTTGAAAAGAAATAATGGATTTGTCTGGAAAAGTATGCTAGGAACACACTGAGGTTAACCTACAATGCTATAATTAACCACAATTTACTAGCCAGTAGGTAACCTCCAATAGTCATTGAGTAAGAGAATGACATTCATTAATTCATTCAACAAATATTGAGAAACTGTGTCAGACACTGTTCTAGGGGCTACAGATAAAGCCCTAACCAAAACAAGTCTCTGCCCTCACTGAGCTTGTATTCTAATAGGAGGAAGACAGACCATAAATAACTTATGTAATATATTAGATGATAATAAGAGCAATAAAAAAGCAAGGAAAGTGAATACAAAGGGCGAGTTGTAAGTTATGCATTGAAATAGGATGGTAGGGTTAGGCGTCTTTGGAGAGTGACATTTAAGCAGTCTTGAAAGACTGTGATCAGAGTTGTGCTGGTCAATAGCAGTTACTCTAGTGACCACCGGGTGAATGTTGCTTAGCGTATCGCAATGCATCATTGCTTCATGCTTCTGACAATAGCTCTACCTATAGCACTGGCTTGAATGAATGAATATTGGACATTGTGACAAGTTAGAGAAGCAAAAGACCTTTCCGAGCTTTTTACAAAATCACAAGTTATGCAATGAAGTTCACTGCCTGCACACATTGTTGGTCTTTAAACAACCAGCACTAGCTGCTCTAAATTCCCTTAGTTTTCACATTCATTCTCAGGAAGGGATCTGATAAAGTCATTTCTATAGGGACAGAGTGAGCTGCTGAATAGCCACCTACACTCCAAATCCTTTCACAGGGCCATTTACAATGCTTTTAGCCAAAAAGGAAAGAAACTTGTTTGGAGAAACTCAAACCTCATTGAGCAAGTAGGTAAGCTATGTTTTTGATCATGATTTCTCTTAAGAAGTTTATGAAATCATACCATAAAGGTATGACTCCTTGTCAAGTCCATCTTCAATCATGGCACTAATCACTTCACATTTATATGTGTGCACACATCAGCATCTGTTTGCTTATCAACCTCTGGGAGATTTTTTCAACCAGTATTCCACAGTAATGGTGCCTCATCTGTAGATTTACACTTACAATTTTGCTGTGTCCTACAGTGTCTCTAATGAGTCCCAATGCCTGATCTTTATGCCACTACACATAAGTTACAAATGGAGAAAAACAATTAACTATCATAAACTCTCTTGGGGACCCAAAGGCAGAGAAAACTTTAGGGGTTCATTAAAAGCTGGCTTTTCTCTAGGAGCCTTAGAAGTTTCTTGTCTGGATGATGCAACACTAGGGAATGTTTCTACGGGTTGATGTCATTTCAGAGACCATTGCCATGAAAACTTTATTTCAAATGCATTTCAATCATGGCTTTTCCAAAGTCAGAGTTACTGACGACTTGCTTCAGCACAAGCAGAAAACAGCATAGAAAGAAACACTTTTGACTACGTTCATTTTGGTACTGTTGGTTCTTCCTCTATTCCTCTCCCCTCGCATTTCACCTTTTTCAGGGTCCCATGCACTTCCTTTTCTTCTTTAAGGTTTGGTGAGCTCATCTAATCAACCAGCTCCTCTATATGGAGGCTCCCAAATTTGTTTTTTTTGTTTGTTTGTTTGTTTGTTTGTTTGTTTTATTATTATTATACTTTAAATTTTAGGGTACATGTGCACAATGTGCAGGTTAGTTACATATGTATACATGTGCCATGCTGGTGTGCTGCACCCACCAACTCGTCATTTAGCATTAGGTATATCTCCTAAAGCTGTCCCTCCCCCCTATCCCCACCCCACAACAGTCCCCAGAGTGTGATGTTCCCCTTCCTGTGTCCATGTGTTCTCATTGTTCAATTCCCACCTATGAGTGAAAACATGCGGTGTTTGGTTTTTTGTCCTTGCGATAGTTTACTGAGAATGATGATTTCCAATTTCATCCATGTCCCTACAAAGGACATGAACTCATCATTTTGTATGGCTGCATAGTATTCCATGGTGTATATGTGCCACATTTTCTTAATCCAGTCTATCATTGTTGGGCATTTGGGTTGGTTGCAAGTCTTTGCTATTGTGAATAGTGCCGCAATAAACATACGTGTGCATGTGTCTTTATAGCAGCATGATTTATAGTCCTTTGGATATATACCCAGTAATGGGATGGCTGGGTCAAATGGTATTTCTAGTTCTAGATCCCTGAGGAATGGCCACACTGACTTCCACAAGGGTTGAACTAGTTTACAGTCCCACCAACAGTGTAAAAGTGTTCCTATTTTTCCACATCCTCTCCAGCACCTGTTGTTTCCTGACTTTTTAATGATTGCCATTCTAACTGGTGTGAGATGGTATCTCATTGTGGTTTTGATTTGCATTTCTCTGATGGCCAGTGATGGTGAGCATTTTTTCATGTGTTTTTTGGCTGCATAAATGTCTTCTTTTGAGAAGTGTCTGTTCATATCCTTTGCCCACTTTTTGATGGAGCTGTTTGTTTTTTTCTTGTAAATTTGTTGGAGTTCATTGTAGATTTTGGATATTAGCCCTTTGTCAGATGAGTAGGTTGCGAAAATTTTCTCCCATTTTGTAGGTTGCCTGTTCACTCTGATGGTAGTTTCTTTTGCTGTGCAGAAGCTCTTTAGTTTAATTAGATCCCATTTGTCAATTTTGGCTTTTGTTGCCATTGCTTTTGGTGTTTTAGACATGAAGTCCTTGCCCATGCCTATGTCCTGAATGGTAATGCCTAGGTTTTCTTCTAGGGTTTTTATGGTTTTAGGTCTAACGTTTAAGTCTTTAATCCATCTTGAATTAATTTTTGTATAAGGTGTAAGGAAGGGATTCAGTTTCAGCTTTCTACATATGGCTAGCCAGTTTTCCCAGCACCATTTATTAAATAGGGAATCCTTTCCCCATTGCTTGTTTTTCTCAGGTTTGTCAAAGATCAGATAGTTGTAGATATGTGGCGTTATTTCTGAGGGCTCTGTTCTGTTCCATTGATCTATATCTCTGTTTTGGTACCAGTACCATGCTGTTTTGGTGACTGTAGCCTTGTAGTATAGTTTGAAGTCAGGTAGCGTGATGCCTCCAGCTTTGTTCTTTTGGCTTAGATCCACAATTGACACCCTAACATCGCAATTAAAAGAACTAGAAAAGCAAGAGCAAACACATTCAAAAGCTAGCAGAAGGCAAGAAATAACTAAAATCAGAGCAGAACTGAAGGAAATAGAGACACAAAAAACCCTTCAAAAAATTAATGAATCCAGGAGCTGGTTTTTTGAAAGGATCAACAAAATTGATAGACCGCTAGCTAGACTAATAAAGAAAAGAGAGAGGAATCAAATAGATGCAATAAAAAATGATAAAGGGGATATCACCACCGATCCCACAGAAACACAAACTACCATCAGAGAATACTACAAACACCTCTATGCAAATCAACTAGAAAATCTAGAAGAAATGGATAAATTCCTCGACACATACACCCTCCCAAGACTATACCAGGAAGAAGTTGAATCTCTGAATAGACCAATAACAGGCTCTGTAATTGTGGCAATAAGCAATAGCGTACCAACCAAAAAGAGTCCAGGACCAGATGGATTCACAGCCGAATTCTACCAGAGGTACAAGGAGGAACTGGTACCATTCCTTCTGAAACTATTCCAATCAATAGAAAAAGAGGGAATCCTCCCTAACTCATTTTATGAGGCCAGCATCATCCTGATACCAAAGCTGGGCAGAGACACAACCAAAAAAGAGAATTTTAGACCAATATCCTTGATGAACATTGATGCAAAAATCCTCAATAAAATACTGGCAAACCAAGTCCAGCAGCACATCAAAAAGCTTATCCACCATGATCAAGTGGGCTTCATCCCTGGGATGCAAGGCTGGTTCAATATATGCAAATCAATAAATGTAATCCAGCATATAAACAGAACCAAAGACAAAAACCACATGATTATCTCAATAGATGCAGAAAAGGCCTTTGACAAAATTTAACAACGCTTCATGCTAAAAACTCTCAGTAAATTAGATATTGATGGGACGTATCTCAAAATAATAAGAGCTATCTATGACAAACCCACAGCCAATATCATACTGAATGGACAAAAACTGGAAGCATTCCCTTTGAAAACTGGCACAAGACAGGGATGCCCTCTCTCACCACTCCTATTCAACATAGTGTTAGAAGTTCTGGCCAGGGCAATTAGGCAGGAGAAGGAAATAAATGGTATTCACTTAGGAAAAGAGGAAGTCAAATTGTCCCTGTTTGCAGGTGACATGATAGTATATCTAGAAAACCCCATTTTCTGAGCCCAAAATCTCCTTAAGCTGATAAGCAACTTCAGCAAAGTCTCAGGATACAAAATCAATGTACAAAAATCACAAACATTCTTATACACCAATAACAGACAAACAGAGAGCCAAATCATGAGTGAACTCCCATTCACAATTGCTTCAAAGAGAATAAAATACCTAGGAATCCAACTTACAAGGGACGTGAAGGACCTCTTCAAGGAGAACTTCAAACCACTGCTCAATGAAGTAAAAGAGGATATAAAGAAATGGAAGAACATTCCATGCTCATGGGTAGGAAGAATCAGTATCATGAAAATGGCCATACTGCCCAAGGTAATTTATAGATTCAGTGCCATCCCCATCAAGCTACCAATGACTTTCTTCACAGAATTGGAAAAAACTACTTTAAAGTTCATATGGAACCAAAAAAGAGCCCGCATCGCCAAGTCAATCCTAAGCCAAAAGAGGCTCCCAAATTTGTAACTTTAGCTTTCATGTTTCTTTTTTATATATATACTTTAAGTTCTGGGATACATGTGCAGAACGTGCAGGTTTGTTACATAAGTAGACATGTGCCATGGCGGTTTGCTGCATTCATCAACCCGTCATCTAGGTTTTAAGTGCCGCATGCATTAGGTATTTGTCCTAATGCTCTCCCTCCCCTTGCCCCTCAACCCCCAACAGCCCCCAGTGTGTGATGTTCCCCTCCCTGTGCCCATGTGTTCTCATTGTTCAACTCTCACTTATGAGTGAGAATATGTGGTGTTTGGTTTTCTGTTCCTGTGTTAGTTTGCTGAGAATGATAGTTTCCATCTTCATCCATGTCCCTGCAAAGGACATGAACTCATTCTTTTTGATGGCTGCATAGTATTCCATGGTGTTTATGTGCCACAGATATATAGACCAATGGAACAGAACAGAGGCCTCAAAAATAACGCCACACATCTACAACCATCTGATCTTCGACAAACCTGACAAAAACAAGCAATGGGGAAATGATTCCCTATTTAATAGCTTTCGTATTTCTATTAAGCCCATAAACTGGTATCCAATCACTTTACTATAGGCTGTCTAGTGCTCATTACAAATACTAACTTGAAAGCTGAGCTCATGTTCTCTTCTGCGAAAGCACTATTTAAGTGGGTATAACCACTGGAAAGGAACTACAGTATAGTATCAATAAGGTGACCAACTGTCAATTTGCCTGGAATACTCCCAGTTTTTGCCTGTTGTTTCAGCAAAACTATTAATAGCACCTTCTTTCTGTCTCAGATATATTCTAATGAATGATAAATTATGGTCTCCCTAAGTATTCAGAACTGAACTTTGGAATTAGATGAACCTCAGCACAAATCCTGGCTCTACCTCTTATTAGATGTGTGACCTTAGGAAGTGTTTAACCTCTCTCTGAACTGCAAGTCCCTAATCTTAAAATGAATATAATAACCAACCTCAAATGATTATCGTAATGAATAAGTGGTGCTGATTACAGCACTTAGAAGACATAAAATGAAGTAGTTTAAATAATATTAGCATTCAAAATTATTTATTTTAATAACAGTGGTGTCTTATGTAGCTAGTGGTGTTTGAATAGGCTGAAACAGAGAGAACAGCAGGCAGGGAGATCAGCTAGAAGACTTTCCACAAGCAGTAAATCCAGAAAGAGATGAACAGTATAGGAGACGTGGTAATTGGATAATTAACATGATTTGATGTCTCAATTTTTACAGGAGAGAATGATGGAAAGAGGCACAAATCAAATTTGACTAAGATTTTAAGCCCAGGGAGTCAGGAATAGGATGACATAAATGAAGGATCAAAGGGTGACGAGGGTAATGAACTCAATTTTAGACAAGGCTACAGAATGCTGGCAGAACCTTTAAAAGGCAAAGATCAGAAAGAAGTCAGCAATAAAAGATCACAACTTGGGAGAAAAGAGGTAGAAATGAAAGCTGGAGAATTATAAAAACAGAGAGGATCACAAAAAGCAGAGGAATGGTGAATTCCTCCAAACAAGTGTTTAAAGAGAAAATAATTGCAATCTAAGGACTTAAAGTTTCCTCAAAAATGCCCACAAATGGGAAAAGGAAGTTGACCAACAGAAGTGTTTAAAAGGCATAGGTAGCATTCAAGAACAGGCTTTGGAGTCAAACAGCCCTGGAATTAAATCCCTACTCTTTTACTCATTAATTGTGTGAACTTGCAAAAGTTGCTTAACACTCTCTAAACTCGATGTTGCCATCTGAAAAACAGGAAACACAATAAGAAACTTGAAGGTATTCGTGAAGATATATGTGGCATTAGTCAATATTCAACTTAGAAAATAATTGTGGAATAAATGAGAATTTCACTGATGCCAAAAGAGAAGCATATTTCAAGGGTGAGGAATAGTTATATTCCTGAGCAGTCAAGAGGAAGAACTGAAAATAACTTTGAATTCGATCATTCTCTTGCCCTCCTGTTCACTCATTTTTACATTAATCTCCACATGTGCTTAGTCTAAAAGAGCCTTCTACTATTAATTGATTATTTCAAGACTCTATATTCTAGATAAAAATCTTCTTTCAGGAAAAATCGATATTCTATAACTTTTGTGTACACTAACACATTCAGTATCTGATACAGTAATGAACACATTATAGGTGCTCCTTTAAAATATTATTGAATATAACAGACTTTCATATGAATACACTTCAATAAAAATCCATATTGCAAACCCGTAAATTCAGGGATGGTCTATTATTTTCTGAAGTAATACATTAGCAGTTCCTGTAGTCATTTGGTGACCCTCCTTAGCTACCCTGCTCCATGCCAAAAAAAAAGAGAGACAGAAAGAACTAGTTTTAAAAAATTAATTTGTGGCCTTTAATATGCTAGTATTGGTGTTTTATTGACAATTATGCCAGAAAATGTATGCCTACTGAGTGAGACTTCCAAAGTCAAGGTATTTGTAGAAGAAACTACACAAAAACTTACCACAAAGGCAGTAGAAAGAATTTTATTTACAGAGCAGTCCCAAGTAGGCACCACAAACCTCTTCAAAATAAAATTCTTAAACATCACATTGCCGGGCGCGGGGGCTCACGCCTGTGATCCCAGCACTTTGGGAGGCCAAGGCAGGCAGATCACCTGAAGTCAGGAGTTCGAGCCCAACCTGGCCAATATGGTGAACCCCCATCTCTACTAAAAATATAAAAATTCGCCGGATGTGATGGCGTGTGCCTATAATCGCAGCTACTCAGGAAGCTGAGGCAGGAGAATCGCTTGAACCCAGGAGATGAAGACCACAGTAAACCGAGATTATGTCACTATACTCCAGCCTGGGCAACAGAGTGAGACTCTGCCTCAAAAAAAAAATTACATTTCAGGAACACATGTATTATTTCATAAAGCAAAATCTGCCTGTACAATACTATAAAATCTAAAATTTCCCAAGGGTGAAAAACAAATCAAGATATGTGATGGATTAAAATAAAGAGCAGATTAAGCAGGGATGATCTACAAGTGCAAGGTATGTGGTTTAATAGGTAGAAGACGGGAGGTGATTCCAAGTTTAATGGAGAATCTCCATGGACAAGAAAATTAAAAGAAAAATGTCTTAGATAAGCAGAAAACAAGGATTGAAAGGACTTTCCCCAGTTTACAAAGACCTTTACTGAGAAAGAAAGCCACAGATTTTCTTGGTAAGGTGTTCCAGAATTTCACAAAACCTGCTCTCAGGAACTTTGATCGCTAGCTTAAATCAAGAAGAAATATGTTATTGTGGAAGGAGCGGAGTCTAAAGATTTGGCCCTTATTGCATTGTCTTGAACAAGACATTAAGTTCTCTTTGCCTGGCATTTCTCCCTCTGTAGAACAGCAATAATTAAACCTGACTTATCTATTAACAATGTCATGATGTCATTGAATAAATCAAATAAGATGTCTTTAAACCCAGTGAAAACTTTTCAGTACTGTTTTACTTGATGCTGTTGATAGCTAACTTCTTCATGAACTATTCATATCCCTTCACTTTCAAGGCCCATGAACTTTCTGATTTTGCTCCAATTTCTGGCTACTTCCTTTCACTCTCCTTCTCCTTCAAGTCTTCTTCTTCATCTGCCTATAAGTGCTGATGACCCACAGATCCTCAGCCTTCTTCCTCTCATCCTAAATACTTTCTCTGAAAGATCTTATCTACACCCACACCTTGAATGCTTTGGTCTGTTGAAAATAATATCTGTATTTCTAGGCTAGAATTTTTTACCTGAAATAGCAAAAACCTACTAGACATCTCCACCTGAATGTCCCGTGGACACTTAAAACTCAACACATTGAAAGCTTATTTTATTATCTTCCCTGTATTAATCAGTTCTCACGCTGCTATGAAGAAATACCTGAGATGTGGTAATTTATAAAGAAAAGAGGTTTAATTGTCTCACAGTTCTGCATGGCTGGGGAAGCCTCAGGAACCTTACAATCATGGCCGAAGGCACCTCTTCACAGGGCAGAAGGAGCGAGAATGAGTGCCAGCAGGGGAAATGCAACTCACTCACTATACGAGAACGGAATGGGGGAAAACTGCCCCCGGGGTTCAATTACCTCCCACCGGGTCCCTCCTACAACACGTGGGGATTATGGTATTACAATTCAAGATGAGATTTGGGAGGGGACACAAAGCCAAACCATATCATTCTTTCTAAAATTTCTCTTTTTTTCCCCATGTTACCCTGTGTCAAAATATGGCACCATTTTCCTAGTTTGTCAATCCCCTTCATCAATATTTAAAATATGTTATTTTCATCTGTTTTAAATATTCTTTAAATTTATATATTTATGTATTTATTCTTAGAGAGAATAAATAAATAAGGCTTGAGTGCAATGGTGCAATCATAGTTCACTGCAGCCTCAAATTCTTGGGCTCAAATAAACCATCCACCTCAGCCTCCTGAGTACCTGGGACTACAGACATGTACCACCATACTCGGCTAATTTTTAAAATTATCTGTAGAGATGGAGTCTGACTACATTGTCCAGGCTGGTCTCAAATTCCTGTATTCAAGTGATTATACTGCCTCAGCCTCTCAAAGCACTGGGGATTACAGGCATCAATCACTTGATTTTATCTTTTTTTGCTTTTTGGTAGAGATAAGGTCTTGCTATGTTGCCCAGGCTGGTCTCAAACTCTTGGGCTCAAGCAGTCCTCCTGCCTCAGCCTCCCAAAGTTCTGGGATTACAGGGATAAGCCATCACTCTCGGCCTGATTTTATCTTTTAATGATACATACTGGTTGCCTAAAAATCAATTTGCTGAAAGATAACTAACCAAAAAGTCAATTTACTGAAAGCCAATTCACTGAACACTCAATTTGTAAAACGACCAGTTTGCTAAATTTAGTTTTACTTTCAAGTTTTTTTGTAAGAAGTATGTGCTTACTTCATAAAACTACAAAACATAAGTAAACATAAAGCAGAAAATTTAAATAACTCATATTTCCACAATGCATAATCAGCTAACATTTAAATGTATATTTCTCCATACATTTTCTGCATTCATTTAATTCACATAGTATTGTTTTTAAGAAAAGTAGATCATATTGTATATAATATTTTTAAGTTTTTTATTTAAAAAATATTATTAACATTTTCATATAAATAAATACAATTAAACATCATTCTTAATGGGCGTATGGTATTCCTTTGACAGGAGACCCATAATTAAATCTGGCAATTCCTCTTTGACAATTTCTATGTCCAATTTTTCACTATGATAAACAATGCTGAGAAGAATGTGCATTTTTTGCAAACATAACATTATTTTCTTAGGATAAACTCCTAAAGTGCAGTTGTTGTATCTACAGACTTGCTCTTTATTACATTCTTTTATACATGCTGCTGAACTATACATACATAAGGGTTTGTGTAGTGTCCCCTAGTTCCCCCGACTTCCTTTCTGTGTCCTCACTGAAAATCACAGAGTGCCCTGACCACTTTGTGACCCAGCCAGCTGCAGGTTTTACCCAGCAGGCTCAACCCCAAGCCCTTGAACATTCTCAGGCACTGATAAAGGTTATCTAGGTTGTTGCCCAAAACACTAAAAGAAACGAGCCCCAGCCCTGAGCCAAACTCCTTCAGCCCTCATAAAGGCTCCACACCTCGGCCCCCTCACTGTGGACATACCCATGTAGTACACCCCCTTTCTCTTGCTGTCTCTGGTGAGGGTGGCCATAGCCCTCTGTAAGTTTTTCCTGATAAATGCTGATCACTCTAGCATTTACTATTTCTTTAGAATCTCAACCAGACCCATCTTGGGAAGGTTTGGGGAACATCCTTATGGAAACTCCCCTGCCACTGTTTTTGTTTTTATTATTATACTTTAAGTTTTAGGGTACATGTGCACAATGTGCAGGCTAGTTACATATGTATACATGCGCCATGCTGGTGTGCTGCACCCACCAACTCGTCATTTAGCATTAGGTATATCTCCTAATGCTATCCCTCCCCCCTACCCCCACCCCACAACAGTCCCCAGAGTGTGATGTTCCCCTTCCTGTGTCCATGTGTTCTCATTGTTCAATTCCCACCTATGAGTGAGAATATGCAGTGTTTGGTTTTTTGTTCTTGTGATAGTTTACTGAGAATGATGATTTCCAATTTCATCCATGTCCCTACAAAGGACATGAACTCATCATTTTGTATGGCTGTATAGCATTCCATGGTGTATATGTGCCACATTTTCTTAATCCAGTCTATCATTGTTGGACATTTGGGTTGGTTGCAAGTCTTTGCTATTCTGAATAGTGCCGCAATAAACATACGTGTGCGTGTGTCTTTATAGCAGCATGATTTATAGTCCTTTGGGTATATACCCAGTAATGGGATGGCTGGGTCAAATGGTATTTCTAGTTCTAGATCCCTGAGGAATGGCCACACTGACTTCCACAATGGTTGAACTAGTTTACAGTCCACCAACTGTGTAAAAGTGTTCCTATTTCTCCACGTCCTCTCCAGCACCTGTTGTTTCCTGACTTTTTAATGATTGCCATTCTAACTGGTGTGAGATGGTATCTCATTGTGCTTTTGATTTGCATTTCTTTGATGGCCAGTGATGGTGAGCATTGGTGACTCCAGCCATGGGTTCAGCTGGAGTAAACAGTTTACCTATACACACCCCATAGGTAATATATGAGAGTACCTTTTTCCCCACACCTTAACTTACAGTGGATATTATCATTCAAAAAACTTCTCAATCCAATTTGATTCTGAAAATGACATATTTTGATCATATTTCTTTGATTACTAGTGGTGCTGAATATTGGACATGTTTTGTTGACCATATCTATTTTTTTCATTTTAAATCTACTTTATAGATTTAAGTACAGTAAATTATTAAATACCATGCAAAATGCGCCTATTGTATGTGAACATGTCCATTACCACACAAAGCTCCCTAACGCACCTCTGCATTCAATCCCTCCACTGTCCCTGAGCCCCAGGCAACCACTGACTTGCTATTTATCATTATTGATTTATTTTGCCTGATGTAAAATTTTATACAGGTGAAATCCTACAGTATGTACTCCTTTGTGTCTGGCATCTTTTGCCCAGTCTAATCGTTTTGAGATTCATCCATATTGTTGAGTATAGCAGTAGTACATTCCTTTGTATTGATGAGTAGTAATCTGATGTATGATTATTTTCACAAACTTGTTTATCCATTTACTTGTTCATAGACAGTTAAACTGTTTCCGGTTCAGGCTTTTATGAATAAAGCATATATAAGCATTCATGTACAAAACATTTTGTAAGTGTGTATTTTCATTTCTCTTGGATAAATACCTAATGTTAGAATTGTTGGGTCATAGGCAAGTTTAACTTTATAAAAACTGCCAAACCATTTGTTTCAGTCTGTTTTGTGTTGCTGTAACAGAATACCTGAAGCTGGGTAATTTATAGAGGAAAGAGGTTTATTTGGCTCATGATTCCAGAGTCTGAAAGTCCAAGAGCATGGTGCTGCAGTCTGCTTGGTTTCTGGTGAGGGCTCATTCTTGTGAGCAAGAACTCACTACCATAAGAACAGCACCAAGCTGCCCATAAAGGTGAGACCTCATGACCCAAATGCTTCCCAGCAAGCCCCACCTCTTAAGAGTTTCACTTCTCTACATTGGTGCACTGGGAATTAAGCTTCCATCATGAGTTTTGTCCGGGACACTCAAATCATAGCACCACTTTATAGAGAAGTTATTCAATTGTACATTCCCAACAGCAATGTAGGAAAGGTCCAGTTGCTCTACATCCTCAACAAAACTTGATATTGTCAGATTTTTAAATTTTTAACATTTCTAGTGGGTATATAGTGTTATGCCAGTGTGTTTTTAATTTGCATTTACCTGATGTTTAATGATACTGAGCATCTTTTCATGTATTTCTTGACCATTTGCGTATCTTCTTTTATGAGGTAACTATCTAAATTTTGGAGTCAATTTTAATTGGGTTGTTTGTCTTTAGATGATTTGTAAGAGACTTGTTTTATCTCCTAAAATAAATCTTTTGATATATGCATTGAATATTTTTTCCCAATCTGTGTCTCACCTTTTCATTTCCTTAATGGTGTATGATCTGAAGTGGTGCAGAAGTTTGGATACCATGAACTCTCAAAACGAACCAACCAAAACTCCCTACAAGAATAAACTGGAAGGAATAAAACCCAAACTAAGCAGAATAGAAACATTAGAGACAAAAGAAAGAAACAATCCAGATAAAAGCAGAAAAGGGGCAGAACCAAGAGATCTCAGGTGGTAAGGCATCATATTTTCAGCACTTCACAGAAAAAACAAAGAAGAGGTTCCACATGTGTGAAATTAGGAAAAAACTAATTTGATATTAAAATGAATAGAAAAGAATCAAGGTAAATCCCATATAAAGTTATTATTATTATTATTATAAGAAAGAAGAATGATTTTCTACAGAAAATATAGAGCAAGCTACAAAGACATGCTGACAAACAAATAATAAAACTCAGCATTAGTAAAAAATTATAAATTAAGCAATAAGACTCAGGAAATTGTTAGAAATAAAAAAGTTTCAGAAATTGAGACTGAACTAGGAGTAACCAAAATAAAATAAACACAACAGATAGTGCCTTAGGAGAAATCAAAGGTGAAAACAAGGGAGAAAAAATGAAATGAAGAGGATTTGGGGGAAAGTAACAAATGTAGACACTAGGTAAAGATCTAGCTGGCAACTGGCATAGAGTAGGAGCCTCAACAGAGAAATCTAAACCAATAGAACAAGTAATAAAAACTGTAATTCAAGAAACTTTCTGGCATTAAAACAATAGATTTAAAGTAACATGTTAAAAGAAACATCACACCTAAGAAAATTGTCTCAGAATGAACATTAAAATATATCCTAGTAAGATTATTGGACTTCAAAAAAAAAAAAAACACACTTTGATAACTATGTAGTCCTACAGTTCCTAGTTCTGCTTGAAAAGACCTAAAAGCAATGGCTAAGCCAAGAGCAATGAGCCTCTCTAGCACCTAATTTGTGTTCTTGAAATATCATTTCCCTGCTAAAAGAAATCAAATTTCTAGGAGAAATGGTTGATTTCCAGGTCTGAGGAATTAAATGTATGAAATGTGCCGAGACCAGCTCGGTCCGAGAGACCCTAACCCAGCAGCGCTACAGGAATTAAAGACATGCACACAGAAATATAGAGGTGTGAAGTGGGAAATCAGGGGTCTCACAGCCTTCAGAGCTGAGAGCCCCGAACAGAGATTTACCCACGTATTTATTAACAACAAACCAGTCATTAGCATTGTTTCTATAGATATTAAATTAATTAAAAGTATCCCTTAAGGGAAACGAAGGGATGGGCCGAATTAATTGCAGCAGGAACACGTCCTTAAGACACAGATCGCTCAGACTTTTGTTTGTGGCTTAAGAATGCCTTTAAGCGGTTTTCCGCCCCGGGCGGGCCAGGTGTTCCTTGCCCTCATTCCCGCAAACCCACAACCTTCCAGCTTGGGCGTTATGGCCATTGTGGACATGTTACATTGCTGCAGAGATTTTATTCATGGCCAGTTTTGGGGGCAGTTTATGACCAGACTTTGAGGGACTTGCTCCCAGCAGAAATGAGTTCATAACATCTTGTCATATAAGATAGCAAGGAAGGCATAATACTAGAAACTACTAACACCATGTCAAAGACACCGGAGACAAACTGAAGAGAATTCTACAGGCCAAAGATAGAAAAATGTGATCAACAAAAATAACTGCAATAAGTTAACTTCGTTATCCGTTACACTTATTTTACACATAAAATGTGTTTACAGTGGTGAGTTTATAATAAAGAAAAATAACTGGTCACCTTTGGAGTATAACAGGATATCAAGTTATTGTTTTGAAACTTAGAAAACGCAGGTGATGTGTTTTTACATTATCTGTGGTATCAGATACACAAGACTATGTGTTTGATAAAATTTCGTAGAACTAAATACATGCACAGATGAGTGTAAGTAAAACTGGGGAAGTCTGAATAAAATCCGTGAATTGTATCAATGTCAATAATCCTGGGTATGATATTGTACAATCATTTTGCAAGATGTTACCACTGAAGGAAAATGGCATAAAATAGACAGCAAAGAATCTTTCTTCATTATTTCCTGCAATAACATATGAAACTACAATTATCTCAAAATAAAAAGTTTAATTTAAAAATCTTCATTGCAATATATTCATGGATAACAAAATACTGAATATGTTCTTGAATAGGAAATTTCCTTATGAACACACTTCTCTTATGAATGAGCCTGTATGAATGAAGAGTTCTTTTAGTCCACCTTCACATGCTCCTGAACCTCCTGTCATTCTATACTGTCAGTTTACTTGGTGCAGCAGCAGGGTGCCAAATTCAGCATTCCCTTATAAATGTAAGGAACGTAACATTCCTTTACTAAAAGTATACAGCTTGTTTTTTAAAAAATTGAATTTGTTTTTAAAACACATTATAATAAACATTTTAAAGCTAGTCAATTGTGCATAATCATGAATAATAAGTAACAACCATAGTGGTAGTAACTGATGATGGTGTTGATGGCAATGAGTGAGGTGGTTGTGGTGATGATGGACATAATGATCATAATCATGACGATTGTGACAATAGTAATGGGACTGTTGATAGTAAAATATTCCAAAGCTGGCATTAGACTGTAAGTTTCCCTAGCTGCAAGATCACTCTACCAATAACAGGAAAATTAACACACCTGGGAGACAAAGCATGTTTCTCAGAGCCAGTGTAAAGCAAGGCTCTAATTGCTCTGTTAGTGAGAACCCCAGCCTCTCAAGTGATTATAGCCCAGGAAATATTGTGCCCACATATTCGTAAACACAATCCCAAGCCCCCAGTCTTAGTGATCCATTTTTTAATGAATTTGAGTAAATGTAGGACTCAGTATAAATCAGTATGGTTCCTGCATTTTCTGATTGTTGAAACCAAGGCAGCCCTTAAAGTTTCCAGCAGACTGTGCTTTATTTTTCCTCATCACAGGTATTTAATTACAAACTTAAAGCAATTGCCTGAGAAAAATATTTCTTCCATGAACTCTTGTTTGTGATGCAGACTATTTACAACCATATATTTACTTTCACCACTATGTGCTTTTTTAATCTGTGTGCTGTGTTCTCATTGGCAGTTATCCTAAGGCTCTTATGGCTTAGTGAAACTAAAGGTAATAATTGTAGTAACTAATATAAAATATATGGTTTGGCCAGGCACAGTGGCTCACACCTGTAGTCTTAGAGCTTTAGAGGACCAAGAGAGGAGAATTGCTTGAGGCCAGGAGTTGGAGACCAGCCTGGGCAACACAGAGAGATCCCATCTGTAGCCAAAATTTTAAAAAGTAGCCCAGCATGGTAGCATACACCTGTAGTCCCAGCTACTCATGAGGCTGAGGTGAGATGCTTGCTTGAGCTTGGGAGTTCAAGGTTACAGTGAGCCATGATCGTACCACTGCATTCAAACCTAAGCAACAGAATGAGACTCTGTCTTTAAAAAAGAGGAAAAACAGGAAAGTAAAAGAAATACGTGGTTTATATTTGCCTCTTTCATGTTATTAGAAGACTATGAGAGTGAAACGTTAAATCAGTGCTGTCTAGCGTTCTCCTACACAATGGTGTTCCCACCTGCTGTGCACTCAGTGAACAGTGTTCATTCCACACTGCTTTGTAAAGCACACGATCTACAGTTATAGTTATTCAAGTTGGGTGTTTCCTTTCATTTTAAGAGGCAGACATTGGGTAAAAAAGGATATGTAAAACTTTTTAAATCTACTGTTGTTATTTAGAAAAAAATTCTTCTTTGTGATAAATGAAAATAATACATTTCTATTTCCATTGTAATAAATGGGAATAACTCCTTATGCACAATGCTTGGGACTAGAAATGTCTTGAATTTCGAATTTTTTTCCGGTTTTAGAATGTTTGTATATACATAATGAGATATCTTGAGGATGAGATCCAAGTCTAAACATGAAATTTATATATGCTTCATATACATCTTATACACATAGGCTGAAGGTAATTTTATACCATATTTTTAATAATTTTGTGCATGAAACAGTTTTGACTGTATTTTCACTGAGACTAGTCACATGAGAGGAGGTGTGGAATTTTCCACTTGTGGTTCATGTTGGCCCTCAACAAGTTTCAGATTTTGGACTTTGAGTTTTCAGATTGGGAATGCTTAACGTGAATTTTAAAAATCTTAGCTACCTCTCATACTAGTTATTGTAAAGTTAAATGCCTCATTACCAATAATTTGATATAAAAGCTTACAATGCAATTCAGACTTTGTCTTCACACCACGTCCTAATGATTTTAAAGACTCTTACTTCTAAGAAAAAAGAATACAGTTAGTGCCAGTTATAGGAATCAAATGAGACAATACATTTGTGAATGCTATGTTTAAAAAGCAGATTACAAATGTTTTTGTAAAAATACATATATATTTATATACATGTAAATACATATATGCATAGGAAAAGTCTAGAAGGATATTCACTACCACCGTTTGGTTCCAAGTGGTGGAAAATGGTTGTTTTAAATTTTTGCTTATTTGCATTTCTAATTCACTACAATGCCTATATATTGCCTTTATAATTTTTTTAAATGCATCCAAAATTAGCAATAGATCTTTCCTCTATCTTCAAAAATTATATAAATTAAATGTTATTAAATAATAATAAAGTGCTACACAAAGATACGCTAAAACAAAACAATTTAGTTTAGTGGAGACAAAACACACTGGTGGTCAGAAGTCCTGGGTTTTAGGCCCAGTTTTGCCTCTTACTAGCTGGGTTTCCTTGGGTGACTTATTTAACTTTTAGAGCTTCAATTTCCTAGACAACGAAACAAAATACAGCATTTTTCCTATGCTATGCATATACTAAGATATCAAGCTTAAACCTATTTTAATCATACATTGCTAAGAGCTGTGAGTGTGCAGATTTACAAGGCTGCACATGTGAGGCAAAAGAGGAAACTCATGATCAGGACAGAGCCGAGGTAAGTTTGAGTTCCAAGTCACCAATAATTAGTAAACCTTGGGCAAATCACTTAGTGTCTGGCACCTCAGTTTTCTCAATACAAACATGAAAATAAAAATCCTTCCCTAAACACATTTCTCCCCATTTCCGAAAACTTCAGAAGTTAATGAGATCGACCTTTGAAAGAAATGTGTAAGCTGTAAAGCATTATGCAAAAGTTAGTAATTACATAAGGAAGCAATTAAAATAGGGGTAATATGTTTTATAGCTTAAGAAATACATCCCACAGATAAGACTGTCTATACATATTGTATCCAGCAATGATTATTCATGCTTCCTGGAGATATGCCTGTAATTTGAATACTTTGTCATCAGGGATGTAATAGGACAAAGGTTTGATATTATGATCTGAAAATAATAATAATAATAATTAGCTATTTAGCACTTAGTATGGAACATTCAATGGGCCAGTGCTCATGTTGCACCACAGATCAATTAAATCAGAACATCTACGGGTAGAACCCAGGTATCAATCCTTTGTAAATGCCCCGTGTGATTATAATGTATAGCCAATGCTGAGAACCACTGCCTTAGGACCTCAGGTCAAGTAAGAAATTAAGAACAAATTCCAGACTCTTAATGACAATTCACATTTTTTATAGGCACTGAGTATTTGAAAAAAGATTTCTAAATATGCATTATCCTGTGTTATTTTTACAACCACCTTTGGAATCAATATTAATTTCTTCATCTTTCAGACATAGAAATTGATGTGTCAGCCAATGACACAGCTTGTAACTACCCTATCACCCTGACACTGCGTAAATTTCAGATAGGTATTTACATGTTCACATTCAGTGAATATTTAGGAATTATATACATGACAAAGGAAGTTTATTTCTAAAGCAAAATCCATCCCCAACTACAAAATATGAAATATACTACTTATCTACAATGTAGAGATTCTCAAACTTTACTATGCAACACCATCACCAGAAAGATTGTTAATACATAGATTGCTGGGCCCCATATCCAGAGTTTCTGATTAATTAGGTGTGAGCTGAGGCCTGAGAATTTGCATCTCTAAAAAACTCCAGGTAATGTCAGTGCTGCTGGTCCAGGGACTACCCTTTGAGAAACACTGCCCCAGGATGCTTTAGAAAAATGTGCATGGTAAAAGATCCAGACCTTGGCCTGCTTTCCTCCCATCTTCATGATCCCTGAAACACTCACGCTGGTCTTCCTGCAAAGAAGACCAGCAAATAGCAGGACGAGGGGAGGAGGGCGGGGAGGATGCATCAGCAGAGAGCCCAGGATGTTTCACTAGCACCAAAGGCTCAAGACTAGCCGTCCAAGATTAGCCTTTTAATGGGGTTCTTGTCTCCCATGCATCCCTGCAGGCCTCCCACCCAGAGGAGAATGGCTGCAGGAAATCACTCTACAGTGACAGAGTTCATTCTCAAGGGTTTAACGAAGAGAGCAGACCTCCAGCTCCCCCTCTTTCTCCTCTTCCTCGGGATCTACTTGGTCACCATCGTGGGGAACCTGGGCATGATCACTCTAATTTGTCTGAACTCTCAGCTGCACACCCCCATGTACTACTTTCTCAGCAATCTGTCACTCATGGATCTCTGCTACTCCTCCGTCATTACCCCTAAGATGCTGGTGAACTTTGTGTCAGAGAAAAACATCATCTCCTACGCAGGGTGCATGTCACAGCTCTACTTCTTCCTTGTTTTTGTCATTGCTGAGTGTTACATGCTGACAGTGATGGCCTACGACCGCTATGTTGCCATCTGCCACCCTTTGCTTTACAACATCATTATGTCTCATCACACCTGCCTGCTGCTGGTGGCTGTGGTCTACGCCATCGGACTCATTGGCTCCACAATAGAAACTGGCCTCATGTTAAAACTGCCCTATTGTGAGCACCTCATCAGTCACTACTTCTGTGACATCCTCCCTCTCATGAAGCTGTCCTGCTCTAGCACCTATGATGTTGAGATGACAGTCTTCTTTTCGGCTGGATTCAACATCATAGTCACGAGCTTAACAGTTCTTGTTTCTTACACCTTCATTCTCTCCAGCATCCTCGGCATCAGCACCACAGAGGGGAGATCCAAAGCCTTCAGCACCTGCAGCTCCCACCTTGCAGCCGTGGGAATGTTCTATGGATCAACTGCATTCATGTACTTAAAACCCTCCACAATCAGTTCCTTGACCCAGGAGAATGTGGCCTCTGTGTTCTACACCACGGTAATCCCCATGTTGAATCCCCTAATCTACAGCCTGAGGAACAAGGAAGTAAAGGCTGCCGTGCAGAAAACGCTGAGGGGTAAACTGTTTTGATGCAAATGTTATTGTTCCTTTTCAATTTAGTGGTAATTGTTATAAATACCAGAGTGACAGCTTCTGAATGCTGGCCAGCTGTGGATGGAAAATAATCACTTCTCCACATGGCTGGGTGAATGGGCATTTTTCCTTCTTTCCTCTTCCTTCCCTCTTCCTTTCCTCTTCCTTCCTCTTCCTTCCTTCCTCTTCTTTCCTCTTCCTTCCCTCCCTCTTTTTTCACTTCTCTTTGAAGCCAGCCAACTTCAGGTTCAGGTTTTCTTTCACTTGAGATCCATCCCTCTACCCCAAGCCCTTTAATAAATGTTTCCTATCTTAATTGTAATTTAACTTAAATGCTAAACTTTCAACATTGAGTTTTAGGGTCATTCATGGTCTTATTATCTTCTATATAGAAAATATTACTCAGCCCAATTTTTTTCTTTTTTTTTTTCTTTTTGGTGACAGAGTCTCACTCCAGCCCAGGCTGGAGTACAGTGGCACGATCTCGGCTCACTGCAACCTCCGCCTCCCAGGTTCAAGTGATTCTCCTGCCTTAGCCTCCCGAGTAGCTGGGATTATAGGCATCTGCCACCATGCCCAGCTAATTTTTGTATTTTTAGTAGAGACGGGGTTTCACCATGTTTGCCAGGCTGGTCTTGAACTCCTGACCTCAAGTGAGCCACCTGCCTTGGCCTCCCAAAGTGCTGGAATTACAGGTGTGAGGCACTGCGCCTGGCCAATTTTTTTTCTTTTTGTACTTGGGAACAAATGAGGCAAAGAGAGGCAAAGTATCTCTACTTACCCCTGCCCAAGAATTTCCTGATCTCTTTATGTAATTTTCTTAGTAACACTAATAATAATGATAACAGCAGCTAACATGTTTTTGGATGCTGACTCTGATCCATGCAATTCTTCTACGTGCTTTCTATTCTATTTCAATTATACTACACAACAAGTAGGTACTATTCTATTCTCATTTCACAGATATGGAACTTGGAGCAGGAGTAACAACACTGAGATTCAAACCCCAGTCCAAGTGGCTTCCAGAGCCCAGACTCTGGGCACTCACACATTACTTCCTTCACTTTAGTCTAGCCGTCCCTTTGAACAGCCTATTAAACCTCCCATAATTATGCTCATCCAATTTCAAATTGGATGAAAATAATTTCTTCTGAAAATAATTTCTCAAATCCCTTCCTTTTATCATCTGCCCAAACCTCTTTCTCTTTATGGGCAACAACTATAATAGGATGGGAAAAGATGCCTAACTAGCATATATAATAATAAACCCTAGCAAACCAGCAAGAAAAAGACATCAACTTTAGCAAGAAAAAAAATGAGCAAGGTATATAGAACAATTTACAAAAGAGAAAACCTGAAGTACCACAGAGCATGTGAAGAGATGCTCAAACCGATTACTAAACATAGAAGCGCAAATTAAAACAGTGATATATCTTTTTACGTTTATAAGATTAGCACAAATTTTAAAAGCTGGATGGTGCTAAGTGTTAGTAAGGAGGTAGGGATTTAGGAACCCCCATATACTACAGCTATTCTGGAAAACAGTAAGACATTACTTAGGAAAAATAAGTATAGGTATCCACAGGGCATAGCAAATCTGGTCCAAGGTATATATAGTCCCAAATCATTCTCTTTCAGGCCTATAAGATGGCATGTACAAAGGCATTCATTATACCATTATTTTTGGCGATGGGAACTTAGAGATAAAATAAGTGTCCACCATTGGGAAAGTAAGTAGATAAATTGTATCTACTTACTTACAATTTATAGACTCTTCAACAGTTAGAAGCAAAGGATTAGCTATACACAATATAGTTTAGAGGTATAGTGCTGTGTGAGAAAAGTAAGAAAGATAATGAGATATAAAACATATTATTTATGTATATTAAAATTGCATGTGCACACACCCCAAAAAAAGCACACTTAGAAAGAAAAAAGACCATAACGTAAAATACACATTAGGCAGGTCAGAATGGCTGCTGAGAGAGATAAGATGCACGAAAGAAGGGAGTAGAAAAAAGATGAAGCAGAAAACCAAGAAAGACCACATTCTGGACCATAAAACACACCTTAACTGATTTAAAGAAATAGAAATCATACAATGTCTGCTGTCTGCTCTCAGACCACAATGAAATTAAACGAGAAATCAATAACAGAAAGATAACTGAAAAATCATTAAATATTTTGAAATTAAACAACACATTTCTAAATAGCACATGAGTCAAAGAAGAAAATCTCAAGAGAAATTTTAAAATATTTTGAATGAAACGAAAATGAAAATGCAACTAATCAAAACTTGTGGGATGCAGCAAAAGCAGAGTTTAGAGGGAAGTTTACAGCATTGAATGTTTACAGCACTGAATGTTTACAGCATTGAATGTTTACAGCATTGAATGCCTTCGCAAAGAAAACGATCTAAAATCAATCACCTAGACTTCCAACTTAAGAAACTAGGTTGGAGAATGGCAAATTAAATCCAAAGTTAGCAGAAGAAAACAAAAAAAATTAGAGAAAAATCAATAATATTTAAAACAGAAAATCAACGGAGGAAAATCAATGAAACCAAAAGCTGATTCTTTGAAAAGATCAATAGAATTGATAAGCCTCTAGCCAGGATAACTGGTAAAAAAAAAAAAAAAAGGACACAAATTACTAGTGTCAGAAATGAAAGAAGGACATCAGTATAGGTCCTATGAACATTTAAAAAAAGAAGAATTACTATGAACAACTCTATGCCTACAGACTTAATAACCTAGATGAAATGGACCAAATCCTGGAAAGATGTAATCTGTCAAAACTCACATAAGAAGAAATAGACAAGCTGAATAGGCCTATATCTATTAAAGAAACTGACTTAATAATTAGCAGCCTTTCAAAACAGAAAACACCAGGTTCAAATGGGTTCACTGGTGAATTCTACCAAACATTTTAAAGAAAGATATTATACCAATTCTCTACAATCTCTTCCAGAAGATTGAAGCAGAGGGAATACTTCCTAACTCATTCTTTGAGGCCAGCATCACCCTAATACCAAAATCTGACAAAAAATTTATAAGAAAGGGAAGCTACAGACCAGCATCTATCATGAACAGAGATAATAAATTCCTCAACAAAATATTAGCAAATTGAATGCAACAATGTATTCAACAACTATACACCATAACCAAGTGCAATTTATCCCAAGTGTGTGAGGCTGGTTCAACATTTGAAAATCAATTAAGGTAATCCAAATCCACATCAACAGGCTAAAGAAGAAAAATCACATGTTGATATCAATAGATATAGAAAAAAAATTTGACAAAATTCCTCACTCATTTATAATTTTTTAAAACTCTCAGTAAACTAGGAATACAGGGGAACTTCCTCAACTTGATAAAGAATTTTTTTAAACCTACAGCTAACATCATACTTGATAATGACAAAGTTGAAGCTTTCCCACTAAGATCAGGAGCAAAGCAAGGATGTCTCCTCTCACTGCTGTTTTCCAACATTGTACTGGACATCCTACCTAATGCAATAAGACAAGAAAAGGAAATAAAATATATACAGATTGGGAGAGAAGAAATAAAACTGTCTTTGTTCACAGACGACATGATTGTCCATTTAGAAAACTAGAAATAATTGACAAAAAAAAGAAAAACCTCCTGGAATCAATAGCATTTACAGCAAGGATGCAGCATACAAGATTAACATACAAAAGTCAATTGCTTTCTTATATGCCTGCAAATAACAATGGAATTTGAAATTTAAAACACCATGCCATTTATGTTAGAATTCCAAAAAATGAAATACATAAGTGTGAATTTAACAAAATATGTGCATGATCTAAACAAGGAAAACTACACAACTCAGATGAAAGAAATCAAATACTAAATAAATGGAGAGATATTCCATATTCATGGAAAGGAAGGCTCCATAATTCATAATTGCCAACACTTGGAAGCAACCAAGATGTCCTTCAGTAGGTGAATAATAAATAAACTATGATATATTCAGACAATGAAATATTATTCAGTGCTAAAAAGAAATGAGCTATCAAGCCATGAAAAGACATGGAGAAATCTAAATGCATATTACTAACCGAAAGACGTCAATCTGAAATGGCTATATACTGTATGATTCTAAGAATCTAACATTCTGGAAAGGGCAAAACTATGGAAACCATAAAAAGATCAGTGGTTGCCGAGGATTAGAGTGGGAGGGAGTGATGAATGGGTGGAGCACAGAGGATTTTTAGGGCAGTGAAAATACTCTGTATTGACTGGTATAATGTATATATACCAGTATGTATAATGACATGGTGTATACATGTATAATGACATGGTGTATACATGTCATTATACATTGGTCTAAACCCAAAGAAGGTACAATATCAAGAGTGAACACTAATTTAAACTTTGGCCTTTGGGTGATAATAATGTGTCAACATAGGCTCATCAATTGTAGCAAATGTGCCACTCTGGTAAGGGGTGTTGATACTGGGGAAGGTTATGTATGTGTGGAGGTAAGGGAAATATAGAAAATCTCTGTACCTTCTGCTCAATTTTTCTGTAAACCTAAAATTATCTTAAAAAGTAAATTCTATTTTTAAAAGAAGAAGAAACAGAAATAAAAATTATTTTTCCTAGACCCACGACCCTCAGGTACATACCAGTGAACCCATCCAAGAAGCTCTGGATCAGACAGAGCTAGCCACTGAACCATTGAATAGAGAGACAGGCAAGTTCACCTTTAATAATTGTGAGGTCTTGGGAAAGACTATCTACATGTTTAAAAGTTGTAAATTAAGCTAGCAAAGTGTTAAATATTTTCCTTCCTCCTACCCTGATAGATATACCTTCATAACAAGCTAGATGTCCAGGTTCAAATTTAGAAATCTCAGAATTCTAAGAGTTCCATGCCAGAAAGTGGTACTAGGAAAGGGCTCTTCCTGGCACCTGGCATTCTCCCCACAGACACAGCTTTCCACCTCTGCTTCCCACTCCCCATTGTGTCCCATTCCACAAGGGACCTCACATGTACACATGTATGGGCAACCTGGTATTCAAACTCTTGGTCCATACACCTGCACAAAGCAACCCCTGACTGTCCCTTTTATCTAGGGTTGAACAGCCAGTAGTGGTCTGCCTTCAGGACATTGTTCTGGGGAAGAGCCTTGTAAGCAGGTACAGGGTATTTAGGGAGGGAATTCTGGTATCCCCAACACTACTAAGGGATGCATAGGCTCTAACTGGGCACATCCTCTTGGATCCATTCACCCCATAAGGAAGGTATAGCCAGGGGAGGGCTGAAAACAGAGACACCTTTCACAAAATCTAAGAGGAGTATTATTATTATTATTATTATTATTGAGACAGAGTCTTGCCCTGTCACCCAGGCTAGAGTGCAGCAGTGCGATCTCGGCTCACTGCAACCTCTGCCCCTGGGTTCAAGTGACCCTCCTCCTCAGCCTCCAGAGTAGCTGAGATTACAGGCACCCGCCACTGCGCCCAGCTAATTTTTGTATATTTAGTAGAGACAGGGTTTCACCATCTTGGCCAGGCTGTCTCGAACTCCTGACCTCGTGATCCTCCTGCCTTGGCTTCCCAAAGTGCTGGGATTATAGGCATGAGCCACCGCACCCAGCCAGACAGTATTATTCAAGTGACCTTTGTCTATATGTTTGCCCATAGCTGCTTCTCTTCTCCCTAGACTGGAAAATCCACAGTTAAAATAAGATATATTTTTTGTTCCTCATATTATAGTTTATAAAGCATCTTAATACTCAGTACTAATCAATGTTCACAATCTGGTGAGATCATCAATCTACTGTTTTACAAATAAGAAAAATGGGGCTAAGTTATTTCTTCAAAGTGTGAACTAAACAAAGACCACCAAATAAGAATAAGTAAAGGCTATTGATTCATAACACGCAATAGCAAGGGAGTCTGCCATCATCACTTGGTAGAGACTCATAGGCAGGAAGGAAAGTTGTAAAGCTTTATAGTGAAAAAAGCAGGAGGCTTCAGGTATGCTCTAATTGGAGGTTGTTGGCACTGGGAAGCTGGAGAGAGGCTAGCTAGAAGTAGAGCACCTATGTGATTGGTTTAAAAAGCATACTTGGCTTTCTCTGATTGCTCTCAAGGTGGAGGCAAGGGCAAAAATCAAAGAAGCTGCCAGTCATTGACCAAGTCCTGACCATTCTGGGCCAATTGCTGCAGAGGTTGTAGTTTGGCTTCCCAGGCTGGTAGCTGCAGGGGCTGTGGGTAAGAGTTATATTTTTATATATGGTCTGGACATTGTCTGGTTGTATATTCAGTCTCTCCAAAGTGACATAGTGAAAAACTGGTACTACTGGTACTACCATCTGTCCAGACTTTTGATCATAGCTTTGAAAGTTTTTCCACTTCTGTGCCCTGCCATGCATTCAGAGATTTTCAGAAGGACCCAATGTAATTGAAACAAATTACAAAAAGTCCACAGCAGGCACACAGAGAGAATGGGCTTTACCTTCAAATGCATAGCAGTTTGGGAATAGGAACCACAGTTCAGAACTAAAGCCTTCTCTGGGAAAAAGAACAAAATGCCGAAGAAGCAATCCAAGGCAGAGTTATGGGGTCTCTGTTCTCATTCCCAAACCACAAAATGAGAGCCTTCAATACACTTAAGCAAATGCCATTCAAATTTCACACCAATTACACAGGGTCCATGTAATTGGACCATATCCTTCCTTTCCCCATCACTGTGCTGGAAAGTTCTCATTTGCCACTGTTTAGAACAAAGTAAGGGAGCTCCGCTGACTTAAGGTCAGCTTAGGGTAAGTAGCCTGGCACCAGTCCCAACAGAAGTTAGACTATCCTCCAGCAAAGACCTGCTCAAGGCCAAGCCTCCGTTTAATTACCAGGGGCCTGGCCAGTTATTTAGAGAACATCTCCTGTTCCTAGCATGGATAATTGCTCAAAGCCAGCTTCCTGAAGCTGTCGTGTCCTTTTTCTGTCTGTCCTGGCATCCCTTCAGGTTGTCTCTGCACTGCCATGCTCATCAGAATCTTGTTGCTTGTGCACATGGCTGCAGACCCTATGATCTCAGAAGCCCTGCTGCCAACAAAATGGGCAAGTTCATAGCTGTGGGCTTGCCGCTGCTGCTGATGTCCCTGGCCCAGGAGTTTTCCAGTGTGTTGCTGCCACTACCCGGTGCAGCAGGGGTAGACTACACTACCTTATTCCTCTCATTGCATGGGATCTGGAGTAAGACAGCTGTGAGTATGATTCATACGCTAAGCAAGTTTCATTATTTTGGCTGGGTTGGATGTAATGAAATAAGCAGACAAACCATGCACTTAGGCACCAGAAAATCAGGGCAACAAGAAGGTTTTGGAAAACATTTTCACAATTTTCCAATTAAAGAAACTAAAAACAAACAACTTCAGTTTCAGAATATATGTACTTATTGTGTCATTTCAAATATTAATTTTTATTTTAAATTTTACATGGCTGAGGGAGATTGGGCACTGTAATGTTTTTTAAGGGCCTAGGACCCCAATGTAATCAAGACAGTTGGTCAACTAGTGAAGAGGTCGGTGGTTCTTAAACTTTAGCCTGTGTCAAAATGGCCTAGGAAACCTGTGAAGACAAAGGGCTGAGCTGCACCCCACAGCTTCTGATTTACTAGGTCTGAGGCAAGGATCGAGAACCTGCATTTCTAATAAGTTTGCAGGTAACACTGACACTGCTAGGCTGGGGAGCATACTTTAAGAAGTACTGCTTTAGAGGAAGGATGTCTATGTGAGCCCCTTTATCGGTAGCTGTAAGTAAGCTGTAAGTTTTTTAGTCTTGTCAGTTTCACCAGGAAACTCTCCAACCTCCTAATGAGACTGGCTGCCAACATTCTAAGAACCCAGCCATGGAAAGAACAACAGGGTGTCATGACTTAATGCACAGACTTGCACATAATCTCCATGTTTTTACGGAAAACTTTCCCAACTGTTCTTGGTATCTAAAGTACACAAGATGTAGATAGTGCAGTTGACGCTTGAACAACGCAGGAGGAGTTGAAATGCCAACCCCCTACCCAGCCAAAACTCTGCTTGTAGCTTTGACTCCCCAAAAGCTTAACTAGTAATAGTCTCCTTTTGACCAGAAGCCTTACCAATAACATAAACAGTCAATTAACATATTTTGTATGTTATATGTATTATGCACTGTATTCTTACAATAAAATAAGAGAAATGCAAATACCACTAAAAAAATCATAAAGAAGAGAAAATATATTTACTATCCACTAAGTGAAAGTAAATCATCATATAGGTCTTCACCCTCATTGTCTTCACGTTGAGTAGCCTGAGGAGGAGGAAGAAGAGGGAGGGTTGGTCTTGTTGTCTCAGGGGTGTCAGAGAAGGAAGAGGTGGAGGAGGGGGAAGGGGAGGCAAGAGAGGCAGGCACACTCCATGTAACTTTTATTGAAATAAATACATATATAAATGGATCCATGCAGTTCAAGCCCATGTTGTTTAAGGAACAAGTGTATTTCCATTTTGAAAATAAGTAAACTGAGGTTAACAAATGTGAAATAATTATACAGCCTCTGAGGTTAGTAAGAAGCAGAGGAGATATGCAAGCACACATCTAGTAGACCTCAAAAGAGCATGCTCTCTTTTTAAGGCACCAGGCTACAATATAAGGATGTCCTTATGTTATACTTAAGATTGGAGTTCATGTACAAATCCACATAGGCTCCACGTGAGAGGCAAACCCAGCAGGAGCATCATTCTGTGCAAACCATATGGGCTTTGCAATCAGGATGACTTAAATCCAAACTCTGACACTCATCGACTGCAAAAACAAAGAGGAGCCCCACTGGGTACTTCTGCTGAATAAAGCATTGCCAGTGTCAATCTCAAAAAAAAAAAAAAAAAATATTGGATCCTCGTACAGGAAACCAATCTGTAAGAAGAGATGCCTGGATGGAAAAAGGAGAGGAGCTGGTTTCCTTTCTCAGCATGGACTTTGAAAGGTAGACAGGTTCAAATGCGATCTCACACAGTGAGGCAGATTATAGCCTCTGCAGCAGCAGGAGCAGAGTACGGAAACCTCTGTGGGACCCTACAAGCTGACAATGATTAAACAGTATCTCATAAGACATATTCTCTAGACATGCTCCACCTTTATTTCCCTTTCACCATCAACTAGCCTTAGGACAGTCATGCTGGACCCTCCTAATCTTGTCTCAAGATGCACCAGAGAACAGCAAGTTTATGGTCATTTGTCCACTGTTAAGGGGAAGCAGGAGTCCTCTGAGGCCTGCATACTTGGGGGCACACAACAGAGAGAAGACGCAGGAAAGGGCAGGGATATTCTCCAGAACAGAACCTAGGATGCTTGGTGCAATCATCCCTCCCCACCCAGAATCAGCTTCAGTTCCAAATTTGAATGTTTCCGGTTTATTTTAGAAAAAATGGCTTTTTCCCTTTTTGTCCCTCTCCTCCAGAAGATTCCCCAAGTACACAGCACTGAATAAGAATGAATGAATCTGGCCAGGTGCGGTGGCTCACTCCTGTAATCTCAGCATTTTGGGAGGCCAACGTGGGTGGATCATGATGTCAGGAATTCAAGACCAGCCTGGCCAAGATGGTGAAGCCCTGTCTCTACTAAAAATACAAAAATTAGCCGGGCATGGTGGTGGGTGCCTGTAATCCCAGCTACTTAGGAGGCTGAGGCAGAGAATTGCTTGAACCTGGGAGGCGGAGGTTGCAGTGAGCCGAGATCGCACCACTGCACTCCAGCCTGGGCGACTGAGCAAGACTCTGTCTCAAAAAAAAAAAAAAAAAAAAAAAAAAAAAAAAAAAAAAAAAAAAAAAAAAAAGAATAGCATGAAATATCTGTTTATTAAGACAATTATTAAAACATTCATTCATTGATAAAATAGAAAAATATTCACATAAATAGCCCTTTCTGGCTATATGATCAAAGAAAAATACCTCTCTCACCGGAGCACATACAAAAGTAGTAGATAAGTAATATTAAAGCAACTTTTTATTGAATGGTATGGTTTGTGAGACGGTAAAGGAAGTTGCTATGAAGGCAAAAAAAAAAATGGTAAGAAAGCAGGCATCTGACTATGTAAATGAAGCCTGGACTCAGTGTTCACCTAGGTGTGTCTTCCAGTCGTTGGAGTCCTTGGAAAGTCCTGAGCTTTCACACATGAAAAGCAAGAGATGAGGCCTGGAGCCCACGCAGGACAGAGGTGGTATTAGAGGCCATGTCACCTCCCCACCACCCTTGTAAACTCATGCTGAAAGAAGGTAAACCTGAGTGAATGAACTGGAAAAGAATTGCCCCCTCAGAGAGATGGTGAGGATACAGGCTGGTCTCAGCCTTGGCTCTGGATGGAGGAGGGGGTAGAAAATGGAAAACCCTCTCCCCTGAAAATCCCTCACCAGTCTGCACTCAAATGTGTATGAACTTGGAATGTGGATGGAACAATCTCTCTGTAACTCGTAGAGCCCCATACCAAAAATATACTATAAAGAGATCCTAGATGTTATCACTTACAATGGATTAGAAGTGTGGTAAGTGCTCCAAAGGGAAGCATAGGGTTGTACAAAAGCATTTAACTGGGGGAAACTGAACTGAGTCTTCAGGGTCAGAAATAGGCTCTCTGAGGAAGTGAAATCCAGACACCTGAAGGATAAGGGAGTGCAGTCAATATTTGGCTTCTCAGCATCAGAACCCACCTTTCTGTTAGGAGAATCTGCCTTTGTTCAAGTCTTTATTGAAATCTTCTCACTTGGCAGCTATTAAGGCCAGAGCAAGTGTCTGAATATGCCCTCTGTTGAAGGTAAGAGGAACATTCGACCTCTGCCAACTAGATGCTCCCACTCAGGACTTTACTTCTGGAGCAAGCAGTGCAGAGAAACAAAGATAATTTCAGGTTGCTATGGTTTGTTTGTCCCCACCAACACTCATGTTGAAATTTGATACTCATTGTGGTGGGGTTGGGCTGTGGGGTGGGAGGTGTTTGGATCACAGGGGCGGATCCCTCATGAGTGGCTCGGTGTCCTTCTACAGCAGTGAGTGAGTTCTTACTCTGGTGAGACTGGATTAGTTCTCAAAGGAATGAATTCGTTCCCTCCGAAGTGGGTTGTTATAAGCCAGGACGGCCCTTGGGGTTTGCCTCTTTGCCTTTGTCTGCTTCCCCTTTGACCTTCTCTGCCATGTTATGACCTAGCACAAAAAGCCCTCACCAGAATCTAAGCAGATGCCAGGGCCATGCATCCCATACTGCCTAGCCTGCAGAGCTGTGAGCTCAGTAAACCTCTTTTCTGTATAAGTGATCCAGTCTGAGGTATGATTATCCATTTGTGTTACAGCAACACAAAATGGACTAAGATACAGGTCCATAACGGAAAACACAAAGATGGCAACCACTAGCAACCAGCCGTGTTGTGTGGTGCTATCAGGTGGCCAGAGGCCAGGGCTACTTAAACCAATGCAGGCCTCACTTATGGCCTTAGCTGGGATTCTGGTCACCTGGCTCCCCTGGATCCTGATTATTCCCAGATCTGGTTTCCCAGACTTCTCTAATAGTCTAGTTGCCCTGTATCTTTTCAATGCATTCCTTTCCTGCTGGAGTTCACCAGAGTCAGATTCTATTTTTTCGCAGCTAAGAGCCATCGCTGGTTATAATAGAAGCTGGCCAGATGGTGCATCTGAGGGAAATGATAGGGAGTGAGAAAAGTGCCCAGCAGCACAGCAGCCCTCTCAGATGCCTGTGACTGCTCATCAACCCCCACCCTCCTCCTGGTAAGGTGGAAACAGCTTTTCCCTTCCTCTTCCACATCATACTCTTGCTATGTTTATTCTTGTTTTTCTCTTCCAGACTCTTTCTGTTGGTACAGTAAGGCAAAAAAAAAAAAAAAAGAAAGAAAGAAAATGAAAAAAAGCAAGAAAGAAAAAGAAAATGTACGAACAGACCAGATTCCAGAGACCAACATCCTTGGTAAAGAGTGTGGGGAAGTCTGTAGTCAATTTGCCTTACGAGAACTACATTTTAAGTGACTAACCTAAATATTAATGCCCTAATGTCAGCAAAACAACTATAAACACACATGCTTCCAATATAGATATCTATATTTGTATCAGCTCAAATTTTACTAAGATTCTTAAAATAATTTAGTGTATTCCCAAAATTATTACTGAAATCTAACAAAGTGAATGACATGATTACTATTTAAATGTTACACATGTGGTATAGGTAGCATTTGTATTTTAAACATTCACTGTGATAGCAGAGGACTATCTCTATGTGACACACAGGCACACACATAGATACCACACACCCTGTCTGTTAAAGTTCCTTAGGTAACCAATACGAGAGTAGCTCATTGCTCATTTGACAAGATTTATTTTATGGTACTTTGTTTTTAAATAATTATAGCTTTGCTTTTATGACAGGTAACTGGCCATATCTTTATTTATTTTATATTCAATCTTTATTCAGAAACCATGTCCTATTTTTTGACACTGTAACTATAGAAATTCGTGGTCAGATTTATGATACAAGAAAAACTCATTGCTATGAATCCTGAATGATGAATAGAAGATGACCAGAAAAGAATGGGCGAGGGTTTTGTAGGCAGAGAAGACAACATGAAAAAAAAGATACGGAGGCACAAAAAAACCCACGTATATTTAGGGAAGGGTAGATGATATTATGGTGAAATCACTGCATGTGTGGAAGCGTGAAATAGGGGAGCTTTGGCGCAACTGTTAATTTTATGCGTCGCTTTGACTGTATCATGTTAGATGGAAGAACGGCTTTGTTATTTCCTTTATCTGGACATTAAGTGCAAGAAAATGTGTACGGATGCTGAGTAAACAAGCGCTAAACTGTGATAGCTAATTTTATGTAACAGCTTGGCTGGGCTATGAAATCCAGCTGTTTGAGCAAACATTAGTCTAGCTGTTGCTGTGGGTGTGAATTTTATCTGTGATTAACTTTTATGGTCAGTTGACTTTAAGTAAAGCAGATTATAGCAGACTATCATGTAGCAGGCTTCGTCCAATCCATTGAAGAACAAAGGGCAAAGGAGTTTCCAGAGAAGAAGGAGTTCTGCCTCGAGACTGTGACATAGAAACCCACCTGAGTTTCCAGCCTTCTGGCCTGCCCTGTGAATTTGAGATTCCAAACTACAACATCAATTCTTACCTGAACTTCCAGGCTGTGCCTGCCCCACAAATTTCATATTTTCCAGTCCCCACAATCATGTGAGCCAATTCCATAAAACACAGGTCCCTGCAGACATACCATCCATCTATACAGTATATCTGTATAGATATATAGATAGATAGAGATACACAGATATAGGTAGGGTTCTGTTTCTCCGGAGAACCCGGACTGATACAAGAGGTTACAGGTGATAATTAATCATCCTCCCCTCCACACTCTGAGAATTGAGAAAGAAGAAGCCAGATAGAAAGAGATGAAGATTAGCCTAAACACTGATGAAGTTCATAGAAGGGCATAGCTTAGAGCTGCAGCCACAACAGGACTCCCTAATTCCGTCTGTGCTTCCCCAGATTAATTTTACAAACCTAGACACGAGCTGAGATGGCAACTGCAGCTCTTGTCTACGAAAGGAGAGCACTTAGAAGAGGAAGAAAGAGACTCCTGAGGACAGGGCTGTCCTAAAAAGAGAATGCTCAGGGGGCTCAGCCATCCTTAACCCATGCTGTTTCCCAGCCTCAAGAGGCAGGAGTCACTATTCTTTCTGGGGGTTGAGTCTAGTGGGGAGAAGGAAAAGAGAAGGGGCTCCTCCCACTCTTTACCTTCCTGAGGCACAGAAGGAGTAGGTATCCCATTAAACAGGCTGGTCTGCTTTGGGTTCAGTCACAGACGGGGCAATCATTTCCCCACAGCAAGTTTCCTTCTTGTGACATGTAAAATACTTGCTTGTAAAGTTCTGCTGTAGTTCAGTACTGTGCTATCTTACTTTTGAGATGAATTAATTTTTTTTAATGTTCTCAAAAGTAATTAAGAAACTTTAAGACACAGCTTCTACTTTTTCCCCGTTTAGCGTAGCTGTTTCTCTCTGCTAGTCAGAGTTTGGATCTGCCTCTGGGAGCCCAAGTGCAATTGGAGGGTAAATACACAAAGTGTGTCGCTCAAGTCAAGAGCAGCCAGAGACCTCTCAACCTAACAGCCTGAGTTTTCTTTTACATATTTCAGAGTCCTCAGTAAAAATCCAGAGAAGGCTCCCTCAGTTACTTCCTAGAGTTACTATAGAAAACAAGAAATTATGTCCTTTGAGTTTACACATGTAGCAACTTTAACAACCTCCATGTTCGATTTTGCTTCAACACTGAAAGCAATGAAAGGAGGTGCCTACCCTGTCTCCCTCCCCCATTTGGTTGATGCTAAGTGGGAATTCCTAGGCTAGATCTCTATAAAAATGGCCGAAATTCAGTAACACAATTTGTGGAGCTGGCAATTAGGCAGGGTCTTTACATTGTGCACATGACAAAGCCCTTTTCATATCGCCATCTTCAATTAAATTATATAAAATTATTCAAAGCTACTAAGATCTCTGTTTTCCTGAGTAATGGCAGGTAATGCCTTGAGAGAGCTTAAAATCAGTTGATATGGAGTAGAGAGGAAAAACTGTTCATTTGCTATTGGTTCCGGGGAGCAGTATTGTGCCCTTGAAGAACAGCAGGGAAGAGTCACACCATAAGCATGTGACGTTTTTCTTCTTTTCAGAGGTTCAAATTGGGGCATACACTCGCTGTTATTTTCAGAAAGGCAGAAGCTCTCTACACAAATGCATCATCCTTTTAGTCAGAAAACATTTAATGCCCTCATACTCTCAGCAATTCTAAGTAAAATAGGAAATAAAGAATAAATAATAGCCAGTCATTTTTTAGGTTTTCTTTAGAATATAAATTTATTGAATAATGCCTTAGTGCTTGCTAGAATTTACTTCTTAAAATAAGTATATACATGATATATAAATATATTTGTATACTATGTATATGTGTGTAAATATATTCCCCTTATTAAGTAAAAAAGTCTTTGTAAGAAGCTGTGTCTTAAGGTTTCTTAATTACTTTGGGGAATATTTAAAAATATGTATCTCAAAAGTAACAAATATATATATATGTGTATATATATATATATGTATATATATATATGTATATATATATATATGTGTGTATATATATATATATATGTGTATATATATATATACATATATATATATATGTGTATATATATATATACACATATATATATTTTCTTCCCATAAAAAGAGAAGATGCTATTTAAAAATCAGCATAGGCCTAAACATTTTTAATGTCAGTTCAGACAGGATGACTTTTTCTGCTGCTGCCACCTGGTGGCAGCTTGCCTAAAACTCAAGGAGCGTAACAAACATTCTCAGTAACTCCCTCTGGCCCAGGGAAAACCTGACAATTATACAGCAAGTTCTAAACCACAGAAAACCTAGATTTGAGATCCAAGTACATCTGTACAGGGAAGTTGCACTGCATATGAAGAGAGAGAAAAAATGATATAACAGTGAAAAGTTAGCACCAGCACTTGAATGTTGACAGGAAGAGAAATACACAAAACATTTTAAAAGTTTTTACAATAGAAAGAGGCCAGGCATGGTGGCTCACACCTGGAATTCCAATACTTTGGGAGGCCGAGGCAGGAAGATTGCTTGAGCCGGGAGTTCAAGACCAGGATGGACAACATAGCAAGACAGACCCCATCTCTACAAAATATAAAAATAAAATTAAAAAAGAAAAAGAATTGGGGGAAAATGTTTTAAGTTAATAAAGGCATACTCATGGTTTTGTTCAAGAAAGGAATTAGTAAAAAAAGAACATTCAAGGTACAAGAAAGAAATGAAAATCTGAGGATTTGACCTAAAATTCATATGGAACCAAAAAAGAGCCTGCATAGCCAAAGCAAGACAGCAAAGAGAACAAATCTGAGCATCACATTACCTGACTTCAAACTATACTATAAGGCCATAGTCACCAAAACAGCATGATACTGGTATTAAAAATAGGCACATAGACCAATGGAACAGAATAGAGAACCCAGAACCCAACACTTAGAGCCAGCTGATCTTCAACAAAGCAAACGGAAACATAAAGTGGGGAAAGGATGCCCTATTGAACAAATGGTGCTGGGATAATTGGCAAGCCACATGTAGAAGAATGAAACTGGATCCTCATCTCTCACCTTATACAAAAATCAACTCAAGATGGATCAAGGACTTAAATCTAAGACCTGAAACTATGAAAATTCTAGAAGATAACATTGGAAAACCCCTCCTAGACATTGACTTAAGCGAAGACTTCATGACCAAGAACCCAAAAGCAAATGCAACAAAAACAAAGATAAATAAATGGGACTTAATTAAACTAAAGAGCTTCTGCACAGCAAAAGGAACAGTCAGCAAGGTAAACAGACAACTCAGAGTGGGAGAAAATCTTCAAAATCTATACATTCAACAAAGACTAATATCCAGAATCTACAAGGAACTCAAATTAGCGACAAAAAAAACAAACAATCCCATCAAAAAGTGGGCTAAGGACATGAATAGACAATTCTCAAAAGAAAATACACAAATGGCTCACAAACATACGAAAAAAATGCTCAACATCACTAATGATCGGGGAAATGCAAATCAAAACCACAATGTGATACCAACTTACTCCTGCAAGAATGGTCATAATCAATAAATCAAAAAAAAAGATGTTGGTATGGATGCAGTGAAAAGGGAACACTTCTGTACTGCTGGTGGGAATGTAAACTAGTAAACCATTATGGAAAACAATGCAGAGAATCCTTAAATAACTAAAAGTAGAACTACCATCCGATCCAGCAATCCCACTACTGGGTATCTACAGAGGAAAATAAGTCATTATATGAAAAAGATACTTGCACGCACATGGTTATAGCAGCACAATTTGCAATTGCAAAAGTATGGAACCATCCCAAATGCCCATCAATCAACGAGTAGATAAAGAAATTGTGAGATATATATATAATCTCACATATATATGTGTGTGTGTGTGTGTGTGTGTGTGTGTGTATACACACACACACCATAGAATATGACTCAGCCATAAAACAGAATGGAATAATAACATTTGCAACAGCCTGGATGCAATTGGAGACCATTATTCTAAGTGAAATAACTCAGAAATGGAAAACCAAACATTGTATGTTCTCACTAATAAGTGGGAGCTAAGCCATGAGGATGCAAAGACATAAGAGTGATACAATGGACCTTGGGGACTCGAGGGAAGGGGTGGGAGGGGGCGAGGGATAAGAGACTACAAATTGGGTTCAGTGTACACTGCCTGGGTGATGAGTGCACCAAAATCTCACCAATCACCACTAAAGAACTTACTCATGTAACCAAATACCACCTGTTCCCAAAAAAACTATGGAAATAAAAAAATTTTTAAAAAAAGAAAGAAAACTTGAGGATTTGAAATACTTAGGATGGGAGGGGGCGGCACTAAGAGCACATGAAAGAGCGTTTGATCAAATTCAATACCTTCAATAGTTCAATCATTATTTTTAAATATTCAGTGAAATAGGAATCAATGACATATTCTAAAGGTAAATGTGAAAACATCCTTATAGTAAAAATATTAGATACATTCCCATTAAAGCCTGAACTAGACCAATATGTCTACTATCTCTTCTATTAATTAATATTGTAAAGTAGGGAACCAATGCAATTAGACAAGAGAAAGAAATTAAAGGCAAAAGAATCATAAAGGAAGAGGTACAACTATCTGTATAGGCAGATACTATTATTAATTTTTTGGAAATTCCAAAATAATCCATGAAACATACTAAAAACAATACCAGTTACGTTGCAGGAGTAAAATTAGAAATCAATATACTTCGTATACAAACAATAACCTGGTAGAACATGTCACAATAGATCTCATTACAATAGAAAATAAAATTTCTAATCAAAAATCTAGTTTAAAAATGTACAAAACCTACATGACTAAAAGTACGCACATACCTAAAGGACACAAAAGCATATCTAACAAACAGAAAGGCATACGGTGGTCTCCCATTGTCAGACTCAACACCAGAATGTATCAGTTAGTTCTAAGATTGTAAATGTAACATGATCTTGATAAATATAGTAGGAGGGTTTTTTTTGTTTTTTTTTTTTTTTTTTTTTTGTCTGGAGGAAGACAAACTGATAATGAAGTTCGTCTGAAAGAATAAATAGGCAAGAATACCATGGAAAATCCTGGGGGCATGAGGGATCACAACTTGTAGAAGCTAACCCTAACATACGTGAAAACAACATAATTAAAGCTTCTGTAATTAAAGCAAAATATTAGCACGTGAATGGGGTGGTAGTCCACTGGAACAGAATATAAAACAAATCAAAATGTAGTTTAATATTTGATGAAGGTAGCAACTAGAATCAACAGGGGAAAGGATAGGTTATCGTTTTTTAACGGTGAGGGTATAACTGGATAGCCTTATGAAAAATAATAAAATTAGATCTATTTCTCACACCACAAACAGTATAAATTTCAAATACATCCAAATGTAAAAATTAAATTCATACAAGTTCTGGAAAGGAAAATGAAACATAGACGAAGTTATTTATAACCTGAAAGTAGATTATACTTGGCAGACAATTATTCAAAACCCAGAGCCTATAAATAAAATTTTAATAAATGTGACTATATTCTAGAAAGCGCTTTTTGCCTGGAAAAAAATTGTAAGAAAAGTCAGAAGATAAAAAATGAGAAAAATCTATATGGAATTTATATCTCAGACAAAAAGCTAATATATTTAATAATGACCTTCTAGTATTTGAAAATAAAAAGACCTACAACCCAAGACAAAAATGAGCAAAAGACATAAATAGAGACTTCAGAGAAAATAGATATATTAATGGCTCTTGAACATATAAAAAGATATTCAACTTTTCTCATACAAGAAATGCACATTAAAACTATAGGAAAGATGCTTCAAGAAAAAGGAGGGTTGAGACTTTCTCTTCTAATCATGATGGAGTAACAGGGTCCTGACTTGCCCCCTACCCTAAATCATTAGAAAACCAGAAAAAAATGTGCAAAACAACTGTCTTCAGACATTGACAAAAGGTAGCAGAAGATTGTTATTCCAGAGGGAGAAAAGGGAAAACGAATGAGAATTTCCTGCTTAGAGGCAATTTCAGGAAGGCAGGGATCAGGAAGAAAAAGGGCTTGGTAGTCTCACTGAAGTGAAGAGACAGACGTGTTCAGGAAGGTCAGAGCAGCAGGAAGCTGTGGAGCAGAAAGTGAGAAGAGGGAGCTCTGCAAAAAAGAACCCCACAAATCTGCACAGAGGTCTACCGGAGACTTTGGCTTGATACCTAAGTTAAGCTTAAAAATGAACTTCAAAAAGATCAAATTGACCCTCAAGATGCTTAAAAGCCTTCCAAAAGAATTCCCAACACACCTTAAAGGAATATAACAAAATTTAGCACTCAACAACATAAAATCTATTATGTCCGTGCCTGATTGAAAATTACTAGATGTGGAAGAAACATAAAAATGTGACCTGTAGCCAGAAGAAATTTCTTAGCAGAAACATCCCAGAAATGACAGAGATGATGGAACTGGCAAATTGAGCTTTAAAATTAGCTATTATACGTTCAATATAGTCAATATTTTTTTTAAAGTAAACATGATGCTGAGAGAAATGGAAGATACCAAAAATAACCAAATGGAACATCTAGAGATTAAAACATATATAATATCTGTAAAGAAAAATAATGACTTGATTGTATTAACATCAGATGCTGCAGAAGAAAATATCAATGCACTTGAATACACAGTGATAGAAATTATCCAAATTGAAACGCAGAGAGAAAAAAGACTGACATAAAAATTGAATAGAGGCTGGGCGCGGTGGTTCAACCCTGTAATCCCAGCACTTTTGAAAGCCGAGGTGGGAGGATCACGAGGTCGAGAGACCGAGACCATCCTGGCTAACACGGTGAAACCCCGTCTCTACTAAAAATACAAAAAATTAGCCGGACGTGGTGACAGGCGCCTGTAGTCCCAGCTACTCGGGAGGCTGAGACAGGAGAATGGCGTGAACCTGGGAGGCGGAGCTTGCAGTGAGCCGAGATGGCACCGCTGCACTCCAGCCTGGGCGACAAAGCGAGACTCCGTCTCAAAAAAAAAAAAAAAATCCTAACACAAAGGCCAAAGCCCATGTTCTTCCTAGGAAGGCCTATTTATGGTTATGAGTATGTGCACAAACTTATCAATAATTGCTTATCTTCCTCCATGGGCCGTATTCAACCAAGGCTCAGCAGTAATAGTGCCTCATGTGTAGATTTTCAATGAGAATGTTGCCACATCCTTCAGTGTTATTAATAAATCCCATTCCTTGTTCTCAATCCCACTGCACAAAATTTACAACTAGAGAAAAACAGTTCATTAGGATGAACTTCAAATAAGCCCCATAAGGCAGAACCGCCTTGAGACTCAAGAGCAAATAAGACCTCAGGGATTCGTTAAAAGTTGACTTTTCTCTAAGAACCTTTGAGGGTTCTTGTCTGGATGAGGCAACTCTAGGGCAAGTCCCTCTGAGTTGATGTCACTTCAGAGACTGTTGCCATGGAGGCTTCATTTCAAATGCATCTCAAAATTAGAGTGTTGCCTTTTTGTTTATTTTATTTTTATTTTTTATTTTTGTTGAGATGAAATTCACCATTTTAAGCCTTTTAAAATGTGCATACAGTGGCTTTTAGTACATTCGCAGTGCTGTGCAAGCATCAGCACTTATTGGTTCCAGAATATTTTATAACCCCCAAGCAGAAACCTCATACCTAGCAGTCACCCCTATTCCTTCCTACCTCCAGCCCCTGGAAACCAGTAACTGGCTTTCTATCTGTACTGATGTGGCCATTCAGGACATTTCATATAAATACATTTATACGATATGCGTCCTTTTGTGCCTGACTTCTTTCACTTAGCATAATGTTTCCAAGGTTCATCCAGGTTGTAGCATACATCAGTATGTCATTCTTTTTTTTTTTTTTTTCCGAGATGGAGTCTTGCTCTGTCACCCAGGCTGGAGTGCAGTGGCTTGATCTTGGCTCACTGCAACCTCCACTTCCCAGGTTCAAGCAATTCTCCTGTCTCAGCCTCCCGAGTAGCTGGGATTACAGGCACCCACCACCACAGCCGGCTAATTTTTATATTTTTAGTAGAGACGGGGTTTCACCATGTTGGCCAGGCTGGTCTCAAACTCCTGAACTCGTGATCTGCCCACGTCGGCCTTTCAAAGTGCTGGGATTACAGCTGTGAGCCACCGTGCCTGGCCTATGTCATTCATTTTTATGACTGAATAATATTCTATTCTGTGTGTATACATTTTATTTACCCTTTCATCAGTTAATGGTCATTTAGATTGTTTCCACTTTTTGGCGATTATAAATAATACTACCTGAAGGTCAGCCGAAGGTGAGATCTTAGAGCTAGAGCCTTCTCAGGTCTTTTCTGAGTAGCGTTCAGCCCTAAGCATGCATCTGACCTTCTAGGTTCCCAGGAATACGTGGGGGCTTTTCAGAGTTCCTATTTCTCAAAGCATCTCATTCTCAGTCTACCATGCCAGGCTTTTGGTTAACCTATTTTTTGCCCCAATTGTGATCTCTTGCTTCTGACTGTGTCTATTACATTTGCCTTTGCATACTTATAACAAGCCCCACCTCCGTACTCCCATCCGGCACCTACAAAGCCACCTTAGCCGTGGGAGAGTCCCAGGTTAGGCAAGATACAGGCAAATCCTTTGAGCTGATCTTTCAGAGAGCCACCAGGGAAGCCAAAACAAACATCAATTTTTTTTTAATCATCCATGGATGGATGAGTGGATAAAGAAACTGCAATACGCACGCACACACAATACATACACACACACACACACACAATACACACACACACACACACACAAGTATTATTTAGCTTTAAAAAAGGAGATTCTGCCCTTTGAGGAAACATGGATGAACACGAATCTGAGGGCGTTATGCTAAGTGAAATAAGCTAGATGCAGAAGGAAAAATATTGCACAAAATCTCTCTTATATGTAGAATCTAAAAAATGTCAAACATATAGGAGCAAAAAAGAACAATGGTTACCAGCGGCAGGTGGGGTGCCGTGGAAAAATGTGTGTCAAAAGGTAAAAAGTTGCAGTTATGTACCATGAATAATCTAGAGATCTAATAAATCTAGTTCTCTATAGCAGGAGAACTGTAGTTAATAATATTGTATACTGGAAAATGTTCTAAAAGAGAGGATTTTAGGTGCTCTTACCACACACACAAAAAGGTAACTATGTGAGATCATGGATATATCAAATTGGTTACTATAGTAATTATTTCACTATGCCATGTATATCAAAATCAGGTTGCACACCTAAAGTTTCTACAATTTTTCTAAAAATCTCAGTTTTTTGAGAATAAGGTCTGTTATGCTCCCTCAGGTACTGGGTACTTGTGCCAGGAATGCGGGCTCCTGTCTTCAAGGCTGTTGCCAACTAGGTAAGAGCAGGAGAAGCCCCCAGGATAAGTTAAAATGCCACAAAGCTCGCTTATGAGATCCAGCTCTTTTTCCTTAAGTGTCGCCTTGGTTGCTGCACGTATGTTTGTTTGTTTGTTTGTTTACTAGTATTCATAGTTCTAAGCAAGTTGATTCTGAAAGTTTTTTACCAGTTTATTTGTTGCTTTTGTGGGTGCAAAAAAGAGTTTTGGAGTTCCCTACTCTGACATTCTTGCTGACATCATTCTAAAATCAACCCCCTTTGTATCCCACTTGAATGACAAATTAGATGGTCCTACTAAGGTTTATTCAGGCAATAAACTGGAATCAGACTGATCTCAGTAAAAATGCTGGCTCTGCCACATCCTAGCTGAATGACAGCGATAAGTTTGTTTATCTCTCTGGATTTCAAATCCCTTAACTTAAAATAAGGATAATAATGCCTAAACTCAAAGAGTTATAGTTATGAATAAATGATGCCATTTCTGACACCATAAATTGAGGTATAAAGCTTATGATGTAATGTGCTTTCCCTGCTTTTACTACTGCAACATGAAGCTTATAGACTTTTTCCCACACCTAAGAAGGAACATAGGATAGGTATTGTTATTGGGTGCGGGGTTAGGGAGGATAAGTGAAATAAAACTATGTGGTTTATTTCTTGTCTTTTTTTTTTTGTGACACAAGTTCTCACTCTTTCACCCACGCTGGAGTGCAATGGCACAATCTTGGTTTACTGCAGCTTCAACCTCCCGGGTTCAAGAGATTCTCCCACCTCAGCCCCCAGAAAATGCAAAAATAATAATAATAATAATAATACAGGATTCTTCTTTGTCCCTATGCTATGCTGTTAAGACAATCAAGAGTATCAAGAGTAGAAGCACTTGTCTTGCAAGTCACCAGGTGGGCCCTCTTCCAAGTGTACTAAAGAAAAATAATATTTTTAAAAGAGTACAACTGGTGCAGTCACAATGCCTAAGACACACAGGTGCACAAATATAAGAGGCTGCAAAATAGAGAAGTAGTTCTCAAATGTTAACATTCATTAGAATTGCCTACAAAAGTTGTTAAAACTCAGGTTTCTTGGCTCCATCAGCAGAGGTTTTTATTCAGTAGGTCTGTGGGTGGAGCCCAAGAATTTATATGATAAGTTCCCAGGCAGTGCTGATGATGCTAGTCTGAGGACCACAAGCTGAGAACCACTGAAGGCAAGGCAACAAGCTCAGGCGCTTCAGGTTCAAGTTCCATGTCACCTCCATTAGCTCTGTGACCTTGGGCAAATCTCTTAATGTGCGATTCAACTTCTTCACCAATAAAAAGAATATCATAATTCCTGCTAATAAATATCACCTGTCCCCAAGATACTTATGAGCATTAAATGATTTAAACTCGTGACAGGAATGCACAAATTCTACTGAATTATGCAAACATCATTAATTATATGAGTTAAGCAACTATCATAGCTAGAATTCACATTATTTCCATATTAGGAACCCAACAGTGAAGATCCATGCTTCTAGAAAACGTGTCTGAAATGTGAGTACTTTGCTACTATGAAGATAATAGTGCCTTGCTTAGACACCATGATGTGAACATGTGAAAGATAACAATAGTAACCACAAGAGTTAAAATATATTGAATGTTTCCTATTTACTAGGCATGGTTCTTAATTTAAGCCTCACAATCCTATGAGGAAGCCACTTGTAATAATTCAAAATCTGTAGCTTAAGAAAGCTTGGGTTTCAAGTGGTCAAGTACCTTTCTCAGGCTCACACAGAAAAGATCAGAAGCAGGGTTTCTAAATAATATGCCTACAGTGCTATTTGCTGATTCATCTAGTTTAGACATGATTGATTGATCCAGGGCCCAGAATAGTAGCTAACTCATAATAGTTATTCAGTATTTTATTTTATTTTATTTTATCTTATCTATTTTATTTTATTTTATTTTATTTTATATTTTATTTTATTTTGATGGAGTCTCCCTCTGTCACCCAGGCTGGAGTGCAGTTGTGCAATCTCGGCTCACTGCAACCTTCACCTCCCAGATTCAAGCAGTCCTCCCGCCTCAGCCTCCCGAGAAGCTGGGATTACAGGCTCCTGCCACCACGCCCAGCTAATTTTGGATTTTTAATAGACATGGGGTTTCACCGCATTGCCCAGGCTGGTCTCGAACTCCTGACCTCAAGTGATCTGCTGGCCTCAGCCTCCCAAACTGCTGGGATTACAGGCATGAGCCACTGCACCTGGCCTTCAATAATTTTTTGCTAAGGGAATTGCTACCAATTAGATTTGATTGGAATTTAGTTCTCTTATGTTCCCCATCCCTAATCTTTCTCTCCTATCTTCCCAATATAGATAAATCACAATATTCATTTCTCAACACTAAATGTCTACTGTACTTGGGGTTTTTTTTTTACTTGTTCTATTTTCTTTTTCCCAGAGTAAACACTGTCCTCATTGCTTTCTATGTGCCTCTTCTTAATATTTCCACATACTCCATTATAACTGCCAAGCACCCAACAATATTATTTCCCAAAAGCACAAACATATGGGACAGTAAATAGATTTCGTTTTCTCCTGGAGGACTCCCTTCTCCTATTCCCACCTGGATTGCTCTCCAGGCTTGAAGCGTGGCTGTCATCCTGGAACTTCCTTCTGCTGCACTCTTGGGTTGGACCTGCTCTTTTCTGGATTCCATGTCTTGGATTACAGTCAGACCTTTGTTCTGCTAGAACACTTTATTCAAAAGTTCCCTTAAAGAAAGAAAGGAGGAGGAGGAGGATGCAGAGAAGGAAGGTAGGGATAATTTTTTGAGTTCTTATTTTTGAACGTATCTTTAGTTCTAACCCTTATACTTGAAAACATTAAGAATAATTTTTGCCATGGAATAATAAAAGGATTCCTCTGTTGTCTTTTATTATAGTAATCACTATTGCCATCCAGATTTTTAATTCCATTCTCATTTCTCTTATGTGCAGGGCTGTCATATCTAACAAATAAAAATACATAACCCTCAGTTAAATTTTACTTTCAGGTAACAAAATATTGTTAGTATAAATATGTCCCAGGCAATATTTGGGATATACTAAAAATGTATTCATGTTTATTTAAACAACGAATTTAATTGGGTACCCTGTATTTGATCTGGAATCTCTATTTGTAAGTAATATTTTTCTCTCTCCCTGGAAGCTTTCAATATATTCTCTTCTCCAAAGTGTTCTAAAATTTCACGATGATGTATGTATCTCTTTTTCTTACTTATTATACAGTATATTCAGTGAGTTCTAACTCTGGGGGAGAAAAACTTTCACCCCTAGGAAATTTTCTTAATTATTATTTTCTTCCCATTCACTATTTCTGTTCCTTTCTCTTTCTGGAATCCTTATTATTGACAGGTTGGACCTCCCCTCCTAGTTTCCATTTTTTAAAAGTTTGTTCATTTCCCTAGGAGACTTTTATCAACTTCACTTTGTAGGCTTTCTATTGGAATTAGAACTTTGCATATTTTTATTTTCAAAAAATGTCCTCTTTATATAGACTGCTTATTTTTCATATCATTCTGTTCCTATTATGTGCACATATCAAAGGATGCTTTTCAATATAAATATTAAGAAAGATTCCCAGAAATACTAATACCTTGTAACTAGGTTACTTCCCTCACTACCTTTAACTACTCTGAATTGTTGTGTTATATAATCCTTCAGACTTGAGAGAAAATAGCTTTTTCGCCCACATTGAACCTTTCTTTCCTCATCCATATCTTAACATCACAAAATCAGAGGATTGGAGAGATATAGAGTCATTTTGTCCAATCACCCAACCACCCATCTTGTCTAGGACTCTTTATGAGTTATCCACTTTGGGGTAACAAATTACACAAATTTAGGAGCTTGAAACAACAGACATTCATTATCTCACAACTCCTGTGGGTCAGGGATTCAAGCACAGCTTTGCCGGGTCTTCTGTTTAGGGTCTCACCAGGCTGCAGCCAAGGGGTTGCCAGGACTGGTTCTCAACTAGAGGCTTGACTAGGGAAGGATCTTCTTCCAATCCCACTCATGTTGTTGGCAGCATTCTGTTTCTTGTGGCTGTAAGAATCACAGAAGCTTGCTTCTTCAAAGCCAGCAACAGAGACAGACTCCAGAAAGATGGGAACTAACACTCTTACACAATCATACACCCAGAATCACATGCATACCATCACCTTTGCATTCTATTGGCATGAACCTCAAGTCACAAGCCCACCCACACTCAAGAGGAGGGGATGACACTAAGGTGTGACTACCAGAAAGCAGGGATCATGGGGACTACCTTAAAATCTCAACCTTGGCACTATTAACATTTGAGAGCCAAGAATTCTTTGTTTTGAATGGCTGTCTTGTGCACTGAAAGATATTTAACAGCATGTCTGGCCCCTAGATGCCAGTAACATGCTGCCACCCCCAGATAAAAATGTCTCCAGACATTGCCAATAGTCCCTTAGGGGCAAAATCACCCCCTGTTGAGAATCACTTCTCCGTAGGAATAATCCGATCACTTACAGTGAACAACTTTCTCAAAAGAAAGGTCCTATTTGCTCTTACAAGTTATGCATTCCTTCTACAGCTTTTTTTCTGAATAGCAAATAAATAAATAAGTGTGTTTGTGTGTGTGTCAGAAGAGGGTGTAAAATCCAGTGATACAGTGATAGCAATTGCTTTTTTAAAAATTGAGACATAATTCACATACTATGAAACTCATCATTTTAACGTGTACAATTCAGTACTTTTTAGTATATTTATAAGGTTGTGTGACTTTTACCACCATCTAATTCAGAACATTTTCACCATCCCAAAAAGAAACCCTGTGCCCTGTGCCCATTAGCAATCACTCCCACTTCCTCTCTTCCCCCAGCTTCTGACAAACACTAATCTACTTTCTATCTCTATAAATTTGCCTATTTGGATCATTTCATGTAAGTGGAATCATATACACATATATGTATATGATATATATGTATATGATTCCATATATATGTATGATTCCATATATATGTATATATGTGTATACATGTATATTTGTGTATATATGTATATATGTGTATATATGTGTGTGTATATGTATATATGATTCCACTTACATGAAACGATCCAAAGTATATATATGTGTATATATGCAAAAGGCTGTATATATATGTATATACATATGTATACATATATACACATATACGTATATATACACACATATATACACATATACACATATATGTATATATACACATATACGTATATATACACATATATACATATATACATGTACATATATGTGTATATGTATACACGCATATATACATGCATGTGTATATATGTATATATATGCAAAAGGATGTATATATGTGTATACATGTATACATCCTTTTGCATATATATACATATATACACATGCATGTATATATATGTATGTGTGTATATATATATATATATATATATATATATATATATACAGCCTTTTGCAACTGGCTTATTTCACTTAACATAATGTTTTCTGTGTTGTAGTATGTATCAGTACTTCATTACTTTTTATGGTTGAATAATATTCCATTGCATGGATATACCATATTTTGTTGATTCATTCATCAGTTAATGTATATTTGGACTGCTTGCACTCTGTGACTATTATGAATAATGCTACTACGAATATTTGTGCTCTTGTGTAAACTTATGTTTTAATACTCTTGGGTATATACTTAGGAATGGACTCACTGGGTCACATGTTTAACTTGTTGAGTGACTGCCAATATTTTCCACAGTGGCTGTGCCATTATATAATGCATTCCAATTTCTCCACATCCTCAGCAACAATTGTCCACCTTTTTATTATAGTTATCCTACTGGATGTAAAGTGTCATCTCATTGTAGGTTTAATTTGTGATCCTTGATGGCTAATGATGTTGAGCACCTTTCCATGTGCTTGTTGGCCATTTATATATTTTCTTTGGGGAAATGTTTGGTCAAGTCCTTTCCCCATGTAATCGAATTGTTTGTCTTTTGTTGTTGAATTTTAAGAGTTATTTATATATTCTGGATCCTAGACTCTTATCAGATATATAACTTCCAAATATTTTCTCCCATTTTATAGATTGCCTTTTCACTTTCTTGATAGTGTTCTTTGAATGCACAAAAAAGCACTCAACTTTGATAAAGCCTAATTTATCTATTTTTAATTTTGTTGCTCCTGCTTTTGGTGTTGTGTCTAAGAATCCACTGCCAAATCCAAGGTCATGAAAACTTATCCCTGCGTTTTCTTCTAAGAGTTGTATAGTTTTAAAAGCAATTGTTTTTTAAAGACCAAATGTTAACCTGCCTTTTTTGTCATAAATGTCCCAAGATTCCTCTAGCAGGCCTCTTGGGCAGCAACATACAATTATCATCAGCTACAAACCTTTCTGCCCTGACCATAGGTTGACCCTAAAAGTGGAAAACCAATAAACACTGATTTGGGAATCAAAGCTAAAAAATAGAAAAATGGTGAAGCAATAGGAGCGGTTGAGATTTTTCAGGGGTAAAATGTGACATGGGAAGAGGAAGTCAAGGACACAAAGACTTTTTGGGACCTCAATGTAAAGGGCACACAGTGGAAGAGAATCCAGTTCTCCATTCAGATTACTTTGCTTTTGATTTTTGAGCATGTTATATTCTATTTCTAGTTCCACCTACTTCTAAACCTGACCTAACCTGAACTTTCCTGAGCTCCTCTGAGCATAGAAGGAGGCAATAGATCTTTTCTATTTTTCTTAGTTCCTTTATTTTTCTCAGGATAAACTACATTCCAAGTCTAGTTTGCCCAAATAAACAACGAAATTCTCAGTTGACATTAACTATTCCTTCTGTAGCAGAACACAACCTCCTGCCTAGAGTCATAGATGTTGGCTTTTCCACACCCACATGGCTTAAGCCCAAGTACAAATTTATTGGATTCAATTTCATATGCGAAGCAAACCTACTTATTGGCATAAATACACAAAGTGGCATATCCTATTTCTTTTCATATTTTCTTTCATTTTCAATACATATACCCACAAACATATATGTAATTTTTCACAAATATGTAACTGTGATAACATGCATGCTTTGGTGGGTGTGTACAATTCTTCTTTTCTTTATTCTTTGGTAACATTGTGCCAATACCACAGACATGACACATGCAGACACCTACACCAATGTTTCTTCATGGTCTTCAGACTTTTACATCTGTGTGTATTAAAATTCAACTTGTTGAGCTCCATTAATACTGATATGCATGGCCTGTCAGGGTGCAGATTGTACTCCTTTTTGAAATGATTTCTCAGGAACCACCAGATGACATTTTCACCCCATCGACTTCCCTCTGATTTCGCTGCTAACTAACCTCCCCCAAAGTGGAAGGACACCCGCTGTGTTAGATCATAGAGCTTCAAGTCCAGGGGAAAACTAAGGATGATTTACAGATGCTTGAGGGCAACTTACATTTCTATAGCAACTAAGCATTTGGAAAATCATTTGCATACACATTATCTCCCTTTATGCTTACAACATGCCTTGGGAGTTGACGTTGTTACTCTTCATTTTATGGATAAGGAAATGACTTGTCACTCGGTAAGTAGTTTAACTATAACCACACTACACTGTACTCTCTAGATTTGGAATAATGTTAGTTTTATATTATCAAAGCCTAGTGAATATTTTGGGATTGCCTATACAAAAAGGGAGATTAAATTTCAGAAGCAAAGTAAGCATCCAAACCCAAGAAGTAAAACATAAAAATTTTCATCTTTAAATATGTGAAAAGCTTATACACAGTGAAAACTCCAGGTCTAGCTCATTTATTCCAACTAATTCGATCTCTGGAACATTCTCTGGCTGGTCTGATTCCTAGAGAACATTAGTAGTAATGGCATGAGTAAAATGCAGGAAACAGCTCAGTCAGGGGAGATGCTCATACCTAGCTCCACCAGGAAAATGGCAGCAGAAAGTCACTCTACGGTGACAGAGTTCATTCTCAGGAAAAAGCCAGCAAGGGCTCCAGCTCCCCCTCTTCTAGGGATCTGTTTGAAAACCGTAGTGGGGGCCCTCATCTTGATCACTCTAGTTTTCCTTAATTCTCAGCTTCACCCTCCCATGTACTACGTCATCAGAAATTTATCATTTATGGATCACTGCAATTGCTCTATTAGTACCCCTAAAATACTGGTGAAGTTTGTGTTAGAGAAGACCATCATCTCCTATGAGGACGGCATGTCACAGCTTTGTAGTGCTTCGTGTTTATATTGTCATGGCCAAGCGTAACATGCGGACCAGCAACTGCTGTCATCACATTTCATCAAGTCAGCTCCCTGCTGGTAGTTGTAGTATTTATATGGAGTTGACTGGTACAACAATAGATATTTTGCCTTGTATTAAAATAGTACTAGTGTGAGTTATTCATCAGTCATACTTCTCTCATGCACTAGCATCTATGATATTGATAGGACAATTTTCTTTTTTACTTGATGCAATATTGTAGTCACTAGATTAACAGTTGTTTCCTACTCCTTTTCTCTCCAGCATCCTCCACATCAGCTTTACAAAGGGCAAGCTCTGGGTTTTTCCCGTAGGTCTGACGCATTCATGCTGTTGCCTTGTCCTCTCTTGGATTGCTTGCTCCAGAGAAAGGCAGGTGCCATGTAGTGAGAACATTCAATCAGCCCTATGGAAAGGGCCATGTGGCGAAGCACTGAGGCCTCCTGCCACACTGAGGCCTTCTGCCAAAAGCCACATGAGTGAGCCATCCAGGATGTGACTCTTCCAATCCCAACTGAGACATCAGATGACCAAAGCCAAGCTCTTGACTGCAACCTTTGAGCAACTCTGAGTCACAGCAACCCAGCTAAGATGCTACCAAATGCCTGACCTGCAGAACCTGGGAAATAATAAATGTTTGTTGTTTTAAGATGCTAATTTTTTTTTTTTTAGATGGAGTCTCACTCTGTCACCCAGGCTGGAGTGCAGTGGCACGATCTTGGCTCACTGCAACTTCCACCTCCTGGGTTCAAGCAATTCTCTGCCTCAGCCTCCCAAGTAGCTGGGATTACAGGTGCCCACCACCATGCCCGGCTAATTTTTTGTATTTTTAGTAGAGATGGGGTTTCACCATCTTGGCCAGGCTGGTCTTGAATTCCTGACCTCATGATCCACCCACCTCAGCCTCCCAAAGTGCTGGGATTATAGGCATGAGCCACCGCACCCAGCCTTAAGATGCTAATTTTTAAAGTAATTTGTTACTCAGAAATAGTGCACATATGAAGAGCTCAAAGTCATTAGTCATCAGGAGAAAAGACAATTAAAGTAACAAGATATCATTTTACAGCAGTAGCCCCAGAGGACCTAGAAATTCTAGACCTGGACGTGTATCCCAACTGAATTTTCCTTTAGGACCATGAGGGGAAATGTATGTTATTTGTGGAAGTAAAATGAGTCTCCATCAATAGGCAAGTGAGTAGGTAAAGTATTTTGCAGCAGTAGAAACAGATTTGCTGTGGACATAACAACATGGATTGACTTTAAAGTGCTGAGTGTTTTTTTATTTATTTTATTTTATTTTATTTTATTTTTTTGAGACGGAGTCTTGCTCTGTCTCCCAGGCTGAGCACAGTGGCGTGATCTCGGCTCACTGCAAGCTCCACCTCCTGGGTTCACACCATTCTCCTGCCTTAGCCTCCAGAGTAGCTGGGATTACAGGTGCCCGCCACCATGCCTGGCTAATTTTTTTGTATTTTTAGTAGAGACGAGGTTTCACCATGTTAGCCAGGATGGTCTCCATCTCCTGACCTCGTGATCTGCCCGCCTCGGCCTCCCAAAGTGCTGGGATTACAGATGTGAGCCGCTGCGCCCAGCCTGAGTGTTTTTAAAAATAAGAAACAGAATGAAATATAACATGGAATATCACTTATGTATATTAAAATTACAAAGCACAGACTTTCAAGTAAGGTGCAATATGTCATGTCATAGCATGGCAGGTGAATGCTCCTGCAGCAACAAATAGAAAAAGCTGTATCAATAACAAAAAGTATGTTTTATGGATATCTGGAAGCTATGAAAGAAATGAGAATGAGAGGAATTGAAATTCCAGAGGAAACAGAACTATTTTGCAGTAAGATAACAAGTTATTTCTGTTTCTAGGAGACTTGGTCCAAGCACAGGGCCTCTGTTGAGAAAAAAATAAACCATCAAAGCTTTTAATGATTCTTACCAGATGGAGTGACAATTAGAAACTTGAGGGACTTCACACACATGGCCAGTTGTCCCCAGAGGACATAGACTGAGCGCTAGAGTCATGTGAACTGAAGACCAGAACAGAAGTTTCTAAAATACAAAGTGAAAACTGCTACACTCTGTGATGCTTAGAAAACGAAGACCCTCCAGAGGGACGGGGTCTGCACTGAACTCACTGATCCAAACTCACTGAGCCAGTGTCTAACATTTGCCAGATTTTGAAGCAGTAGGAGGCTAAAGTGCTAAATGGAAATCCTCTAAAGAGGATAATAGAACTTCTCAATCTTTCATAGCTTAAGAGAAAAGACCCAACAGGTTCTCAGTCAAAAACCTGGAAAGGTCAAGCTTAGGAACAGGGAAAACTAACTGTAGACAGAACCTTACTAAAATTCCAACACAGGCCTAACCATGCTCAGTTCCTGGTAGAATTGTAATCAGCTTCTCACCCTATTTACCTAGTAGAAGGGTGAGCCATCTTTAGTGAATGATAGCATCATCTAGAACATCTATGGTTCTTATGGTTTTGTATACACAGTCTTCAGCATACAATGTGAAACTACTAGATATACAAGGAGATGAGACCACATGACCAATAAAGAAGAGAAAAAGTAGACAGTAAAAGCAGATCCATAGACTACCCAGATTCTGGAGTTAGCAATAAGAATTTTAAAATAACTCCGATTAGCAAGATCAAGAAAATATAAGATGGGTGAATTAGATGAAAGTTATGGGCTGGGCGCGGTGGCTCATGCCTGTAATTCCAGCACTTTGGGAGGCGGAGGCAGGTGAATCAGGAGGTCAGGAGTCCGAGACCAGCCTGGCCAACATGGTGAAACCCTATCTCTACTAAAAATACAAAACATTAGCTGGGCTTAGTGGCAGGTGCCTGTAATCCCAGCTACTCGGGAGGCTGAGGCAGGAGAATCGCTTGAACCTGGGAGGCGGAGGTTGCAGTGAGCCGAGATTGCGCCACTGTACTCCAGCCTGGGCAACAGAGTGAGACTCAGTCTCAAAAAAAAAAAAAGAAAGTTATGGATATTTCTGCCAGAAAACTAGGATCTTTAAAAAATAATCAAGCAGAATTTTCTGGAGTGATGATAATGTTCTAATTGTAATGGGGTGTGGATTACACAGGTGTATGCATTTGTCAAACTCCATGTATGCACACCTCAACTTTGTTCATTTCATTGTATGTAAATTTTACCTCTAAAAAAACTGTAAATAGGCCAGTTGTGGTGTCTCATGCCTGTAATCCCAGCACCTTGGGAGGCCAAGGTGGGTGAATTACCTGAGGTCAGGAGTTCAAGACCACCCCGACCAACATGGTGAAACCCCATCTCTACTACAAATACAAAAATTAGCTGGGCGAAGTGGTGGGCACCTGTAATCCCAGCTACTCAGGAGGCTGAGGCAGGAGAATCGCTTGAACCCGGGAGGTGGAGCTTGCAGTGAGCCGAGTCCTTGTGCCACTGCACTCCAGCCTGGGCAATAAGAGCGAAACTCCGTCTCCAAAAAAAAAACAAAAAACCTGTAAATCAACATTGAGGTATAGTTGATGTGCATGCTGAAATGTTTAGGGAAGAGAATATCAATGTCTGCAACTTACTTTGAAATGCATCCAAAAAAAGATTAATTAATGGGTGCACGGAGGCTGGATAGATGAATAACAAAGCAAACCACGTGAAGTGCTAATGATAGAATTAAGGATTGCCAGCATTCACTATAAAATTCTTTCAACCTTGCTATATATATAAAATTACATAATACAATTTGATATAAGAGGATATTATGATTACTAGTATGCCAACAAATTTGACAGTTTGAATGGAAAATGGACAATTTTCTCAAATTTTTAACTTATTAATATAATGGTTTAAAATAGTTCTCAAATTCTTTGACACTCCTTTAAACTGTGTAGCTTAATTCCCTTCCCTGTGGGTATGGGGACTTAATGACTTCCTTCTAGTGAATAGTAAAAAGCAGAAATAGCAGTTGCAACTTCAGAGATTAGGTCATGCAAGGCACTGTCGCTTCCTGTTTGCTTTCTCTCTTGGATCACCTGCTCTGGGAAAACCAGCACCCATGTCACCCTAAGGAGAGGCCTATGCAGTAAGGAACTGAGGCCTACTGCCAACACTCCGCAAGAAACTGAGACTCCCAGCCAGTAACCGCTCAGTGAGTATAGATGTCTGCAGCCCCAATCAACACCTTCACTAGACCCTGAGCCAGAACAGCCTAGCTAAGCCCCTCCCAAATTTCTGATCTGTAGAATATTTGAGATAATAAATTTTTTTTGTTTTAAGCCCTACATTTTGGGGTAATTTTTTATGCAACAATAGAAAGCTAGTGCATTTAAGCTATGTTAAGAGAAACTAGAAAATCTGATTAGTCAGGCCAGGCGCGGTGGCTCACGCCCGTAATGTCAGCACTTTGGGAGGCTGAGGCGGGGGGATCACCTGAGGTTGGGAGTTCGAGACCAGCCTGGCCAACATGGTGAAACCCTGTCTCTACTAAAAATACAAAACTTAGCTGGGCATGGTGGCACACGCCTGTAATCCCAGCTACTCCAGAAGCTGAGGTGGGAGAATCGCTTGAACTCTGGAAGCAGAGGTTGCAGTGAGCCGAGATAGCGCCACTGTGCTCCATCCTGGGCAACAGGGTGAGACTTCATATCAAAAAAAATAAAATAAAGTAAAAGTTAAAAAAAAGAAAATCTGAATAGTCAAATATTGACTAAGGAAATTGAATCCATTACTAAAATTCCACACAAAGAAAATCCCAAGACTAGGTGGTTTCACCTGTAAATTCTGCCAAATATTTAATGAAGAAATAATACCAATACTGCACAAACTCTTACAAGAGGAGGCAGATAAAGAAGAAATACTTCCTAACTCTTTTGGCATGGCCAGCATAACCTGCCAAAGACCTGATAAAAAAGGAAAATTAAATCAAGTTCTTTCTTCTTTTTAAATAGAAATGTAAAAATCCTTAACAAAATATTAGCAAACTGAAACCAGTAAAAAATTTAAAAGGTAATATATCTGAACTAAGTGAGATTTATTTCACAGATGCAAGAGTAATTTAACATTCAAAAATTGATCAATATATCTCATCAAAATAATACACATAAAGATAAAAATCATATGAGCATCTCAAAGTATGCAGAAAAAATATTTTTAAAAATTGAATATTCATTCATATCAAACACACTTAGCAAGCTAGGAATAAAGGAGAACTTCTTTAATGTGAAAAAGAATTCCTACCAATAAAAAAAAAGGAAAAAAACCTACAATGAACATCCTGCTCAATAATAACACTGAAAACTTTCCGCCTGAGAGAAGGAACAAGACAGAGATACCCATTATCACTACTCATATTCAATATTATACTGGATGGCCTAACCAGTGTAATAAGGCAAGAAAATAAATAAAAGGCATAACGATAGAAAGAAAGAAAGAAAGAAAGAAAGAAAGAAAGAAAGAAAGAAAGCTGTGATTTTTCATAAATGATATGGTTGTATAGATTTTTAAAAATCTGAATTAATCTACAAACTATTAGAATCAATAAATGAATTCAATAAGATTGACGTATACAAGATCAGTGTACAAAAATCAGTTGTATTTTCATATGTGAGCAACAAACAATTAGAAAATCAATTTTTTAAAAAATATATGGTTAACAATAGCATCAAGAAACATCAAACACCTAGGAATAAATCCAACAATAGATGTGTAAGACATCTGCACTTAAAACCAAAAGTTGCTACGGACAGAAAGACGTCTTTTTTTTTTTTTTCTTTGAGACAGAGTTTCACTTTTGTTGCCCAGGCTGGAGTGCAGTGGCACGATCTCGGCTCATGCAACCTCCACCTCCCGGGTTCAAGTGATTCTTCTGCCTCAGCCTCCCGAGTAGCTGGGATTACAGGTACCTGTCTCCACGTCCAGCTAATTTTTCGTATTTTTACTAGAAATGGGTTGTCATCATGTTGGCCAGGCTGGTCTCGAACTCCTGACCTCAGGTGATTCACCCACCTTGGCCTCCCAAAGTGCTGGGATTACAGGTGTGAGCCACTGCACCCGGCCTCAGAAAGAAGTCTTAAGCAAATGGAGGGATATGCCATGTTCATAGATTTGAAGACTAAATGCTGTAAAGAAGGCAATTTTTCCCAAATTAAGCTGTAAATTAAAGTCACAATCAAAAATTCCAGCAGGTTTCTTTCCTGCTGAAATTCAAAAACTGATGGTAAAATTCATGTAGAAATGCAAAAGATCCAAAATAGCCAGAGCAATCCTGAAGAACAATAAAACTGGAAGATCTACACTACAGGTGCCAAGACCTACTATAAAGCTATACTAGCTAAGATATTGTAGTGTTGGCAAAAAAAAAAAAAAAAAAAAAAAGACATTGTCAGCTGGAACACAGTCACCTGATTTATGACCATGACAACACTGCACTGCAATGAGAAAGGAAAGGTCTTACAATAAATTGTGCTGAGTCAGCTGGATAGCCATATGGAAAATAATATTTCTTGACTCATATCTCATACCATATGTTAAAAAAAATTATAGATGAACTGCAGACCCAAATGAGAAAGATAAAACAAAAATATTTTGGAGAACACCTAGGAAACATTTTTCATGGTATTGTAATTAATAACCAATTGCTTCTTAAACAGAATACATATAGCACTATCCATAGAAAAAAATGATACATTGACTGTATTAAAATTAGAAATTCTGGTCATCAAAAGACACCATTAAGAGAATGAAAAGGCAACAAGTGGAGTGGAAGAAGATATAAATAAAACATATTGCTAGCAATGGTCTCACATCCAGAATATTTGAAAGAGTACTACAAATCAATAAGCAAAAGACAGACAACCCAACAGAAAAACAGGCAAAAGACTCAGACGTACACCCACATCCATCCACAAAAGAAGATATCCAAATGGCCGAAGTAGCCAACTTCATTAGTCAACAGAGATATTCAAGTTAAAACCACATTGCATTACTACTATACACCTTCCAAAATGGCTTAAAAAAAATTTTAATTCCAAAAGTGTAATGTCAAGGATGTGCAGCAACTAGGATTTTCATAAGCTGTTGGTGAAAGTGTAAACTGAAACAACCTCTTGAAAAACTATAGAGATAAACATATGCATAGCATTATGACCTAGCAATCCCACCCCTCAATATGTACCCAACATAAGTGCATACATATATTCACCAGGAGACACATATTAGGATGTTCACAGCAACAGTATCTCATAACATCCAGAACCTGAAAACTCAAATATCTGTCAGCTTATGAATGGATAAACAAATTGTTATATATCTACACAGAGGAAACGCATTTCTGGTACATGCAACATGGTGAATCTCAAAAATATGTTGAGCAGAGAATCCAGACACATAAACACATGCACATGATTCCATTTACATAAAGTACAAAAACAGGCAATGAAATGGATGATTCTCATAAATATGATGTGGAGCAAAAGAAGCCAGACACAAAAGAGTAAATACACAAGATTCCATTTTCATAATGTATAAAAAAGCAAAACTAATCAATTAGAAGTTTATATAATGCTTACCGTTTGGAAAAGCTGGAAGAGAGGAGCACAGAGGTGGTTTCTGGGGTGCTCGTAATGTTCTGTTTCTTGATCAGACGAGTATTTATTAAACTGCATCCTTATGGTATGTGAATTTTTCTCTCGTTTTTTGGTCTTTTTAATTTTTTATTTCAATCGCTTTTGGGGTACAAATCGTTTTTGGTTACACGGATAAACTGCATAGTGGTGAGGTCTGAGATTTTAGTGTACCCGTCACCCAAGTTGTGTGCACCGTACACAATACTAAGGTGTGTACATTATTTCTCAATAAAAATGTATTTTTAAAAAGTAAAAGGATATGCATGCATACAAACTAATAATAAACATTTGGCAAAAACATGCCTAATTAAAAGATACAGAAATGTGGTGTGGGGAGGGTAATGGGGAATAGAAATAAAGGGTCCCTTCTGCTGCCCCATGACCCATACACGCCAGTTAGCCCACGCGGGGCAGCTCTGAATCCAAGTTGGCCTCTAGCCTGTGGGATGGGGAGAGAGGTAAGCCCAGCCCAAACATTTGTGGCCTAGGAGAAAAAAGTTCAAATACAGATCCACATACCATATATCTAAAATATTAAAAGTTATAAACCAAGTTAACAAACTGTTAAATAAAATATGTTATTCTTGCTCACCTAGACATATATAGACAAACACACCCCAGCTTCATAATGATCAGGAATGCCAGATTCAAATTTAGAATCCTCAGACTCTCCCAAGCCCCTGGCCCAATCTTCTCTTCCCAACTCAGCTAACACCCACATTGCAAAAAACCTCAGAATTGCATGTGTGGACACCCCAAGATTTATAAATTGCATCCAAACCCTGACAACCAGCCATTCCTTGGGCCTAGAAGTGCACACCAGCAGCACAATCTTCCCTTGGGCAGTTGCCCCTGAAAAAAAGGCCCACACAGGTCTGGGAAGCAGGCTGAGGCCATTTGGGCAGGGCCTTAGAGAGTGGTTTCTAGCTGGGTGCACAGACTCTGAATGGACACATCCCCTTGGGCCCACGTACTCCTTGCCTCATGAGAAGGACACAACCAAAGAGGATAAGGTTAAGAGCCTCTATTGCCAGTTTAAGGGCAACACTAGAGACAAGAGTGCCCTATTCTCCACTTACCCACCCCCACCAAATTGAAATAAGAGCTGACACTTCTGCTACACTTTACGGTTTACAAAGCACCTTCACAAACAATACTCTTAATCAATCCCCACAGTCTTGTAAGCTTGTTACATATCACAATTTGAGAGATGGGGAAACTGAGCTAAAAGTGACTTGCCTGAAGTCACACAGTTAAAACCTGAGTACTCCTAGGTCTCCAGTGGAGGAGTTTCTCCTCCGAATTTCAAAGGTTGTACTCTTTCCATGACTCAACACTGCCATGCATCCCCCAGCTTTGTAAAGAACCCAAGGGCTAAAAAGGAATTGGAAATTGTAAATATGTAGTTGAAACATTTTGGAAAAAAGACCATAGTCAGGGAAGGAAATCTAACACCAAATACAGAAAAGTTCTGGGAAAGAGTCTGGGCCCAGAGCAAAAATCATCACTGGGACAAAGACTACTATGTAGGGTAGCAATCCCAGCTGGGTCGTGGGGACTCCATTCCCACTCCAAACCACAAAATGAGTGCCTTCAAAACATTTAAGCAATCCTCACCCAAATTCCACACAAATTACATGGAGGGGGGTCCTGGCTCCACAGCCCTCCTTCTCTCCACTGAAAATACTTTATCAATGACAGGGCAGCATAAAGCCACAGACCTCCATCTGCTCTAGGACAATCCAGACAGCAGCGTGGCACCAGGCCCAGGTAAGGCCCGACCCTCCTCCAGCAAGGACCCGCTAAGGCTATGCCTCCCTCTAATTAGCAGGGCCTGGCTCAGGGCCTGGGCAGTTATTTAGAGAACCATCGCCTGCTCCCAGCAGAGATATCCATAAGGCTGGGGTGGCAGGCACTGTCTGCCCAAAGTCAGCTGCCTGAAGCTGCCGTCTCCTCATTCCACCATCCCAGGACCCCTGCTGCCACCTCTGCACCCCCAAGCTCAGCAGCATCATGTCACTTGCACACACAGCTGCAGAGTACATGCTCTCAGATGCCCTGCTGCCTGACCGCAGGGGACCCCGCCTCAAAGGACTGCGTCTGGAACTGCCCCTGGACCGGATAGTCAAGTTCGTAGCTGTGGGCTCCCCCTTGTTGCTGATGTCCCTGGCATTCGCCCAGGAGTTCTCCTCTGGTAAGTTGCTTCCAAGACCCAGTGCGCAAGAGAGACTCCCCCTCATGTCACTCTCTGCATGGGCTCTGAAGTGAGATGGTGCGCACAGTGACGGGATTCCATGGCTTCGGGCTGGGCTGGATTATCCAAAAGGCAGATGGTGCATGAGTTCAGGGCACCAGCAAAGCAGAGGCACCAAAAAATTTTGAAAGTCATCTCCAAAATGTTACAGTAAAAAAAAAAAAAAAAAAAAAAATTGTTGTAATTTTAGTATTCATATATTTTATGTCATTTCAAATGATGAAAGCTTTATTTTGGCTTTCATTATGGATGAAAGAAGTTGACACTCCTGGTAATGTTTTTAGGGCCTTAGACCTCTTCATCTTAGCTGGGCTGTCGCCAAGTCTCTTATTTGCTCTGGGCCCTCTTCCCACCCCTAACCCGCCAACTCCAGGGTTATTGACTTGAGAACATGTGTTAAGTGCCTGAGGGCCATGCACATTGGAGATGCTGCATAAACCCACTGCTTCCTGTCTACAAACCCCAGCCGCACACACAGACATTAGCATACACATACATCTAGGGTTTCAGGTGCTAGATTCAGTCAGCAAATCCACTACCTTTGTTAAAGAGAATGTGGACTTCCTGAGAACTGAGACTTCTGGCTTTCCTTTCTGGCAGTGCCATTAGCTTACTACATTTCCCAAACAGGTGTGCCAGCCTCCCACCGCCTCTTTATTCATCCACAACCAGGGCAGAAGAAATGGCTCCCACTTCTTCCTCTTTCTGGAGAATGATGTGAAAACAAAAAGGCAGGAACTCTCCTCCAAGTCCACTTTCCTTTCGGCATAATTTGCCCACCCTTTCTCTTCATTTAGGCTCGGAAGCCCAGGCAATTCATCCTCAACATTTTAGAGTCTAAAGGATGTCAGTTATTTCAGGAAAGAGACATCACCATCAAACCGCAAGCCTTCTGGTACCAGACTACAGGAGCACAAAAAGCCCAGGGGGTGCTCTGAGAGCAAAGAACCACCAGACCCAAAAGGCTGAGTCAGCACTGGCAAGCCCTGGCCATACAGTGGGATGCGTCCAGGAGTGCCCTGTCCTACCGTGACATGGCAGTGCTCAACCCAGAAGACTAAGGTGTGGGAAGAAGACAGTCCCTGCCAGAAACAGAAACTGGGGAAGAGTTAGATGATTGCCCCTGAGTCCCCACTCCTCCACTCCAACTCAGGCGGCCTCAAAGCTGTGTTCCTGTTGCAGGGTCTCCGATCAGCTGCTTCTCTCCCAGTAACTTCAGCATCCGGCAGGCAGCCTACGTGGACAGCTCCTGCTGGGACTCACTGCTTCACCATAAGCAGGACGGGCCTGGCCAGGACAAAATGAAATCTCTCTGGCCCCACAAGGTAAAGCAAACTCTCTGTAAGGCCAGCTTCACGGCTGAGTGGAGTGGTGCAGAACCCCTTCATTCTACTCCCTCTTGCCTCTATCCCCACCACCCCTAACCCATTTATTTTGGTCACTTACTTTCATGTTTCAGGCATTCTCTGAATCTGGCAATCTTTGGTTGCTCCCTTTTATCTAATTGGAAGCTTTGTGCCTAAGGGTGAGGCACATAAACAGGCAGACTTCGGTTTAAGGTGATCCCTTTGGTCTATTTCATTAGTATGTGAAATATTGACTCTGTAGTCCTTTCTCCTGGGCTCATCAGTTTCCTCCTAGAAGAGTCATTCAAACCTTAATTTGTGGGGAGGGGCGGGGTGCAGTTGGAATTAAGCCAGGCTGCCAACCCTCTAGGAACTCGGCTGTGGGTCTCACCATTCAGAGTTCACTCAGCTGCTCCCCCTGTCCCAGCACGGCTCCCCTGCCTCAATGGACCCAAGAGCAGAGTTTAATCTGGTTTAATCTCTCCAGGGAGTAACCGTCAAGCCTCTGTTAGGGGAGGGAAAGAGGAGCCGCTTGACTGCCTCACATTACAGAAAGGATCTGCGGGCTGCTTCTCACACAGATTTTTCCAACAAGATCCCTGTTTTCAGCCTCTCCTGCACTCTTGTTTTCAGAAGTACCTGGTGTCTCCAATTCCTGGTTCTGTGGTGAAAACAGCCTGCCTGTCCCTGCCTCCTCTCCCCATCCTCCCCATGAACTGGTGTCTTCTATCTTGCAACTGCTTTCCAGTCTTCAATATTGGGCTCCCTTGTCTCCTCTCCTGTTCTCTTTGGCCTTATAAAAATATGTCTTATTGTCATCCTAGTGGGGTTTTAGGAGGAGGCAGTGGTAACATGTATGTTTGATTCACGAGGTTTAGTCAGAAGACACTCGTAGCATTTTCTAGGCACGACAGTTTCAAGGCGTCAAATTGCCACAGTTCTAGGACTGAGACAAAACCAGAGACTTAATGGAAAGAGTTAATGAGATTTCTATCACTGGAAGTTCAGGAAGGATCTAAATGGTAAAAAAAAAAAAAAAAAAAAAAAAGAAAAATAAATTCTGTGGTAGAGGAATTCACATATAAGAAAAGGATCAAATTGCCTGATAATCAAGATCGCCAGAAAACTTTATTTTTTTGAGACGGAGTTGTTTTGTGCTTGTCACCTAGGCTAGAGTGCAATGGTGCCATCTTGGCTCACTGCAACCTCTGCCTCCCGGGTTCAAGCGATTCTCCTGTCACAGCCTCCTGAGTAGCTGGGATTACAGGTGCATGCCACCATGCCTAGCTAATTTTTGTATTTTTAGTAGAGATGGAGTTTCACCATGTTGTCCAGGTTGGTCTCAAACTCCTGACCTCAGGTGATCCACCTGCCTCAGCCTCCCAAAGTGCTGGGATTACAGGCATAAGCCATAGCACCTGGCCACCAGGAAGCTTTTTAAACCCAAATTCTCAGGCTCCACTTCAGCCTACTACAACAGAATCTCTAAGTATAAAGGAAGGGTTTATTTTCAATAAACGCCCTTTCTTTTTTTTTTTTTTTTTTTTTTTGAGACAGAGTCTGGCTCTTGTCCCCCAGGCTGGAGTGCAATGGCACGATCTTGGCTCACTGCAACCTCCACCTCCCAGGTTCAAGCGATTCTCCCGCCTCAGCCTCCCAAGTAGCTGGGACTACAGGCACCCGCTACCATCCCCAGCTAATTTTTGTATTTTTAGTAGAGATGGGGTTTTATCACGTTGGTCAGGCTGGTCTCGAACTCCTGACCTTGTGATCCGCCCACCTCGACCTCCCAAAGTGCTGGGATTACAGGCGTGAGCCACCGTGCCCAGCCAAGAAATGCCCTTTCTTAGCAGCAAAAAGTTTCTAATTTTCTCTAGAGCCTGGTGTGCCTTTCCCAACATATCTTTCTTGTTTAATTCAGAAAACACAAACACACACCTTTCTTTTCTTTTCTTTTTGAGACAGAGTCTTACTCTGATGCCAGGCTGGAGTGCAGTGGAGCAATCTTGGCTCACTGCAACCTCCGCCTTCTGGGTTCAAGTGATTATCCTGCCTCAGCCTCCTGAGTAGCTGAGACTACAGGCACCCGCCACCAAGCCCAGCTAATTTTTGTATTTTTAGTAGAGACAGGGTTTCACCATGTTAGCCAGGATGGTCTCGATCTCTTGACCTTGTGATCCAACTGCCTCAGCCTCCCAAAGTGCTGGGATTACAGGTGTGAGCCACTGCGCCCGGCCCCACACCTTTCTTTTCTACCCAGGTACAATCAATTATGTATCCTCCCTCTTTTTCTTCAAATTCTCTTCTGAAATAACAAGCCATCCCTGGTTCAGGAGAAGCTATAAGTGAAGTAATCATTTAGGGAATAAGCTCCAGAATCAGACAGCCTATAGTTCTAAATCCTGGCTCTCCCACCTACTTGATGTACAACCCTGCACAGGTTACTTAATCTTTTCATGCTTTGGTTTCCTTATCTGTAAAATAGAGATACTAAATTGTATCTACCTGATGACATCCTTGTGAAGATCAAATAAAATAATGCATATTAAGCACCTAGCAAAAATGTAGCTTTAAAAAATATTTACAGGCTGGACGTGGTCGCTCACACCTGTAATCCCAGCACTTTAGGAGGCCAAGGTGGGCAGATCACTTGAGGTCAGGAATTCAAGACCAGCCTGGCCAACATGGTGAAACCCCATCTCTACTAAAAACACAAAAAGTAGCCGGGTGTGGTAGTGAGCACCTATAATCCCAGCTACTTGGGAGGCTGAGGCAGGAGAATTGCTTGAACCCACAGGAGGCGGAGCTTGCAGTGAGCAGAGATCGCACCACGGCACTCCAGCCTGGGCAAGAGAGCGAGACTCAATCTCAATAAATAAATAAATAAATAAATAAAAATCTTTACAAGTAGAGATTTTACTGTAGGCAAAATAGTTGGCCCAACCCTGCTAGGTGTGGTAAGTATGATGAGGAAACCTGAAGAAAAGTGCCTGTGTTAATTTGCTAGAGCTGCTGAAACCAAGCACCACCAACTGGGTGGCTTCAACAATCAAAATTATCGTCTCAGGGTTCTGGAGACCGGAAGTCTAAGATCAAGGTGTCATCAGTATTGGCTCCTCTGAAGGCTGCAAGGGAAACGTCTGCCAGGTTCCCACTCCTTGGCCTGTAGATCCAGTGCCCTGGGCAGTCTCCCTGTATGCATTTCTGCTTCTTTACCTGGCTTTTTTTTTAAAAAAGAAAAAAAAGAACATCAGTCATAATGAATTGGAAGCCCACCCTATTCCAGTATGACCTCATTTTGAATTAACTAGTTGCATCCACAACAACCCCATTTCCAAATAAGGTTTCATTCTGAGGTACTGAGAATTAGGACTTCAAGGTATGAATGGAGGGAGGTGGACATGGACACAATTCAACCCATATCAGTCCCTTATTGCAGATAGCTAATGATGCAGTCATTGAGCAGACAAGGCTTATGGATTCCTGAAAGTCACTTATAGATTTACATGCCTGAAAGAGCCCCGCAAAGAATCCCAAGACAGTGTCTGATAGTGTAGTTTGGCATTACCAAGAATCCAAAAATCAGAAAAGACCACTGTGCATCAGACAAGTCCAGGAAGGTGACAGGGAAGAAATGGGATTTTCTCTCCCTTAGGACAACATGGCCTCTGCTGGCCATGATCCCTAGCTAGCTAGCTGCCCAGACTACTTTGAGGGAGGTAGGCAGATGGCTCTCTCTCTCCTTTTCTCTCTCTCTCTCTATATATCCCTCTCCTGTCCTCCCCTCCCCTCCCTTCCCCTCTCCTTCCCACCTCTCCTCTCTCTCTCTCTCCTTATTCTCTCTCTCTCTCCTTATTCTCTCTCTCTCTTCTCCCTGGGACCCCACACAGACCCTGGATCAGAAAAGTGAACCAGGGGAGCATGAAGGTGCACATTCCTTCTGAAGCAGGCCCGCCTGTACTCAGCCAGGTCAGTAGGGTGCCTCAGGGGCTGAGCCTGGGCTAGCCCATTCCCCAAACAGCCTTCCCCTGCTGAGGCAGGAACAGGGGAAAGGAGAGCCCCTCAGTCAGCACTGTCACTCGGGGTCTCAGCAGCCCCGGCCTCCCTCCTCAGCTGCTCTCGCCCTGCAGGCCCTCCCCTACTCCCTGCTGGCCCTGGCCTTGCTCATGTACCTGCCGGTGCTGCTGTGGCAGTATGCAGCTGTGCCAGCCCTCAGCTCCGATCTGCTGTTCATCATCAGCGAACTGGACAAATCTTATAATCGCTCCATCCGCCTCGTGCAGCACATGCTGAAGATCCGGCAGAAGAGTTCCGACCCCTATGTGTTCTGGAATGAGCTGGAGAAGTGAGTTGTCTCTTCCACCTTTTTCTGAGAAATTCAGTCAAGCATTAAAATGATAACTTTGCATAGTCATCTTTAAATGATCTTCCATGCCATCCTTCTCAAGAAGGCAAAGTGCTTAACACATCATCTCATTAACTTTCTATTGTTTCTGTAAAGGGAGAGAGAAAGGACTCTTCCTCTAGTGTACAGATGACCACACTGAGCCCACAAAGGGATTCATCTGTCTAGAATTCCACTTTCATACACTACTGCCTTCAGAAACCTTAAATAGCTCCCTTCATGCCTACCAAAGAATACCCAAACTTTCCCAGATATGTGTGCAAGGCCCTCAACACACTGTCACCATCTACTTTTTCAAAATTCTAACTACCAGGTGACAGAAACCTTCCACCACACTTAGGCAGCCTCCTCCTTTTCCCCTGAACAAATTATTTATCTATGTAATCATTCCTCCACCTGCATACAGGCATTGTCCTGGGTGCTTCTGATACATTCACTTGTATGTGTTGGGGGATGGGGGTAGGAGAGACAAAGCTGTACCTACCCATGTGGGGCTTACATTCTATTAAGGAAACACAGACAAATAAACAGAACACAGAAATGAAATCTACGTTCTGAGATAATAAGTGGTATGAAGAAAAGAAAAAGTAAAGTGGGAAGTGGGGCAAGAGGAAGCTGGAGGGATGGAGAGTGGTGTAGCTTCACACAGAGTGGCCAGGCTAGATGGCCCAAGGAGACAATTGCGCTAACATTTGAATTATATTGTCCCATATTTATGCACATACTCTATCTTCTGAAAAAAAATCCTCTCTATCTTTTGAAGCCCAGATTTCAGCCAATATTTTCCATAAGGGTTTCTGAACATTGAAGGCCACACTGTTACCTCCCTCTCCTAACTTTTACAGCCACTGTGGTTTGTGTCCACTATTTTAGCAACAAACCAAGTGTCATTTTTATTCCGTATTTGCATGTCTTATCTGCCCCTTCCCCACAAGCCAGTCTCTAAGCTTCTTCAGAGCACAAACTGGCTTACATGTACCTGAACACCAAAGCTCTCGACAAACATTTGTGAGCCAAATTATTTACATAAGATGAATGAATTGTCCCAAAGATCATACACAGAGTACACAGGCCAAGAACCAGAATGTACTTTTTTTGGAGTGGGGGGGTGGGGGAGACAGGGTCTCACTCTGTTGCCCAGGCTGGAGTGCAGTGGCACGATCTTGGCTCATTGCAGCCTCAGTCTCCTGGGCACAAGCAATCCTCCCTCCTCAGCCTCCCAAGTAGCTGGAACCATAGGTGTACACTACTACACCCAGCTAATTTTTGTATTTTTTCATAGAGATGAGGTCTTACTGTGTTTCCCATGGTAGTCTCAAACCCCTGGGCTTATGGGACCCTTCCACCTCGGCCGCTGGGATTATGAGCATAAGCCACCATGCCCGGCCCAGAATGCACTTAGCTAAACCCCCAATCCAGTGCTAATTTCATAAGCCTATTGCTACCTAAAGATCCTACTTCAGCTTAGAACTTTAGTCCGCCTTGCTTGGCAGAAATCCAGTGTAATAAATCATTACTCACTGATCATTCACTGGGTTTATCACATTGCAGTAAGTACTTGGAGAATCAAGATATACTCATATGCCTCAGTTTGGGGGAGAAGCATGGTTATGCTCGGGAAGACAGATTTTCATGGGAACCAAGAATGCCATGTTGAAAACAGATCTGTTACTTTGTCACATGCCTCTCTTAGAGTATGGTTCTAAATGGTCACTACTAACCTTGCCTCCTTCCTTCCACTGCCCAGGGCTCGGAAAGAACGATACTTTGAATTCCCTTTGCTAGAGCGGTACCTGGCATGTAAGCAGCGTTCACATTCGCTAGTGGCTACCTACCTCCTGAGGAACTCCCTCTTGCTCATCTTCACCTCCGCCACTTACCTATACCTTGGTCATTTCCATCTGGATGTCTTCTTCCAGGAAGAATTCAGCTGCTCCATCAAGACAGGGCTGCTAAGTGATGAGACCCATGTCCCCAATCTGATCACATGCAGGCTGACATCACTGTCCATTTTCCAGATTGTTAGCCTCTCCAGTGTAGCAATATACACCATATTGGTTCCAGTGATAATATACAACCTCACACGGCTATGTCGGTGGGACAAACGACTTTTATCTGTCTATGAGATGCTCCCAGCTTTTGATCTCCTCAGCAGAAAGATGCTAGGATGTCCCATCAATGACCTCAATGTGATCCTTCTTTTCCTCCGAGCTAACATCTCTGAGCTCATCTCTTTTAGCTGGCTGAGTGTCTTATGTGTGTTGAAGGATACAACCACCCAGAAGCACAATATTGACACAGTAGTTGATTTTATGACTTTATTGGCTGGCTTAGAACCCTCAAAACCCAAACACCTCACCAACTCGGCATGTGATGAACACCCATAGTTAAGAAACCATGGAGCAAGAAAGCTTGTGGAAAGTCTCTCTCCTTCCTCATAAGACATGCACACTAATACACATACACACCAAAAAATTACACATTTTAAAACTGCTAAGCTTGGATTTAACTGAATCATATATCTTTTATCATGTTATCCTAAAAGTGAGAAGACATAACCAAGACATGGAAATAAATGTGAAAGCTGGAGCCGAAGAGTCAAAGAGCTAAAAAATTAAGTCTAGAACATTCTATGAGGATAGTATAAATAAAAAGAAATACAGTCTAGACATGCTGCAAGGAAAGAAGATTCTAAAGTCCGTTTATGGAGGCAATTCCATATCCTTTCTTGAACGCACATTCAGCTTACCCCAGAGAGCAAGTGAGGCAATCTGGCAAAAGATTAATAAAGATGTAAACCCCTGGAAACCCTTTGGTGTGGCCTGAAATCCTAGGAATTTACCCAGCTTGCTTTGTAGAAGTTATCAACCTTGTCCAAGTCCTCTGTAGCCTCCAAAGTGCTGGGAGATGATGGCTTCAATTTGTAATCTGCTCTTAGGATGTAAGGACATAGTAGAACAAGGCTGGGGCCATGTCTCAGCCGTGAGTGGAGCCTTCAGGTGCCCAGATACACTTTTCACCATCTAAACCAGGAACTCATTTCACCAGGGGCTGGGATTATGGGCTATGGACTTCTTCACAACTGTTAACGGAGCCAGGTATGCTTTTAATACTCCAGAGGATACTATGCCTTCCCTTACAGCTAATCACTGAATAGCAAGCACTTACAAATGGGTAGACAGTAAAGTGCTATTGAACTTCTTTCTCTTCTGATTTATTACCCTATTTTAGCTTCTAACTCCCATTCCTATGCCTGTAGTTAATGGAACTTTGGTCTGACTTCAAAGACCACACTCAGACACAATATCATGCTGTCTGCCATTTTATATTTCTTTTTAGAGCTACACATTATGCATTTCTTTAAAGAATTTTTGCATAGGCCATTTAGACCCTTCTTCGTATAGTTAAGTAGAAAAGTTGTGTTGCTTCTGACAGATTCAGGTAAGTTTACCTAACACAAGCAAAGAGCTGATAGATGGTTTCCTATTGTCACTGGGTCAAAGTCCAACTCTTCAGTTGGTACACAAGACTTTTCATGACCCAAAAAACCCTACTTACTGCTTCAGTCTCTCTTCTTGCTTCTCTCTACACACATCTTTCACACTGATCAACTACTTGCAGTTCCCATACTGAGCCTTTGCATATGCTGTCTCCACCATCCAGCATGCCCCCCTTTGTTCTTCACTGGGCCAACCAACCACTACCTCTCCTTCAGAGTCTGCCCAGATGTATCTCCTTTAAGAAACCTTTCCTATCTCCTCCCTCCTTCCCTGAGTGCTGCCAAATAAAATAAAACCTACCTCTGAAACAAACTTATTATACCATATTAACATTGCCAATTTACTTGTCTGTCTTTCCTTCTTAAATTAAGGTTCTTAAAGGTGGTATCATAATAGGCACTAGGTAAATATTCTTCTAAACAAATAAGGACTGAATGAGTTGCTCAGTGGCATGACCTTTGTGGAGCACACATATCCAGCCTCTGAACAGTCCTATATGGAAAAAGCTTTGGACGCAAAGATATGCTTTTAATGGAATTGACCAAAAAGTCAAAGAACATGGAAATAATTATGCAAAATATAATATAGCCATAACTGGAATATTAACCAGCCACTTAAAATTATGCTTATAAGGAAGCTATACTAACATTTGTGAAACTGAAATGATACAATGGTAAATGAACAAAAAGAAAACTTTATTTTCAGTATTGTCTAACCTATACAAAAATGCATAAAATATTAGACACATATACTAACATGGTAAAAGTAGTTCATTCCAAGTGGTAGCATTATGGATTTTTAAACCTTTCTTGTACTATATTTTCTAAATTTCTAAAGTTCGAATGAAATGTTTTGTAAGTGTAAGGAAATGTGTCCAATGAAGAAGAAACAAAAAATATCTTCATGCAAATCCCACTAAAGTCCATTGGCCAAAACAGCCTGCAAACTAGGACAAAGGATAGCACTTTTCTTCCCCCTAGATGTGATACATGTATATGAAAATAAATAATACAAATAAAGTCAGACCCCAAAGCCCGCAAGGACAAAATACAGCAGAACAGCAAATTTTTTTTTTGAGAGAAAAAACTAGAGAGTTACTGAACTAGTTATTGGCATCGCTGGAAGAAGATGCAAGCAAGCCTTCTGCCATCCAGCCTGGGTCACTTACCAATACCGCACCCTAAAGATTTTTCTATCTTCCCTAATTTTAAATAGACCTTGGTTGTAAAGTTAGAACCATATACATGTACATATTATGTACAGAAATACACTTCTGGTTTCACTAGACAAACATTTACTGAGTGCCTACTTAGTGCTAGTATTAAAACTGCGTGTTAAATCTCTCATCTTCCCTACTAGAAAGAGCCAAGGCCTTTCTTCCTGTTCACTACTGTGTTCCCAGCTCCTGGGAAGATGATAGCATTAGGAGGCCCTGCAAACACATTTCTGTGAGCTGCAGAAAGGAACGAAGCAGGGAAAGAAGCAGAGTCCCAGCACTTGGGCTCACTTTGTCCTACAGTCTGGGAAAGCCTGTCTGCACGAAGCATGAAAAACGTATTAAAACGCAGTGGCCCAGCGGGGGAGCGTGAATGAGAGCTCGCATTGGTAAGCTTCTTGTTAGTTCGTTGGTTCAACTATAGTACCCTTCAGCTAAGCACACGGCCGCCGGCCCTCCCTCCTCTCCTCATCCAGCACTAGCCCCCAGCTGTCTCTTTCCTCCCGGTGCCCACGATCGCACCGCCCAGACCACCCTACTCTCCCTGCCCCGGAAGTTACACACTGCCGACACCGGGACGTAACTTCCGGGAAGGGCTTACTTCCAAGACAGACACGGAAGTGCTGGGAGGCGCCGGGAGCCCGTTCGGTTGCGGGTGTCTCTGGCCCTGCGGTCAGCCCTGGGAACGTCCCGGAGAGCTAGATTCCTAGAGGCCCGATTCCGCTAGCCCGGAACAGACAAAGCCAGCGCTCCCGCCCGCTCCCCGACTTAGGATCCGATGCCGGCAGCGTCCTGGGGCCCCCGTAGCGGGGCTGGACCATGAGCCTGCTGGACGGCCTCGCTTCCTCGCCGCGGGCTCCGCTGCAGTCCAGCAAGGCCAGGATGAAAAAGCTCCCGAAGAAGAGCCAGAATGAGAAGTACCGGCTGAAGTACCTGCGGCTGCGCAAAGCGGCCAAGGCCACGGTGTTTGTGAGTCTGACCCACGTTCAGCCGGTCCCCTCCTGGAGACTCCCTCACAAAATCTTTCCCCAAGCTGTTCCCCCTTCCCAGTGTGACAGTATTAATACAGTGTTGGCTTTTCCGTATACGTTACTACTTGTTAGCCTTGTGTCCTTGGACAAATTACGTAATTTCTCTGTGTCCTCATCTGTAAATGAGCTAGTAACTGTCTTGCAGAATAATGAATATTAAATGAGTAAAGAAAAGTGCTTGGTGCGTAAAAGACATACCAATAAATTTTAGTCATCGTTGTTACTGCAGGACTCTAGGAAATGTGTTTGATTCTCGAGATACAGCCCTGAGAATTAGGCATTATTTGTAAAATGAGAACACTGAAGCCCAGAGAGATGATTTGCCCAAGGGTACTGTGTCAGAGCCCTGACTCCAACTTAGATAAACCTGATTCCGTTTTATGACTTCCAGTACACAGACTATTTTCTGAGCACCTCAAATCCCCATAACTGACCCTTTGCCCAAAGAGGTACATGAAACTGTCAGTAATTTCCCCCCTCTAACCTTTGAGTGTTCCAAGTGTTTCTTCCTTTCTTTTATTGTAGAAGCACTGGATTTATTGAGTGAATAAACTTAATATAGCTTGCCAGCCATAACTTTATATTAGAATAGTTTGGCTTGCCTCAGTGCTTGGAAATAGGGGTGGAGTCCTCAAATGTCCCCCCACATCCAAGTCAACAGTTCATCTCTTCTCTCTACCAAAAGCTTGAACGTCTCTCAGCATTTTTGGAAGCATAAGGAAAGGTTCAGAAATTAGAATACACATTCCAAAAGCACTTATTCAGCACTTGCTATGTGTATTGCTTGCTATTTGCACTGGAGAGAAACAAGAAAAGTAAAACTAAGAGAACTTAGCATCTGATTGACTGTTCCCTTTCTTTTATCCCCTATACGTCAAAGGTACCTAAAGCTTGGAATTTATGTTATTTCAAGGATATTGGTTCCATCAAATACATAATGAAGATTTTGTGAAGAAAAAGCGATGTTGTTTTGAACATTGAGAGTTTGAAGTTCCACCTATGGGGGCATTCAGATTCAGCATTCCCTTCAGGATTGGTGCTTGGGAGATAGATTGAGTCATCATTTACAAAAAAAAAAAAAAAAAAAAGAAAAAAGATAATACTTGAATTCGTATAAGTAGATTGTGAAGTTTAAGAATTTTACACACTAAATTTGATTTTGTTCTGTCCAGTTTTTCTCTATTTGGGTTAGACTGGCTTTGTAAGTTTTTCAAGAGTTGAGGCACTTGGGAATAGACAGTTTTCATATTTATAGTATTTAATTTAAGCATATAAGGATTTAAGCAGTATGCCTTTTTCTTTGCCAAAGGCTATACTAATTAGGGTGACCATTAATCTTGGCTTGCCCAGGACAGTCCTGGTTCACCGTATTGTTCTGGCATAAGCATTAATAGTACCCCCTTTTCACTCAAAGATGTCCCGGATTGGATAATAAATTACATAGCTATACCCTGTCCATAGTAGAACCTGACTACCTTTATCTATGGATTTATTTATAGTTTGTCACACGGTCGAATAGCTCCTTCTTCTCAGTAATACAAGCTTTTTTGGTTTGAAATATGGATCCTCTTCCCAGCATAATAATGTGATTTTTTTATTCATTTTATGTTATTATATTCACATTTTTACTTAAAGGAAAATGCTGCTATTTGTGATGAAATTGCTCGTCTTGAGGAAAAATTTCTTAAAGCAAAAGAAGAAAGAAGGTGAGCTGGCTTCATTTTGTGTTCAGCATCACCTTTTTGGTGATTGATTTGGTGATTGATAATGGTGTTACTGCTCTGGAGACTTTTTTTCCCAGTGGGATTGATGCGTATCGCACAGCCCCTTGGCCACTTGATCAAGCACAGAGAAACTTACAGCCTGAGGCATTGGTGCCTGCACACCCAAGTTATGTTGGGCCATGGCGATGAGACAGCTCCTCTACTCATCTTTCTGAAAAAGCCATCTTGCCACATCTAATAAATAATCTTACTAAGATTATTTAATCTTATGGCCCAATTATAAAAGCCAAGTGATAAAAGCAACTGCCTCTCGTTCTACAAATATTTATTCTGTACGTACTATTCTGTGCAAAGCACAATGGGTATATATACATGTGTAAATAATGTGCCTTTCAGAAGCCTAACACCGTCCAACATCAAGGTAGAGGAACCGTCCAGATGCAAGAGATAAGCTACAGTTCTTATCCTTGGCCTCTTGAAGTATTGATTATCCTCCAGGGCTTTATGATTCATAGGGCCTAATAAGAACCTTTCTTTTATGAGTATAGTAATCTTTGTATATAATTCTGGCTTTTCCCAGTACTTGAGTAAAATACTGAATTGAGACAATACGGAAGTTCATTTCTCTGCTCCTTTCCTTCCTGATCTCAGGTACTTGCTAAAGAAGCTCCTCCAGCTTCAGGCTCTAACTGAAGGGGAAGTACAGGCTGCAGCTCCTTCCCACAGTTCCAGTTTGCCCCTGACTTATGGTGTGGCCAGCTCTGTGGGAACTATACAGGGAGCTGGGCCTATTTCAGGGCCCAGCACTGGGGCTGAGGAACCATTTGGGAAGAAAACTAAGAAGGAGAAAAAAGAAAAAGGCAAAGAGAACAACAAACTGGAAGGTACTTTGGGGAGATGATATCAGTTGCCCCAGTGACTCACCTACTAATGACAGTTAGACCTGGTACTAACTGACAGACACACACAGCTGCAGATGTACTTAGAGTCTCATCTGGTTCTTAAGGAGCCCTAGGAGCCCTTGAGAAAACAAATGTCAAATGTATTAGAGCCACTTTGGGTGGAGAAATTCGAGCTAGACTTCGTTAAATGCAAGGGGAGCAGACTGAGACTTCCCCCTTCCCCCAACTCTCTGGGTTGCATTCCATTTAGTCTTTCCTAGAGGCAGGGAAATGGGCTAGGTGGCCTTTGGAGCACACTGCTGGCTTGGTAAATTTCTGATCTTACAGATGAAATAAGAGGCCTTAAAAAGTATAAGGCCTTTGGCTCCTAAGCACTAATCTGGGCAGGTTAGAAAGCTACTCAGGGCTTTGGGCGAAAGCCCCATATGCCCATTCAGTAAGTATATAAAACCAGGATTGGCTTATTGCCCTCACCATTCACGTGCAAATTTATCCCTTCCCTTCAACATTGGAAGGGGCCTAAAGTGGGTGACCCCAGATTTGCGTTTCAGTTCTGAAGAAAACATGCAAGAAAAAGAAAATGGCGGGAGGTGCTCGCAAGCTGGTTCAGCCCATTGCCCTGGATCCCTCAGGACGGCCTGTGTTCCCCATCGGACTAGGGGGTCTAACAGTATATAGCCTGGGGGAGGTGAGTGAGACCAGCGATATATAGAGAGGAGAATCAGGGAAATACGGGAATGGGGTTGAGCCTTCCCTCCCTGTTCCCATTAGCAGCAGCCTCTTGCTGATCCATACCAACCCCAGCGTATCTCCAGTCCCTGCAAAACCAGGTCAGTGTTGTCTGCTACACAGCCTACTCTCTGTCTTTGTGTGATTTGTCACTCTTTGCAGCCCCAAAGTGGTTCTAAAGGCTACCACAGGAAACTGGACTTCTAAATTCTTCAGTGACCTCAATCCCAGGTTGGGGGAATGTTTTTTATAGATCATCACCGACCGACCTGGCTTTCATGATGAGAGTGCCATCTACCCCGTGGGCTATTGCAGTACTCGAATATATGCCAGCATGAAGTGCCCAGACCAGAAGTGTCTATATACCTGTCAGATCAAGGATGGTGGTGTGCAGCCTCAGGTACCCCCTCTAATAATAACCACTGTTTGTCTTTAGAACCTTCTCTGTGCTAGGATATGTATTACCTGTTCTGATACCTTACAAGGTAGATATGTATAATCACCATTTGGGTAATCCCAAGATGCAGAAAAGTGGCTGGCCCTAAGTCACACCTCTGCTAATAAGTGGTTGAGTTTGGATGTGAATCTATTATCTGTCTCATTCTCAAACTGATGCTCTTTTCTCTTGAACCATGCTACTTCAACTGCTGACTTTGTGACTATGTGAGGCTTGATCAAGCCTACTTATGTGAGGTACAGGCCAAAATAGAGGGAAGATTAGTTTGATACACTGCCATTTCAAGTTGGACCAAGATGGAGTTAGCAAAGAAATTGCATATTAGTTTCTGGCTGCAAATACTCTTAAGGACCTGAGAGTCTTAAATCCTAGTCTTACTAAATACCTTTTTTCATCCTTCTCAGTGCTAAGATTTGAGACAGTACATTTTCCCCAACCATCATCTCCTGATTGTTAGGGAAAAACAAAAAAATAGACCATTTTCGGAGTTCTAAGCTTCACTGAGGAAGTTACAGATCACTAGAAAGTAAGGTAGAAGGAAGTAGAGGCAAGGTAAGGAACCTTTGAGCAGAAGCTGGGAGAACCCTGAGACAGCTTGACTTCTTATAGATAATATTGCATCACGCCTATCAGAGCATTGTTAGGCATAGTTGAGAGCTTACGTGACCTCAATTATGCAATAGTTTCTTTAGAAAGACTCATTATTGTAACGGTATACCATATTTATAATACATCTTTAAATGCAATGCAAATCTAATCAAAATCCTAGTAGAAATTGAAAAGCCGATTCTTAATTTTCTCTGAAAAACAAAATGCTAGAACATTTTTGAAAAAGAAGAATCTGTGGAGTTTTTAATTTTCTTTTTTAGGTCATTAACCTAACTGGACATTATTTTTAGGTGTGTGAGCTAGGAATCTAGCTTCAAATTTTGTTCCAACTAACGTCAAGTAGCTGTTTTATATATATATATATATATATATATATATATATATATATATATATATATATACACACACACACACACACACACACACACACAGACTAAATATATGTAATTCTTGTATCTCTTTCCAGATGATTCCTTTTTATTCATCTTTTTGTCTATACATGTCAATATGACTTTTTATTACTTTAGCTTTATTGAATATTTTATTCTATAAATATGTTAAAGGAAAATGTAAAAGAATTTTTTATAATCTTAGGGTGAGATGAAAAGGCTTTCTTTAGCAAGACATGAAACTTAGAAGCCATAATGGAACATAATAACATATTTAACTATTAAAAATGTAAACTCTTCTGAATGGCAAAAGACACCATGATCAGAGTTAAAACACAAGCAATAAACAGGAAGAAAACGTATGACAAAGGATTAATACCAGATAAAGTGCTCCTGTAGAGTAGGAAAAAGCAATATTAAAAAAAAAAAAAAAAAACCCACAGGCATTTCACAGAAACAGTGCAGATGGTAAAGTGTGGGCCTCATCAGTAAGTGGGGAAATGCAAATAAAACAAAACTGAGATCTTATTTTGCTCATAGGCACATATCAGAGGGATTAATAATATCCAGTGCTGGCCGGGGTGGAGGAAAACAAGTACACGTTAGTAGGAGTGAAAATTGGTAGTCTTCTGGGAGGGCAACTTGGCAGTATCAACAATTTTAGTATGTGTATCATTTGACCCAGAATATGTCTAGATAGTCTAGTATCTAGACTGCACTAGGTACACATTTGCACCTAGAGAAATGTGCAAATGTGAACAAAGTAACATGTAACAATGTTCACTGTGGCAGTATTTGCAATAGCAAGAAATTAGAAATAGCCTAAATACCTATCAATGAGAAAATGGTTAAGTAAAATATATCCACCGTTGTATGTACAGCAATTAGAAGAATGAGGTAGATTTATACATTAGTACTAACAAGGAGGTATCTTCAAGACTAAAGTATAACATTTCTATCTTTAATGCTCTTTACTCAAATAGGGTAAAAATTTCAGTACAAAAAAAGTAATTGAAATTGACATGACAAATACTAAATAGTAGAGCAATCCTGGACTATTTGAAATTAATTACACACAGCAAAATTAGCCGGGCCTGGTGGCGTGCGCCTGTAGTCCCAGCTGCTGGGGAGGCTGAGGCAGGAGAATGGCGTGAACCCGGGAGGCGGAGCTTGCAGTGAGCCAAGATCACGCCACTGCACTCCAGCCTGGGCGACAGAGCAAGATTCCATCTCAAAAAAAAAAGAAAAAGAAAAAAGAAAAGAAATTAATTGCTCATGGTTTTTTCATTTATTAGCTGAGAAATAAATATAAAACATTAGAATCTTAACCTGGCAAGGTATGCCATTGGTTGAAATAAGAAAACCACCATTGATTGAAACCACTCACAAGAGAATTTATTACTGACAAAATTGACAGATCTCTAAAATTTGACACGGTAAATTGAATCCAGTGAAATAATAACCACAGAAGAAAACTAACAGTAGTGGAAACTATACTCAGTAAAAATTGCTTTGACTTTTTTTAGAAATCAGTAGTGCTCGATATCATTCTAAAAAATTATACAGAAAATAAATTAATCCTGTTCAGGATAATTTGACTGAAGTAAACATTGAAGAACTAGAAACTGTTTAAATGAACTTTAAAACTAGTCAAATAATTTAATTGGCTAGATAGAACTTGTTACAGAAATATTTTCCTGGCAAAAAAATCATTGCGCTTTATAGAAAACTGGCCAAATAATTAAATCAGCTAGTTAACTTGTTACATTTGTTACAAAAATATTTTCTTGGCAAAAATTCCTCAGAATTAGTGTAATTTCGATGCAACAGTTTCTTTTTATTAACATAACCAAGATATTTTAACGTTCAAAATGAAAGTAAATACAATGAAATGGCAGTTTGCAGTCAGCCTGTTTCTCCTAGATCTTGTAAAATTGACTTAAAAGATTACATGGAGAGTGATCTCATTTGTTTTTAAAATACCATTTGTATTTGTACTTAAGGATATAAATAAGTGGATTGGAAAGGTACACAACAAATTAAACGCTCACTTTTGGAAAGCTGTCAACCAAGAAGGGTAGAACTGAAACAGTCAAAGGACTTTCTCTAGGTACTTGGATTTGTTTCAATTTTTAGCAGCCCTATAGGAAAGTATGTGTGTCCCTTCTGAAGATGGTATACGTCAGCTTCACGTTCCAGAGTAAAGAAATATTTACAGAGTAGTATGCCCCTCTCTCCTTCCTTCTTGAGGATTGATCTCATTGCTCGTTTGTCTTTCTCAGTTTGAAATTGTTCCTGAAGATGACCCCCAGAATGCCATTGTCAGCTCTTCTGCAGATGCTTGTCATGCAGAACTGCTCAGGACTATAAGCACTACTATGTAAGTTGACCAAAAGCTTGAAAACAGGCTAAAAGATCACTGTTGGTACAGTGAAACCTTTTCTCTTGCTTTTAATGGGTGGAGATACTTTATTTTATAGAAACCTATCCTGGATCCTCCTGACATTGTGCCAACTAGAGCCTCCACATTATCAAAGTCAAGAAAGCTTATCCTGTTTGTTCATACCACTATTCTGTTCTTAAATCCATCTTCATCTCCCGCTAAGCTCTCAAACTAAAATTATCCCTCTCCTGTTTAGGGGGAAACTAATGCCTAACCTGCTTCCAGCTGGAGCTGACTTTTTTGGATTTTCTCATCCAGCCATCCACAACCTGATCCAGAGCTGTCCAGGAGCTCGAAAATGCATCAAGTAAGTGTGATCAAATTCATTCCCTTGAGAAAAGCTCAGTGATCATCCGGCCAGGGACTGGCAGTTCCTACTTTGTTCACTGACCTTCTGTGTCCAAAGCCTGCCTGCTTCTCGACCAGTAGGGCTCAGTATTGGCCCCCTTAGCCCTCTGGACAGGTAAGCAAGAGCCAGGACTCCACTGTTCGCTGATTATTACTATTTTCTGTATGTACCATGACAGCAAAAGGGGTGGGAAATCTAGCAGACTAATTTGTCACTAAAGAGGCCTGCTTATTTCTTTTAGGTTTTTGTTAGCAAATATGTGTTTTAGATATATATGGGCGGAATATAAAGAAAAATTACCTGATCCCTTTAGTGATAGGAATGGGTATTTATGTCTAGCAGATAACTCTCAAGGGTGATTTCCCTTGATTCTGCAGTTACCAGTGGGTGAAATTTGATGTGTGCAAACCTGGAGATGGGCAGCTACCTGAGGGGCTGCCGGAGAATGATGCAGCTATGAGCTTTGAAGCCTTTCAGAGACAGATCTTTGATGAAGATCAGAATGATCCCCTTCTGCCAGGTATCTTTAACTTTACCTTTCTGGTTTGAAAATTGACTGTGTTTAGGCTACCTTCCCATCTTCACACATAGCCGAGTACCCTAAATATCTATGCATTGAGTGATAAAAGCTTTCATTGAATCAGCCTTGCGGAGTGCTGAGTTAGAGGGGGACCTGCGGCCTGCATAGCTTCCTAGATTACTCACAGATGTCATGGGGAGCACCTGCGATCATAGTAAGGCAGGGTACCCCAGAAACTAAGGTATCTCATTCTGTAACCTAAGCAAGACTGGAGCAGAACACCAGGGGAAAGTTTACTGTGCAGGGAATAACATTTCAAGTGAAGTCAGTGGGGTCAAGTCAAGGCCTTGGCCCTGCCTGTGTTCCATGAGTTCCTCCCACAAATGAGTGATCAAGGGTTCAGGCTTTGGGGTCATATAGGGAAAACTCTGGGTTAAAAAATGGAATTGAAATTCTCACTCTTTGCCTAATATACTATATAACCCTAGGCAAGTCACTTAATGTTTCAACCAGTTTTCATTGTAAAAGTATCTGTCCTATCTTAACAAAGGCAAAATTGAGCTGACAAATGCAAGGGTGTTAAGGAATTGATTGAAAGGACATGTATATGTCTGACCAAAACAGTCTGCCCAGACTCCCGAGCAGCAGTGGAACTTAAGGAATTGTTTTCTCCAGGATCCTTGGACCTCCCAGAGCTTCAGCCTGCAGCCTTTGTGTCTTCTTACCAGCCCATGTACCTGACACATGAACCCTTGGTAGATACTCACCTGCAGCACTTGAAGTCTCCATCACAGGGTAGCCCAATTCAGTCTTCAGATTGAACAAGAAGGGATCAGATGCCACATCGTTTTTGTCGTGATTAATTTAACTTAAACTAAAATTTTGGGTATATGAAAGAAGGCAGCAATTCAGAAGTAAAGAAGATACTAACGTATTTCATCATGGAAGGTCCTGTGGTGATGGTTTTCCCTGGGAAAACCTTCAGCTGCTTTATTTTTAGTAATAAATTTCTCTTGTCAATTCTGTTTACTTTCATCTTGTAATCGGGATGTAATCTTTTTTGCTTAGCTCTGCCTGAGGTAAAGTAAACTTCAGCCTCTTATAAACAAGAGTGATAGAGAGCTGCAGGCTGCTACAACAAATACCATAGACAGGTTGGTTTATAAATAACATGAATTTATTTCTCACAGTTCTGGATGCTGGGAAGTCCAAGTTCAAGGAGCGCAGATTCAATGTCTGGTGAGGGCCCACTTCCTAGTTCTTAGACAGCTGTCTTCCTGCAGTGTCCTCACGTGGTAGAAGAGGAAGGCAGCTCTCCGGGGTCCCTTTTATAAGATCACTAAGCCGGTTCATGAGAGGTCTGCTCTCATGACCTAATCACCTCCCAAAGGCCCCACCTCCCAATACCATCACATTAGGGGTTAGGATTTAACATGAATTTTGGGGACATATAAACATTAAGTCTGTAGTAGCAGCAGCTGACTAACGAGGGAGATAGGGAGATTCTGACAAACTTCTACTCTTGATTGTGATCCTAATTCAAGGAATATCAAGTCCCAGCCCCTGCAACCCAGGCTGCTGCTTAATTTTCATGTCAGTATCATCAAAATCCAATGTTCTGCTTAAACTCAAGATGGAAAGTCCAGTCCAAGGTACACTGTTCATCTTTTTCTTCACATTTTGCACATCCTTCAAGGGGATCTTTAACCTCTTTAACCTTTGTATTGCACCTCAGATAATGTGCTTTTTAGCTCAGTACACTGAAACCATATGATAACACAAATTCACATATAATTGGGGGTTAGTCCCATACTCTATAACAGACTTAGTCCTGTCTTTTCATTAGCCATGTAATAATATAACTCCATGTTCCATGCAACTGGATTTTTGGACCCTGTTAATAGCATTAAGGTAGAGGTTTACTCTATCACCTAACACCTCAACACTACCTGTGGGATGCCTTAGTTACCCAGCAGCAGGTTACCAAGGGCTGTCTGGAAAGGGAGGGACAAAAGGACCCAGAAGTAGAAGAATGGGGATGGAGTGGTGAGAATTGAATGGTTAATGCACTGCCATTCATAATTGCCAATTGAGGACAACACAAATGGGATTGGTACTTTATAGTAATAAATCTGACCAGCAGAGGGAGGGATCAGGCAGCAGTGTTTAGAGCACACCACACTGGCCACTGTAAACTGAGAAGCTAAGTTAACTGGTATTTTATGATTTTGAGTATAGTCTTTTTATAAGTTGTATACACTTTACAATGTAAAAGAAACAAACTTTGTATAATAGCAAATCGGGAAGGGGACTGCTTAAAATGTTAATGCAGTGTTTTTCTTTTTTTCTCTGCATAAATGGCTTGAGCATACTGGCATTTACACAGAAATGATATATGCTGCTTTTATCATATAACAAATATTTTCCCACTATTACAGCCTGAGTAATACCCGTATTAAAAGAGCCTCATTTTAGAAAGACATTTAAAATTTTTGGAACATACCACATGTAGAAAGGTTGAACTGGTTTTTCAGCTATAATGCATATACAACTATAGTGTGTACGTATACCACATATACATATACTTGTATGAAGATATGTGTAAAATGTTTTTACTATGGATCATGGATTTAAGAAACTTGAAAAGCTGGGCACGGTGGCTCACGCCTGTAATCCCAGCACTTTGGGAGGCTGAGGCGGGTGGATCAAGAGGTCAGGAGATCGAGACCATCCTGGCTAAGTCGGTCTCTAATAAAAATACAAAAAATTAGCCAGGCGTGGTGGCACGCGCCTGTAGTCCCAGCTACTCGGGAGGCTGAGGCAGGAAGAATCGCTTGAACCCGGGAGGCAGAGGTTGCAGTGAGCCGAGACCGCGCCACTGCACTCCAGCCTGGGCAACAGAGCAAAACTCCAACTCAAAAACAAAAACAAAAACACCTTGAAAAACACTGCCTTAGTATACTTAAACTATCTTTTCATCTATCAGATTGTTAAGGATTTTTTTTAAATTTGACAACATCCAGTGTCAATGAGGGTGAGGGCAAAAAAAGGACTACCTTGGTGAGAATGTAAGTTGTTTAATCCTTTGGGAGGGTTAAGCTGTAGATATCTAAATTTTAAATATATATTTATCCTCTTCCATGTTAAGAACCCTAAGAAATAACTGGACGAGTGTGGTATGATGTTTGCATGTGATATTCATTACAGTATTATTTTAATAGTAGAAAATTGTTAAAAATCTATATGTCCATTAATAGGAAATTGGTTAAATAAAATGAGGCTTCCACAAACTGAAACACTCTAAATCTATATTCTATTATTTACATAAGAAAATTATTTTGGTAAAGTAAGTAAGTCAAAAACACAGATTACAAAATAATATGTACTGTATAAAATTATATAACTCAAGTCAAGTGAATGGTTCAGCAAAATAGTGTTTCTCTGAATGATGAATTTGGGGGTGATTTTTACTTGCTTATACTTTAGTGTCCAAATTTTCTACAGTGACTATAAATTTCATTTTAAAACTAAAAAGTTCTTACATTTGGGGAAATGCAGTGAATTCCCACATCATGTTTTAAATTACTCAGCCACTAAAAATGAATGTGCATGGCGTCATTAACATAATCATTGCCTGAACCGTATTTTTCACACTATGTACTCTAGGTTCCTGGAGGTGAAAGGAATCTGGACTTAGAGTTCTTGGCTACCTCTGGCTGCCCCCGAATTAGAACAGCCCATGGGGGTATGTGTATTGGGAGTGGAGGAGTGGACGGGTAGATTGACTTTTTCTCAGGCATCAATCTGTTACAAGGTTCATGGTTTCTATGGGGCCAGATGCATGAGAGGTCAAAGCATGGGCAATAGGGGTTAACTGAACGAGTTGAATGCTAGGAAGTCCTCAGGGGAGCCAACGTTCCTTGTAAAGTGTGTAGATTTTTTGTTTTTTAACTAAATAAAATCTTGGCACTGACAAAGTTATTCCTGCTGTTTGGAGCTACACCAGAACCCCTTGGAACTCTACAGAGGGGTAGAACTAAAGCAAAAACCATCATTCACCCTACAGAGTATTATAAATTTCATTTTCACACAGTAAAAAGTTCCTAAATTGGGGGAAACATAGTGAATTCCACATAATGTTTTAAATTATTCAGCCACTAAAAATAAATTTACATATGATTTCATTAATATATTCACTATCTAAACCATATTTTTTACACTACGTAAAATACATTGTATATGTACAGTGAGTGATGCTTTTTGCTTTAGTTCTCATTTTTCACATTAAGGGGAGGAAAGCTACCCATAGATAGTATTCTTACTCCTTTTCACATGCTTCAAGGACAGTTTGCAAGTGGATATAAATACATACACATCACTAGTGATTATGCTTTTATTTATTTCCAACTTCTTATAGGTAACATAATTTTCAGACAATGTTAGCTGTTTTTAATCCATCAGTAAACTGCATTAAGATTCTTAATAAACAAACACTGAAGGCCTCTTTCATATTTGTATCATCTGCATTTTTTTTTATATGCTTGTCATGTGGCTTTACTTTCAGCCTCACTCTTTTCTTCTTCCAAATGGATTATCCTTAAACCTTTTACCTTTAAAGAGCCTGAGATTTATATTTAACTCGAACAACAGTTTGCCTCTGTTGCCCCTGTGTTCATGTTTTCCTAAGCCAGAGTTTCCCACGCCTCCTGTTCCTGGCAGCCCAAGTGCCTTCGCTGGGCTACTCCCACCTGGCCCTTGCTTTTCATTCCTTAGGGCAGTCACTTAGCACCTTCCAAAGTGCCTGCACATGTTTCTTATTTCATTTCTTAAACATTCATATTACCACTATTTAGATTGAAGGAACAGAATTGGTTTGGGCTTGAAGAGAATACAAAGAGATCTGTCTTCAATTATCTGATAGTAGTAAAGTTTCACGGGAGAAAGAAAGATTTCGGTTCCACATAAGGAAAAACTTGGAAAGTTTTGAATGGAAAGTTCATAGAGAGATTCAGTAACCACCTGTCAGGAATTTTGTAAAGACGTCTACGGCCATATCACCCTGAACGCGCCTGATCTCATCTGATCTCGGAAGCTAAGCAGGGTCGGGCCTGGTTAGTACTTGGATGGGAGAAATTTTATAAAGAACACATGAACACTAGCTGGCCTATGTGGCCTTTAAAATCTCTTCCAATCCTGAGATTCCCACAACTCTGGATAAAAAGGGGCAAAAGTATTAGACATTTCACTCCCATTAATATGAGGGAAGTAAATGACATTGAGGTCCAATTTGTCTGTAGTTCAGAATTAGTCCAATACAGACCCTTAGACCAACTAGGGAACAAAAAGCAAGCATTTCAAGTTACCTATAAGCCTGGGCTCATCAGAATATAGAAACAGCCATGTGCTAGCTGAAAGCCATTCAATGAGGCTTTCTATTAATTTCCTTTAAAAGCAATGGTTATTATTGAAACTCCTAAATGCTAAAATCTGAAGGACCCATCCTTATATCTAAGTTCTGATCATACTGAAACAGTCATTTAGCAACATTGCTCTGATGTCCAGGACCCTGGTCTGTAATGAAAGCAATGAAGGGAGGGGCTGGCAGGGCACTACTGGGGTGGTATAGGGGACACTGCTTATATTCACAAGGCCACGTGGTCCAAGCATAGCGGAGAGCAACCACAGTGCCATGACAAGAATCGATCGCCAGGGTCAGGGACTGGGTGGAGACGGTGTTCATAGAAGCTGGAAGCCACTTGCATCGATGGTCACTGCAACAGGAGATCTAATAAGAGAGCCATAAAATAGGAATGATTAGGTCAGAAGGGTCTTCCAAGAAACTGGGCACTGCTCTTTCAGACAGAATGGATGGGAGGAAAGGAGACACTCTTCACCAAGGACCTACTCCTACAGTAAGCAGAACAAACCTGAGCCCACTTTGGATCTAGTCAGCACAGCCACAGGTTGATAATACATGTTCATGTGATCAAATAAATAATTTTAATAAATAAAACATTTACTGAGGGAGACAAGGAAGCATGATCACATAAGGCATTTAGGGAAGGCTGCTCCCCTGAACATTCTTTGGGTGATCCCTCTTGCCAAACAGCAAGGCAGACAGGAATTTAAGTGAACAGAGTGGCCCAGCTGCTGCTGCTCCGCTCTGGCACTCCCAGAGCCACTGCAGAATGAAGAAGGGGCATAAGATACAAAACCTTTCTCAAGCCAGAAGGCAATCCAGAAATGGGAATACAAATTATCCAGACCACTGGCAACTGACTAAAGAGAAGAGCTCAGAATGCAGACGTCTCTCAATTCACCTGGAACCCAGTGTGGAAAGAAGCTAAGTGGGGTAAGTGCCAACCAAGCATCTGAGGCAGGTGGATACCGTAGTTAGGACTTCAGAAATAGCAGCCCTAGACAAACTCCCGTGTAGTTAAAGTTTGCCTTTAATATTCTTTTCTCTTCTCCAATGCATTCTTTTCACACACCCCTTCCCAACCTAAGGCCTCATGATTCCCAAAGTCACTCATTTAAATGTTCCATGTAGGAATGCCTCCATCTCCCACCCTCAAATATCGAAGACTCCTGAATAATCTTTCATCAATGGCCCCAGTTCCACAGCAGAATGACCCCTGCTAGGTATTAAAAGGACTCTCATTATATTGTCACACTAAGTTACAAATACCTAAGAATAAGCCTCTCAAAGGAGAACCTAAACTCAGAAAATGTCAGGATTTAGGAGAGTGTAACAAAAAATACACCCAAGGATGGGGTAAATATTCTGGAGCAAGGATCCTTCAATAGGTAACCTACAAATAAAGCTGCAGGCCCTGCCCTAGCAAAGATGGTTGCTTCGGCAGAGAAAATGTAAAAGGAAATTAAAAATTTTTTAAAGTCCATTTTAATATGGACTTGTTTTCCCTTTCTCGATTGTGCTGTCTGTCAAAAGTGCCTCCAAGCTACTGAATTAACAGCTGTTTATTTGCAGCTCTGAAATAAGCTCAGCCCCCAACCAACCAAGACCCGCCACATCGTAATAACAAAAGAGATGGCCTCAAGTGCGGAGGAAATCTTGACTCCACCACAAAATGAACCCCTGTTTATTCTGCTGTTCTTCTCACCTCAAATATCTTGTTGTCCTTTTTCTGCACCTGGATTTGCTGGTAATATGTGAGATTGAGCAGCCCCTTGTGAGCCAAGAGTTCTATCTTCTCAGGCAGTGGTCCTTCAAAGGTCAAATTCTTCTCACCATAAGCCAGAGCACGGGCCCCCAAATGCAGCCGATAAGCCACAGTCTGTTTATCTCGAGGGTGGATGCTACAGGATAAGGAACAAGTAGAGAACTTTGGGTTTAAGCTCAACAATCACCACATTTTTTTAAAAGGGGGATTATACAAAGCACCCTTTATGAAAGTAAGAATAAAGTTGACTGAACTCTGTGATCAGTGGCTAGTCAGCTCAAGGGAAATGGTGAATGGTAACCATAGATGGGGCTCTGGGCCTTCTATGGGTTGGAAACCTTGAAATAATAGATGACTTGGAAGGAAGGAATAAAGGGCAGGTTGGGAGGAGGGAGGGAGACATGGAAGAAGGAAAGATACCAGAACTAACCTAAGAGAGCTAACTCATAAGATTGTTCCTAACCACTAAAAGTCAGGTTTCTTTGGAATCAGCTGATTCATTATTTGGTCCCCTAGAGCTTTTATTCATTTATTCAATAAATCAATCAAGTTCCTCCTATAATCCAGACACTGTGTGTTGGACTCTGTTTCCTATGTGGAATCCCCTCACATCCTACAGTTAGTGTGTGGTGTTCCCTGGGGCTGATCACAGGTATCTCAGTATTCCTCCTGTGAGGCCAGAGGAATGCTGGAATTCCATTTCCTGCTGCCACTGAAGTTAACCGTAGCCTTATGACTTGGTTTGGCCAGTGCAATGTGAGCAGAAATGACTTGTGTGGAAGCACTGAATTGCCAGTGTGACACTTTAAGATGACTATGGAAGCATAGGTCAACTTGGAGCCTCTATTGCTCTGGGTCTATGAATGATTACAGTGAGCAAAGTCTCTGTTGACCTTCTTTTAACAGAGAGAGTGACCAAGAAATAAATTGTTGGTGCATCAGAGAACTGAGATGTTGAGGGTGTTTGCTGTTGTTACTGCAGCACACCCCAGCATACGTGACTCTTAAGTGCCAATCCTCAGTCTAATTGCCCCTCACCGGTGAACATCAGAGTGAAAGACTACAAAGAACATACACTGTTCATGCAAAGCCCAAGAAGCAATCATACCTGCCAAAAGGCGAGTCTCTATCACAGAGATCCATAGCTACAGCCATGAAAGTATTGGGCATCTTTGGGTTGGGGACATAGCCGAAGTCTGCTGTTTGATGCCAACGGATCTGGGGAAATCCATCGTCTGAGCTCTTCTTAGACAAATCTGAAGATAACTAGAAAGCAGAGACATTGCTAATTTTATTGTATCAGAATCCCACACTGGAGTCTTTTTCACTGGCAGACTCTGCTTCTGCTTCTCTCATTGCATTTAAATGCTCATTCAACACGTATTTACTGAGCTTCTTACTGTTGTGGCAGTGTCTCTCCAAAGACAGCTGCAACAGTCCCTCTCATCCCATGTGCCCTCTTGCAGTGCAACTTTGCCACACCTCTCATCAAGCAGCGGGGTCTGTTTCTCTTCCCTTTGAATCTAGGATTTGCTTTGACCCATAGAATGCAGGAGAATTGATGTTGTACAGCTCCTGAGTCTTGGCCTTATGAGGCCTTGCCTTCTGAATTCATTCTCTTGAAACCCTGAGCTGGTCATGTAAACACCATCCAGTTACCCTGCTGGAGAGATTATGGAGTGAGAGGGGCCTTGGAAATTGAAAGATCATAGAAAGAGAGGCTCTAGTGTTCCAGCAATCACAGATAAGGGCCAGTCATATGGATTTCTAGATCCTCCAGTTAAAATTGCAGCCACATAAGCAAGCCTAGCTGGTATCATGTAGGGCAGAAATGAGCCATCCCAGGTGAGCCCTACCTGGCCAACCCAATGAATCATGAGCAAAAAATATGGCTGATGGTTTAAGCCCCTAAGTTTTGGGGTAGCTTGTTACAAAGCAATAGATAACTGATACATCTGTATACAACACAGGGCTAGGCACTGTAGGCAAGCAGAGAAGAATCTGCCCTTGAGCATGTGCTAAATTGCATCAGTGACCCCAATTCTTCACTCCCTCCTATATCCACACCCTCTTGCCATGTGGATTTGCAGTTCCTCCCGTTAACAGGACAAGTATGTTTCCCAAACCCTTGATTCTAAGCTCAGCCATGTGGTTTGCTTTGACCAATCAACAGAAGCAGAAAGTATGGTGTGTCACTTCCTAGCCTAAGTGACTCTGCATGGCTCCACTTGCTCATTTGCACTGCTGCTATCGCCATAAGAAGGACGTGCCTGGGCTAGCCTGCTGCTCCCTGGAGAAGGACAAGAGCGCCCCTGCTGACCCACAGAGGTCTGAAAGAGCCCAAAGATCTGCAGCTTAGCCAAATCACCCAAACCCCAGCTCCCCAGACAAGAGCTACCTATATAAGAAAGGCTATTTTAGGCCGGGGGTTTTGAGGTAGTTTGTTACACAGCAGTAGCTAACTGGTACAAGTACTTTACAGCTTTGTTGAGGAGGACAGACCTACACATAAGAAATAAACATAAGGATTGAATGGGTTTATGTTTCATAAACATATAAAATAGTATGGATTAAATGTTAAATGAGTGCCACAGACAGCAAGTACTAAACATTTAGAACAGGCAAAGATTATTATTATAGGAAAACGTGGTCTCAGAATTCATTAAAACAAATGGGCATCAAAAATATGAGAAGTCACTACAGGCAGTACTGCTCACACTTCACATGTTAGAAGCATGTAAGATGCAAAGGTGGGGAGGAGAATGGTCGTTCTGAGAGAGGGGCAATCCAGGTGGACTGGAGGATTTGTGAAGGAAAGGCAAAGTTGGAAAGATAGCAAGGCAAGTGTTTGTATAGTTGATTCTTTTGTATTAAACAATAAAGAACCTCTGTAGAGGTGATAGCTGCACGACATCGTGAATGTGCTAACGTGCTACTGAACTCAATTGCATGTTATATGACTTTCACCTCAATTAAGAAATTACAGAGCCACTGAAATTACTGACATGATCAAAGGACCATTTCAAAAGATTGTTCTAGTGATCATACAAATGGCTCTGGCAAAAAACAAAATAAGGCCGGGCATGGTGGCTCACGCTTATAATCCCAGCATTTTGGGAGGCCGAGGTGGGTGGATCACCTGAGGTCAGGAGTTCAAGACCAGCCTGGCCAAAATGATGAAACCCCTTCTCTACTAACAATACAAAAAATTAGCCGGGAGTGGTTGCAGATGCCTGTAATCCCAGCTACTCGGGAGGCTGAGGCAGGAGAATCACTTGAACCCAGGAGGCGGAGGTTGCAGTGAGCCAAGATTGTGCCACTGCACTCCAGCCTGGGCAACCGGGCAAGACTCCATCTCAAAAAAAAAAAAAAAAAAAAAAGAAACCAAAATAAAGGACTTAACGCAGAGAGACAGATTAGTTAAGCAGCTATTATAATATTCTAGACACAAAAACAAAGATCTAATCTACAGAGATAGTAGTAGAACGGGATGATGAGAAATAATAAAAACTGACAAAACCAGGCAACCAACTGGATATGGAGAACAAGAGGAAGGGTAAAATCCATCATTCGGAAGCCACGGCATCTGAATTAACTGTGTGGCATCTCAGGCATCCAAGTAGCACCAGAATATTTGGGGAATAATATTGTTCCAGAAAGAGCCTGTGAAGGATCCACAGCTCATGTATTATCAGTCAGCTCATGTATTTATTCATGCTTTTAACAAATATTTACTGAGCACCTACTCTGTGTCATGCACTAATACTGGCCTAGGAGATAGAGCAGTGAACAAAACACAAGAATCCCTTCCCATTCTTATACCCTAGTGGAAAGAGAGAATGAATAACAAGATAGATCTGTAAACTACATATCCTATGAGAAAGTGACAAGTGCACTGGAGAAAAATATAATAGGGAAGGAGGAGAGAGTGTCAGAGTTGAATGAAGACTAGAAGGAGATGCGCAAAGAAGCTATGAGGATATCTGGGTATGTTAGGCGGATGACCCACAGGGAGCCGCATCCTTATACAATACTCTCCTCTTTGTGGTAGGGGGAACTCGTAATTTGATTCTAACCAATAGGCTATGGCAAAGGTAATGGGATATCACTCCTGTGATTATGTTGTATATGGCAAAAGTGAAGGGATTTTGCAGATGTTACAAGTAACGTCCCCAGTCAGCTGACTTCACATTGATCAAAAGGGAGAGTATCATGGTGAGCCTGACCTAATCAGGTGAGTCCTTTCAAAGAGGGTCTAGAAGCCAGGCCCCCTCCCCTGCTGGCCTTCAAGAAGTAAGCTGCCATGAGTTCTACAGCTTCAAGGAGGTGAATTCTGCCGACAACCACATGAACTTGGAGGAGAACTCCAAGCCTCAGATGAGACTCCAGCTCTGTCTGACACCTTCACTTCCACCCTCAGCAGAAGATCCAGCTAAGCCATGCACGCCCAGACTTCTCACCCATAGAAACTGAGATAATAAATGTGTGTTGTATTGTTTTAAGCTGCTAAATATGCAGTCATTTCTTACTCAGCAATAGAAAACTAAAACAGCAGGAAAAGAACTTTCCATGAAGAATGGAAAAGAAAATGGCAGGCCCCAGGACGGGAGTATGCCTAGCGTGCTTAAAGAAAAGTAAGGCAGCCAGTGTGGCTGGAGTGGCATATGCAAGGCAGAGAGAATTAGAAGGTGAGGTCGGCGGGTAATGTGGGCAGGGGGCACATCATGTATGGCCTTGCTGACCTCAGCACACGGGGACCCACTGGAGCCTTCCGACCCGACTTACACTTCAAAGAGTCACTTTGATATATTGAGAATATCCTACAGGAGGAGAAAAAAAGGTAAAAGCAGGAAGAAGACCAGTTAGGAGGCAATAATACAAGGGAGAGATGATGGTGGCTTAGACTAGCGCAGGAGGAGTAAAGGTAGTGAGAAGTGGTCAGATTCTGAATGCAGAGTGAGTTAACAGGATTTGTTTTCATCTAAACGGAAAGTTGATACACTCCTACTCCTGCAAAACACACAGGCTCCCAGAGAAAAAAATCTTTACTATTACTATGACACAGGCAGTCCAGCTATTTCTTCCTTCTTTTTCTGATGTTTACATCACCCTGTCCTTTGATTTAGATAGCATCTTATTCTTAGCTCCAGTTCCAGCCAATGAGAGGCATCAACCTATTATCTCTCTTTTACAAACCATGATCTAACTGTAAGTCAAACCACAAACTGGGAAGCAGTCTGGGCCAGCAACAACATTTTTTTTTGACTCCATTTCAAAATGTCTGACCCCATCAGAGGACTGCATTTTACACAGACTGTTCCACCCAGCCTTATTACTCACAGCCCAGAAAATACCTGACATCATCCCTATGAATGTGGCCAAATGCAACTTTGAATCGAGGATATTTTCTGCTCTCTGAGTTGCTCCAGAAAGATGAGAAAATCATCAGGAGTACACGGAGAGGTTGCAATAATAACAGAAAGGAGCCTTGGATATGATATGGAACCAATAGGCCATTTACAATTCTCTTATTAAAATTATCTTAGGCAAATCAGCTTTAACATAGGAAATGATAGAAGGTGCCACTGAAGCCTCACAGTAGAATCTCATGAAGACTAGAAAATGGGAATAAAAAATCTATTAAGTCACCCTACTTCTTCCACACCCAGAAGACAAAGTGGAACCATGTGCACCAGCCAGGGTCATAATGAAGATCACAGTAACAACGCCACAGGAAAGAGTCTGTGGTGAGAAAAAAAAAAAAAAAAAAAAACTAGCCTGAAGCTCAACAGGGAGCAATGCTAATAACAGTCCCTCAAGTCAAGGGAATTTTCTCAAAATGGCAGTTTGCTGAGAATTCTTGCAGCAATTCACTTTTTCATTGACTGCACTATTATATACTCGCCACATGGGGGCACCGGCGTACTCCACACCCACATGAAATTCCTGTTTTCCTAATCTGAGATACAGTGGGGCGCTAATCCGTCTCCCACAGTGGCTGGTAGAAATACTGCGGCTAATAAAGGCGTGGACCAGCCAAAGAATATAAAGCTGGCCACGCTCACAAATAACATGCTGCAGTTTGTGGTCTGTTCAACTGTTCCTCCAAATCCCTATTTAAAAACCACACTCCTTGGGACTCCAGCCCCTAGCCTCTTGCTGTTTCGCTCTCAGGCTCCAGGTGGCCTTTCTGCTAATAAGTCTGGGATACACGTGTCCAGCCCTGGTCTCTCCGTGGAACTCACATCCTCCATCTCTAGCTGTACTCTAGTCACTGCAACCATCATTTCAAACTTAGCACTTCTATGAAGCCAGTTCCTCTTTCCTTACAGACCAACTGTCCCTCCAGATCTTCTGATTTCTCTCATCAACAATATTCAACACTAACATTATCTGGTATGTTCCCGGCTTTCCATGGATGAACTCATTCAATATTTAAAATAACAAAGAGTTCAGTATCGTGTTCGAAATCACGTGGCTCAGGAGGTGTCACAGCTAGCATCTGAATGCACTTAGTCTAGCTCAGACTCAGTCTGAACCATGACGCTGTCATGCTGGGTATTTCCCTTTGAAGGGATATGTTTATATTTCCAGACTTCCACTAGTAACCAGCATGTTTTTGTTGGTGATAATAAAGTTAAAACCTGGAGGTTAAGGGACTTTCACTAAACTGTAAGGCATAAGTACAAGAATCAGGTCTTTCTGATTGCTATATTTCTTTTTTTTTTTTGAGACGGAGTTTCGCTCTTATTGCCCAGGCTGAGTGCAATGCTCACCACAATCTACGCCTCCTGGGTTCAAGCGATTCTCCTGCCTCAGCCTCCAGAGTAGCTGGGATTACAGGGATGCGCCACCACACCCGACTAATTTTGTATTTTTAGTAGAGACGGGGCTTCTCCATGTTGGTCAGGCTGGTCTCGAACTCCCGACCTCAGGTGATCCGCCCACCTCGGCCTCCCAGAGTGCTGGGATTACAAGCGTGAGCCACCAAGCCCGGCCTGATTGCTATATTTCTAGCACCTCACAAGATTCACAGCATATAATAAGCATTCAACACATACTTTTGGTTTGAGTTGGCTAAAGTCATACTCAAATCACCATGTGCACAGGCCAAGGGAGAAAAAAGTACTTCCAAAGCCCAAGTGTAGTTTCCACCAACAGGGATGCAGAACTGGTGACAGGAGCTGCTACTTTGAAAATAATGAGCAGAATAATCTTATTTCAAAGTCAGAACAAATGCAGGAAAGAAGAAAGAAAATAATCATAAAGGCATTTTAAGTGAGAAGGTCTATACAAATATTCAAAAGAAGGTACAGTGAAAAGGACAAGGTAGGGGAGTGGGGAGGATGGTGAGAAGTCATCTGTGGGGCGTGCGGAGGTGGTGTCTGGGACCATGGATGTCCCATTTACACAGGAAAGCCTACTCTGTTGTCATGTTTTAAGATGGGCATTGTTTTTATATCACCTTACTTGTTTGATTTCTTATGTTCTAGAAAAACCAGCACTACCACCGTGCTAAAAAGTGTAGTTCATATGAACATGTGGAGGCTAGGCAATTATGAACTTGGTCAAATATGTTTATTCTTTTTATGCAAGGCTGAAAGCAGAATCTTTCTGACTAGTTATCTCTAATTAAATGTATGGTTTCTCTTGCTATCTTTTTTCATTCACATGTTAAGCCACTATTTAACGAGTGCCAATCAACTACATACGTACTAGGGATGTTAAGTGTGACCCAGGAAAATGTAGTCATGTAGGCAACCTCATGCAAATAAAAAGGGGAAGTAGAGAGAAAGGGGGCATCTAACTAATCTGGATAGTCACAGAAGGCTTCCTAACTAATATGTAGGCTGTCTGGGACCTAAAGGATGATTAAAGTTAACTAGGAAAGTATGGAAGGCAAGGAGCAAGTGCAATGGCCAGGGAGTGAGAGAGCACGGTGGATTCCAGGGAGTGGAAGGGATAACACCAAGTTGGGGAGGGGGTGGGGAAATGGACATTCTCACAGACAGTTGTTAAGAGCATAAATTTATACAAATTCATGAATTTCTTCAGAGAAATCTGGGGACATGTTCAAAGCCTTACAAAGGTGTACCTTTTGAACCAGAAATTTCATTTCTGGGAATTTACCTTAGGGAAATAATCAAGCATATATGCAGTGATTTAGCAACAAGGAAAATAAACATGCCAAAGCTTATTAAAGCAAAACGTTTAAAACAACCGAAATGCCCAATCTATAGACAGCTAGTTAAATAAACTACAATGTAACCATATTTCAGGCTCTACAATCATTACAAACTGCATTGAAGATTAATATTTATTGACATGAAAAATCGTTTACTACTTATCTCTAATTGAAATATTACTTTTAGAGAAAAATGCAAGATATAGTACAGATCTATTTCAAAAATAAATGAGCAGAAGACAGCTGCTTATTTTTGGATTGGAAAATTATCAACTTTTTTAGCTTCTTTTTTGCTTATCTTTTTAATATTTCCTCAATGAAACTGTAATGCTTTTTAAATAAGAAATATTAGTTACTTATCAACTTTTTTTGAAGATTTAATTGTCCTATCAGTGAACTGAGATGAAGTAAGCCTTACATTCAGTTCTTGACCAGCACATTATGAGGACAAAAAAGGAAGATGAAATCCAGGAAAGAGATCCAAATAGCACATCCCCACACCAATGCCCATAAACCTCTTCCTCTCAACACAGGAACAGGTGTTGACATGAACAGAGAAGCCTTTACCCACATCGTACCTGGACAAGTCCAAATGGGAAGAAACGCTCCGTCTGCCCCTGGGAACCACGGTGGAAGGTTTCACGCCAGTCTTCGATGAGTGCAGGGAATGTGCAATTGTACAGATCCGTGTTATAATTTATATTGGACTCCCCTAAAAACAGTCCAAATTGTAAAGGGAGTTTGGAGTAGACTGCAAAAATGACCACACATTACTCTCCTCCCTCCATCCATGCCCTGAGGTAGTGGTCTTCCCACGGTCTCTCTGGACTGGTCTTTTTCCAGCCAGTGGGGCATCAGCAAATGTGGTACGAACAGAGGCTTGAAAAGTACTTCAGGTTTGGGCTCTGTCCTCTCCTGATGACCCTGGAATCCTGAGACTATTATATAAATAATAAATGAGTCTATACTGGCTTGCTGAAGGATAAGAGGTCACCTCAGAACCATGTTGCAACAGCCCCCAGACAATACATCTAGGGAGAGACCATCCTAGGTCATCCAGCCACCAGACAATCTGCCAGGTGGCCAAAGACACATAAGAGGTCCCAGCAGGAATTAGCTGAAGCAGCCCAGACATAAAAACTACCCTGCTCACCCACAGAACAGTGAGCTGAATAAAATTATAAAGTTATTGTTGCTTTAAGCCACTACGTTCTAGGGTGCTGTGTTATACAGCAAACGCTATCTGATACAATGGAGAAAGAGTACACTGAACACTTACCCTGGTACCATACTACCCCTTTCAGAGTCATATTGCACAGTGGATGGATCATGGCATTCCAGAGAACAGAGTGCTTACTGGGACCAGTTACAGAATCGTATGGAATGGACCTGAAATCATATGATGCACAAGTGTCACCAGAGAGCCAGTGATTGATCACATAAGGGTCCCTAATTGGTCATCTATCCACTTTCACTTGTGGTAAACTTCTGATGAAAGCAACACAGAATTAAAATTGAATCGAAACTCTTTTTCTTGAAAACATATGAATATTCTCTGAATTTCACCTCCAGGTTATTCCCAAAATAAGTGTATCGGTCAGCTTTCTATGGTAATTAAAGGTAATTTCTAAGGTAATTAAAGCCACAGGGAAGGAGTGCTTTATTGTTGAGTTTCTCACATTGTGGGGGGGGGCCAATAAATTTACCTAACTTTTATTAAATAAACCTTTATTTAATGCACAGACATTTAGGTTGTTTTAAACTTTTTGCTTTTATATGGAATGCCAAGATCATCTTCCTTATAGCTAAGTCATTGCATACATGCTTAACTATATCCATAAGATAAATTCCCAGAAATGAAACTGCTGTGTCAAAGGGCATCTTTTTTAAGGCTCTGAACACGTTCTCAAATTTCTCTGTAGAATATTTATATGAATTTATCCTGTAGCTGCTGCGTGTGAGAAGCCCACTTGCCCACACCCTCGGGATTATCCCTTCCACCCCCAGAGATCTGGTCTAACGCTCACTCCTACTCTACTGCAGGCCATTCTTCCTGTTCCAAAGTTGAATATCTTCACTCCCCCACAGGCAAGCTTTTACCCAAACTATACCCAGAGCTCAAGCCCATCCTCCTCCCACAGGGCTTCCCAGCGTGAATGAGACATGGTCCATGAAAGCAAGTCACATACTGCTCATCTCTACATTGATGTTAGTATCGGGATTTGTATTCACTAGCCCTTTCCCTCCCCAAGTATTCTTCCTGATCCAGCCTTTCCTAAGCAGGTGTTCATAATCAGTATACTGATACATTTCTTTGAGTACATGTTTATAACATTTGTTCTTCCTGTTGGATTGTTTATTCTTCTAGGCAATACAGCACAATGGTTAGGTGCACAGACACTGAAGCCAGACTTGCCACTTACTAGTCATGCTCATGAGCAAGTTACTAAGTCTCTCTGAAATGTAGTGTCTTCACCCATGGTCTTTAATATCTACACTTCAATATATTAATATATAATAATATATATTCAATATATTCATAATTTATATATATAAAGTGCTTAGCACAGTGTCTGGCATATAAAAAGCTTTCAGTAACCACTAGCTATTACTATTACTGGGGGAAAAGATACTTTTTTTTTACATGTTCTCAAACGATTGTGGTGGCAGTGACAGTGAAAATAATGCTTTCCCTCTACATGAATAAATTACATACATTCAACACATATTGGGACATTCACCATATACTTAACTCCCCACAGAGGACGATGACCCTCTCTCTTGCATAATTCCCTGGTAGGCTCTTTCTCAGACTGGAGAATGCTGTCTTACCCTTGTTTAGGGACCCCACAGGCTTTCAGTGACCGTCCAGATGACCAGGCTTCAATGGGTGTCCCGCCCCAGCTGGAGGCGATCAGCCCGATGGGATACTGCAGAGTGTCATAAAGGTGACGTCCAAAGAGCCAGCACACTGCTGACATGTACTTGAAATATCCATGGCCTAAGTTTTCTGTTCAGAGAAATGGTTAAAGAAAAAGAGCCAGAGAAAGGTTGATGGATACAAACTGCAGCTGCTAGGTGGGTCGAGGTGAGAAGGGTGGGCAGAGGTCATTCTTCTGTTGTTTTCTAAGACTTTCAAAAGTAGGATAAGATTGAGAGGCACAGAGAAGATACAGCATCAAGACCAATATGCTGGTCTGAACACTATTATCTCTTCCAAACCTTCCCTAAGGAGAATCTTTTCCAAGGGAGAAAACTGTAACCTTAGTGATAGTTTCCTTTTATCTGTCTTCATGTTTTTTCAGTTACTCAAAATGCTTGTTCTCATAACAAGGAAATAGCTCTCTCTGCCTGGGAGAGAGGCAGATATGATAGCGATTTTGCTCTCAGTCTGATTATAAATAATTCACTTACATAACATGGAAGTTAAAACTCTGGCTAGGCAATAGGCTTCCCCATGCTTCCCATCACTTACAGGATCTGCAGACTCTCGGATAATCAATGCTCTCCCTCAAATAGGTGAGAGGTGGGAGGGCCATCATGTCCCCATGCTACTCTCTTCTGTGTCTCCCCTCTTACTCAGCCACTCATTCCCACTTAGCTCTGTGGAAGGGAAAAAGCAAGGAGGGGGCAACTTAAGAAGAAATGTGTATTTCTTCTTTTTTCTGGTGGCTTTATACCCAATTTTATAGCTATGCTAAAGAGGCTGGGCGCAGTGGCTCACACCTATAATCCCAGCACTTTGAGAGAATGAGGCAGGTGGATCATCTGAGGTCAGGAGTTCGAGACCAGCCTGGCCAATATGATGAAACCCCGTCTCTACCCAAAATACAAATATTAGCTGGGCGTGGTGGTGGGCACCTGTAATCCCAGCTACTCGGGAGGCTGAGGCAGGAGAATCGCTTGAACCTGGGAGGCATAGGTTGCAGTGAGCTGAGATCGTGCCATTGCACACCAGCCTGGGCAACAAGAGCAAAACTCTGTCTCAAAAAAATAAATAATAAATAAAATAAAAGTCAAAAAATAAAAATAAATAGCTATGGTAAAGAAAACATGGACAGATAAGTGATGGGAAATTCGGCCCAAAGGGAAAGCCACAGAAGCCAAAACTAGTGTTTAAATTCTCAGCACAGTCTAATTCATTCATCCAATTACACTGCCCAGTAACCAACAGAGGCAAGAGTGAGCAATTTCATGTTAGAAGAAAGCTGGTGAAGAGGGGGGCATGCATGTACACACAAGGATGGGATCAGTTCAGCCCAAGGTTTATTAAAGACTGACTATGGCTAAGTCACTGGCACTCCAAAAGTAGACAGTGCAATAGTGAGGATTCAAATCAATTCCAAAATAATTAAATGGACAGAGCACCTACCATGTATCAGGAACTACTAGATGGATGGGAGACAGTGATGAAAGCAATATAGAGACACATGGAACCTCTCCTCATAGGTCTATTAGTTGATAGAATAAGGCAAGTAGGGCTGGGCATGGTGGCTCATGCCTGTAATCCCAGCACTTTGGGAGGCTGAAGCAGGCAGATCATGAGGTCAGGAGTTCGAGACCAGCCTGACCAACGTGGTGAAACCCCATCTCTACTAAAAATACAAAAAAATTAGCTGGGTGTGGTGGCGCACACCTTTAATCCCAGCTGCCTAGGAGGCTGAGGCAGAAGAATCGCTTGAACCTGGGAGGCGGAGGTTGCAGTGAGCTGAGATCGTGCCACTGCACTCCAGCCTGGGCGACAGAGCAAGACTCCGTCTCAAAAAAAAAAAAAAAAGAGTAAGACAAGTATTTAGTTGAATAAAATATATGGCAAAAGATGGTAAGTACAAACAAGTATTAAGGAGTTTTAACACAAAGAAAGAATATCAAATGAGAGGCAGATCCTAAAAGGCCTAATAAACACTGACCTCCCCGCCCCGCACCGTGCTTCCACGACACTCTGTGCATCGCTCCATCACTAGACCTTGCAATAACCATCTGTTCAGTGTTTCCCTTAGCTCACTACACTATTAGCAGAGACTTCACCTGATTCACGTCTGTATCCCCAGCGTCCAGGACATGATGGAGAGTCAGTGTTTGCTGACTGATTGAGGGTGGCTGTGGTTTCACTGACAGTAGGTAGAGGGGAGTGGTAAACAGGAGGGAAGAAGAGAGCTGGAGAAGCCTTAAACCAGCAACAGGAGTTTAACAGACAGAGCTGGCACTCAAGGCAGAAGAAAAAATACGTGAAAAGGCACACAGAATAGGAAATATTCTGAGAGTATTTGGCTGGAGCAGAGATTATAAAAGAGAACAGTGGAAGATAAGACTGGAGGGGAGGTTAGAGCCACATCTTGGAGTAAAGAAAATGGAAACCCACTTGAAAATGCTTGAGAATGAGAATGTGGGGTGTAGGCAAAATAACAGACCCCAAAGACGTCGACACACTCATCCCTGGAACCTGTGGCTGTGTTACCTTGCATGGCGAAAGGCACTTTGTAGATGTGATTAAGGTTAGGGACCTTGAGATGGAGAGAGTGTCCTGGCTCATCTAGGTGCGTCCAATCTAATTACAAGAGTCCTTAAAATCAGAAAACCTTTCCCAGCAGCAGTGATGTGATGACAGAAGAGGCAGGAGACCGGGCGCGGTGGCTCACGCCTGTAATCCCAGCACTTTGGGAGTGTGAGGCAGGCAGATCATGGATCACTTGAGGCCAGGAGTCCCAGACCAGCCTGGCCAACATAGTGAAACCCCGTCTCTACTAAAATACAAATATTAGCTGGGCGTGGTGGGGCACACCTGTAATCCCAGCTACTCGGGAGGCTGAGGCAGAAGAATCACTTGAAGCTGGGAGGTGGAGGTTGCAGTGAGCCAAGATCACATCACTGCACTCTAGCCTGGGTAACAGAGTGAGACTCGGTCAAAAAAAAAAAAAAAAAAAAGGGGGAAGAGCACAGCAGGCAGGAGAGATTCTCAACGTGGGAGAGATGGATCCTCTGTGCCCTTCCTAGGTATCTGAATTGCCTCGCCTCTTTCAGGCTGCTACTGAAATGTTGCCTTTCCCCATCCCAGCACGAACACTTCCTATTGCCTCCCTTCCCTGATATATTTATTTGTTTTTGTCTCATTAGCACGTCACCCATTAACCTATCCTGTGATATCCACATTTATTCATTCAGTTTCTGATTTCACAAAGTGAAAACAAGTTCAGATAACAAGGCATAATACATTATCCAAATTTGATTGAGTCCTGAGTTTTGGATACCATGTAGTAAGAGTTCATAGAGCAAAGGATTCATCCAAAAATTTACCTGAATCCATTCAGTTCCTGAGCTCTTTTATAGGGAGAGTTCGGATAGTGTAAGACTGGATAGCATCAGATACTTTGTCTATAATTTGCTTATTTTATGATTCACTTTCAGAGTTCCCTTACACTAGACTGTAAGCTCCATGAGGTCAGGTATTCTTGCCTGTTTTACTCACTACAATATCCCCAGCACTTAGAACAGTGTCGAGCACATAGTAGACACTCAAATATTTGTTAAGTGAATTACTACTTATAAATGTAGGAGCATCTGAGCACCAAGGAAAGCATGCACAGGAGAAAAAGAAAAAGTCCAGGGGGAACACAGGGACCACCTCTGAGGGAAGGGAATGAAGAAGCAAAGAAAAAGGGACAGAGAAGACAGAGGAGGAGAAGTAGGAAAAGAAAGTACCAGGCAAGCAAGGAGGGACATGCAGTTTCTAAAGGGGGTGGTCCGCAGTGCTGAATGCGGCAAAGGTCTCTAGGTTTATCATTAGAAGAATGATAGTAACATCAAGGTGAACAAATTGTTGAGGTGGAAGCAGAAGCCAGGTGACAAAGGGCTGAAGAGTGAACACAGGGAAAGGCAGTGAAAAGAATGAAAACAGAAGACGTTCTAGAAAGGTTTAACAAAGCAAAGGAGAAAGATGAAGCATCTGTGAAGGGTGTTTGCGATGTTTACTGTTGTTTTGTTTTGTTTTATTTTGTGAGAATAGAAGAAAGGCTAAGCTCAGAGAGCAGGGACTGTGTGTCCGTTTGGTCACTGCTGTATCCCTGGGGCCTGGCACAGATCCTGACACAAAGCAGTCATGAAATGGAGAGTGGCCGGGTGCAGTGGCTCACGCCTGTAATCCCAGCACTTTGGGAGGCCGAGGTGGGCGGATCATGAGGTCAGGAGTTCGAGACCAGCCTGGCCAATATGGTGAAACCCCATCTCTACTACAAATACAAAAATTAGCTGAGCGTGGTGGCTGGTGCCTATAGTCCCAGCTACTCGGGAGGCTGAGGCAGGGGAATCACTTGAACCCAGGAGGCGGAGGTTGCAGGTGAGCCAAGATCACACCACTGCATTCCAGCCTGAGCGACAGACTGAGACTCCGTCTCAAAAAAAAGAAAAAGAAAAAAAAGAAATGGAGAGCTCATGCTGAATGGACTGAGGGGAAAACCACAGTGCCTAAGGGATTAAAGAAGGCTCTGGAGAAAGGAGAACCCAAATCAGAGTTAGCCCTGAAAAGAGACCAGTTGTCTACAGACACAGAGACAAGGGAAGAAAGAAGAGAGGATTTGGAGTGAAGGCATCGGCGAGAGATGCTGGCGGAGCCCATGCCGAAGGGCCTTGATATTTTCACTGAAGATGTTGAAGGAAGACTCATTTCCCCACAGCAAGAGGGAAGATTTGTTGGTAGTCTTGGGAAGAAACCTGAAATAGTCACCATCAGGAAGGATGAAGAGTCAATAAGAAAGGAATAAAAGGCATGAGTAATAATAAATAGACACATAAGAACCAAATTCAGTCTTACAGATTCCACTTAGGGCGCTAACCCATTATATAAGAGACAGCACGTTCAAGCCGTCACATACCTGAGGTGGGCTTAGACCACTGCAAGTCAACCGCAACAAGGTCCTCCAGCTCCTGCTCTGCTTGAATGGGAGAGACAGAGAGGATGCGGACAGACTGATATGCCGCAGTGTTAGACAACTCCCTTGTAGCATTAAATATCTGGAAAAGAAATTGAAACGTCATTTAACCTAGCAGGTGGTGAACTAGCCTGACACCTCTTAGTAAACATCAGTCCTCTGAGCTCCTGAGCTTTCAATATACTGAGATCAAATTAATAACCAAAACCAATGGGCTGCACTGAATCACCTTGATCCACTTTTACCAAAAGAGACCAGGATGAATCATGTTCCCAAAGAGGGTAGAAATATAATGAAATCTGTGATCTTAAGGAGCAGGTCTATGTTAGACAAGAGGAGCCGTGAAGTAGCTGAGGCTAAAGAATATTGCCCAGCACTTACAACACTCTGATACCTTGAAACTGAAATATTTCTACTCTGAAAAAGTATCTCATAACACAAAACCAGACCAATTAACTTCTTCTTTTTTTTTTTTTTTTGTGTGTGAGACAGTCTTGCTCTCTCGCCCAGGCTGGAGTGTAGTGGCCAATCTCAGCTCACTGCAAGCTCCGCCTCCCAGGTTCACACCATTCTCCTGCCTCAGCCTCCCGAGTAGCTGGAACTACAGGCGCCCACCACCATGCCCAGCTAATTTTTTATATTTTTAGTAGAGACGGGGTTTCACCGTGTTAGCCCGGATGGTCTCAATCTCCAGACCTCGTGATCCGCCTGCCTTGGCCTCCCAGAGTGCTGGGATTACAGGTGTGAGCCACCGCACCCAGCCAATTAACTTCTTTTTAAAATGGTGCTTAGGATATTATGTGGAACCAAAAAGGCCGTGGGGAGGTAGATTTGTCTAATCCATACCACACAAGAGAAGCATGCTTAAAAGAAACACAGCTCAGACATGACTGTTGAACTACTGAAACATAGTTGAAGTACTGAAACATACTGGAATAAGTCTCAAAATGCATATACAGTTATCCTTCATGTCCACAGGGCATTGGTTCCAGGAACCACACCCCCCCACACCAAACCCCAGCACATCAAAATCTGAAGATGTTCAAGTCCCTTATACAAAATGGCATATTTGTTTATAGCCTACAAACATCCTCCTGTATCTCTATATTACTTATACCTAATGCAATGTAAATGCTATGTAAATATTTATTATATATGTTAAGCAACCCTAATCTGAAAATCCAAAATCCAAAATGCCCCCAAATCCAAAATTTTTGGTGTGCCAACATGATGTCAACAAGTGGAAAATTCCACACATAAATACTTCAGACAAATTTTGTTTCATGCACAAAATTATTTAAAAATATTGTACAAAATTACCTTCAGGCTATGTGCATAAGGTATATAGGAAACATAAATGAATTTCAGGTTTAGACTCGGGTCCCGTCCCCAAGATATCTCATTATGTCTATGCAAATATTGCAAAATCCAAAAAAAAATCCAAAATCTGAAACACTTCCAATCTCAAGCAACTTCAGAAAAAGGATACTCAACCCGTATGTATTGTTTTTTCAATGTGTATTATTTATTGTTGTATTGCCACTTTTAATTTTTATTTTTCAAATATTTTATATCCATGGCTGGTTGAATCTGCACATGTGGAACTGGTGGATACCACAGGCTGACAGTATCCTCATCTTGGTCTTGGTAAATCACCAAAGAAAAGCAAGAGAGGCATGGAGACTAGAAAGGTGGTGTTCAGGGTAACAGCTCAGAACAGTCCCAAGGAATTAAAGAAGAGGGTCCCTCCAAAGATAAATCATATTTTCCCAAATCACTGTATTAAACCTCATCAATTGTCAGGAGTATGAGAGGAGTGGCTTAGGGTTTTCTGGAAAAGAATGTGTATGCTACACTCAGTTCCTTCTTTGTTAGTCCAGTAAAGCATCATTCCTCTATGAACTTATGCACAAGTGCTATTTCCTCTCATCCTGACTTTTTAGTTATTTTTTTATTTTAAAACAAATATATCAGAAATATTTTGTTTTTGTTTTTTTTTATTTGTGTATTTCTTCTTGAGTCCTTTCTATCCCCCTGGACTGGCCCAGCTTCTCCCAAAACAAAGGGCCAACGGGAGCATCAGGAAGCCCAGTTACCGCTTGCCTCAGGGAGCAGGCGCTCCAGCTGAGTCGGGGCTGCCACAGCAGTGAGAGGCACAGGAGGCCGGGTACGTTCCATTGGCCGCTGGTCACAGAGTGTGCAGCTGGCTCGCTTTCCACCCCCACCCACCCACCACAGAGAATACAGCTGGCCCTCCAGCCACAGCGTAAGAGAAACTCTGAAAGATGCTGCCCCTTGAATCTCTCTGGACTTGCCACTGAGCCGGCTGTGCCCAATAAGATGGCCAGATGGAAATGAGATAGCTCTTTTGATCACAGTGGGAGCCACAACCTGAAATGCTCCCTTGGTGGTGGCAGCTCTAGGCTGTCAGGATTACTGACTGGTCTTCCCATTCTCAGGACAGGTTACACATGGTCTCAAGAAAATTCCACAGGAAATCCAGACCTGTTTGTTCAGGATCATACCTGGCAGGTTAATGTAAAGTAAACACGAAGGAGTAAGAACAGGCTAATGCACTCACAGTGTATCTGGCAGGGAAATTATTTTTCAGCAGCAAGTACCTGTAAAAAGCCGCCTCCTTTGGAATTCAGTTCTGCACTAAGCACTCAGGATCCTATGTTGCTTCCATGGAAACAGTGGATGAAACTGCTTTCATTCTCTCCACCCACACTAGCTTCCGCACTGACTGGGAACTCAAGTGCTTCATCACAGTGAGACGCCAGCTTGGGAGGCAGTATGAGAGAACATGCTACTTGTCTTTTAGACCCGTTGCTAACACTGTAGAGTACTGTGAGGCCAATAGAGTCAGAATGGTTGGCATTCTCCTATATTGATACCAGCACACGGAAGTGGATCCAAAACATTGACTGGAAAACTTCCATTTTCAAATTCACATTTGTGTGTAATTTCAAGCCCAAACTTGAAAGCCACAGAGAGTGTCAGCAAAAATGGGGGTGGGGACCATTCCTTCTGTACCTGACAACATAATGACAATTACTTCAGAAATTGGTATCCTTCCCCAATAACTAGGCCTTTTTGATGAAAGCATTTCCTCGGGGATATGTGCAGCAAACTTAGGAATAAAGAGATTGCAGGAAGATTTTCATTTAAATGACATTTGGTTTCCCTGCTGATGAAAGGGGAAACCTTACTCCATCTGCTGAGATCAGATTTCATCTCATCAAACACTGCAGTGTTATTATTTTTTTACCAAGTATTTAAATGAGGATGTAAATGAATACCAAGGTATTTGAAGTCATTAACACCACAGACGCTGGGAGAGAGCACCGCTGCCTCTCTAGGGACTGGACCGTTCACCATCAAAGCAGCTGCTCACTGGTGTTCATTTTGTAACCTTTATACCACATTCTTGAATTAATGAAGACACGTCAAGAATCTATTTCCTCAGAGAATCTTGGCATGGGGTCTGCATAGGGGAGCAAAGCATGCGTGTGAGTGTGTGTCTGTGCACACACACACACACACACACAGAAGGACAGAAACTTTATTTACTTAAAAGAATTTGGAAATGCTCTAAGTTACTTTACCTTCTACTATGGTAGCAGTTCTAAAATTGAGGAGATAACTATTAAAAAAAAAAAAGCCAGCCTCATAAGTCCTGTGAATCTTTTGTTGGAATGTGGTACCAGCCCTTCTCTTCTGGATCTTAATTTCTCTATTTGTAAAGTAGGAATGTGGGGAGTTCTGAGATATTGAAAAATGGGTTTCCTGATGGATATTGGCCATCTTTTTCTGAGCATAACTAGAAATATCCAAATCTTAAGACCTACCCTGACTTAGGAGGCGACAGATGAACATTTAGACTCTTCTCCATTTATAAACATCTCACTCAGCGTTATAAATAACACTCAATTTTAAAATTCCACTTTACCCTAACAACAAGATGGGCACACAATCTGCCATTTCCTTGATTTGAATGTGAAGAGTGGTAGGTTATAGTGGAACTCTTACCTCCTCAGAGAAGTCACATGGAAGGAGGGAAGGAGAAAGACTCGTGTGTGTATGTGTGTGTGTGTGTGTGATGTATGTGTGTGTGTTGGGGGTTTGTAGGAGGAAAGGAGCAAAAGGAATAAACAGAAAGCCATGTAGAACATTCTTTTAATCAAAAAACAAGGTTCCATAGACTGTTAAGAGACTAGAAACTTGGCTTTTGGTACTGTCAGCATCTAAAATGTTATCTTGCAAACTAAGTGCATGATTTAAACAAAAATAAAAAATAAATATTAACACTTGGATGTTTCAGACAGAATTTTTTTCTGTTCCCCTATATCTCAGAGCTTAGAGACCTAGCTTTATACAGAAGATGCTCAGGGGTAAATTCTAGGCAGAGAAAATATGTTTACTCTTAACAATCAAAATCTAATTTAGCTTGACAGAAAATGGGATGGAATCCCCTGGCATAGACTGCTGTTGAGAAAGCGACTATATAGATACAAACAGATCTGGTCCATGCCTTTCTGTGCAAACAGGGAACTGCAATTACAGCATTAAGAAAAATACTGTTTTCCTTAATGAGTTAACAGCAATTCTGCTTCTACACAAAACCATCCTTTCTATCAAGAAATAAAACTTTGATTCTGCTTCTACTCTCTTATGCTAAAAGAGTCCAAAGTTCAGTTTAATAAACATTTTAATTCAAAAAGCCCAGCATGGGTAACATAGCAAGACCCTATCTCTATAAAAAATAAAAAATCAGCTGGATATGGTGGCTCACACCTGCAATCCCAGCTACCCAGGAGGCTGAGGCAGGAGGATCCCTTGAGCCCAGGAGTTCTAGGCTGCAGTGAGCTATGATCATACCACTGCACTTCAGCCTGGGTGACAGAGAAGGACCTTATCTCTTTAAAAAAAAAAAAGGGGGGGGGGGGGCTTCCGTATATATAAATAAGACAGAATGTAAGAGTAAATAAAATGTTGATAAGGAAGACTTCAATGCAAGAATTTAAATTCTAAATCAGAAAACTAATGATGAAATGAAGTAGATATGTTCAGAGTAAGATCATTTTAGTAGCATTATTTAGTAGAAGACTACAAAAAGAAAAAAATAGAAAAAACTAAGAAACAGAAGCAAAACAATAAATCATAGAGTATACAAACATATTGTATTTCATAAATTTTTCAAAAAGAGATGAATTGAGTTAACGGTCTAGTTCTATACAGGTTTACATCTCAAATTTAATATTTCTCAAAGGAATGATTAAAAGGCAAGAAAACAGGCCGGGCTCAGTAGCTCAGGCCTGTAATCCCAGCACTTTGGGAGGCCAAGGCGGGTGCATCATCTGAGGTCAGGAGTTCGAGACAAACCTGGCCAACATGGCGAAACCCCGTCTGTACTAAAAATACAAAAATTAGCCAGGCATAGTGGCAGATGCCTGTAATCCCAGCTACTTGGGAGGCTGAGGCAGGAGAATCGCTTGAACCCGGGAGGTGGAGGTTGCAGTGAGCTGAGATTGCACCATTGCACCCCAGCCTGGGCAACAAGAGAGAAACTCCGTCTCAAAAAAGAAAAAAAAAAAAAAGCAAGAAAATAAAAATCAACTTGAGAAGAAACTCAGTTTTGGAGAAAGTGCTAGAGAAAACAATACTCCTTCTAAGTTCTTAACCTATATAGAATACATTAGCACCAATCAATAACTACCAATTTAATCAATAGCTTATCTCTTAAGATTGTTAAGTCAAATTAATGAATTCATTCAAAGCATTTAGAACATATCTTGGCTCATGGTACTCACTAAATAGAAACAGCCCTGCTTCTCCTTGTTGCCCCCTTATTCCTCCTTCTTTTCCTTCTTCATCACCAACACTGTGTATTATTGCTGAGACTCTGCAAATTACCTGTAACACAGTCATCTGCATGTTACTCTGCCCACTACAGAGCCAGACATCTCCAAACAGGACGTCATGAACTCTCAGGGTGAAGTTTATTTTCTCCAAAGTCTGTTGTGCCATCACTTCGAAAGGTCCTCCAGGCTTCATAGGATCCAGTACCACCATCCACGTATCAGAGTGAGCTGAAATAGTAACAGGACTCCAAGGAATTAATCAATCAATTAAAGTGAAATCAAAGCCCAATTATACTCATTTGTGGCTATTCCCAGCCTCTGTAATAAACCGAATTCAAAGCTATGAAGATTGGCCAAATTTCAGATAAGAGGATAGAACTAACACGAGCAGCAGCATTTTTATCCTTAATCTGTACCAATCCCTCCTTACTTTTAACTGAAGCATTTACAAAAAAAGTAAGTTACCCAGTTATAATCCTAAATGAGGATAGACAAAAATACACACAGATTAAAATTCAAGAGTTTAATAGAAAACATAAAAGAGAAATTCTTATTATACTATCCAGCTGTCAAAATTAACATTAATTTCATCTTATAGTGCCCCAAACTAACTTGCAATTACTCAATTGAATGTGACCACAGGGTATAGAAAATCAATGATAATCTGGAACTTCCCCTGGCTTGACAGTATCACCCTTGCCTTCACTCCCCGTCTCCTCCTCTGTTGCTAACAAGGATTAACACTACCAGTGGTCTGGGTTTTCCTAACAGCAAACTGTTGAGTGGAGAAACCGACACATCAAAAAGTAGTGGGAGGCATATAAATTAATCTCTCTGTGAAAAAGATATTCCAATTTGCCCAATTAATTATTTTCACAGACTTATTTACAAGACTTAAGGCTTTGGGACTCAATTAGGGAAATGAGAAGCTGTCTGAGACCCTATTTCAGAAACTCATAGCATATTCCCTAGAACCACCCCATCACCCTCCTACCTCTCATCACTCACCAGACCACCCCTGCCAACAACATACTTAGAAGCTTCAGAAAAATATCTTCAAAATGGCAAAAATTATGCCAAGGAGAATCAAGCAACATGAACAAAGTTGATAAAACAAGCATGGGAAAATAGAAAAAAAATGGGAAATTAACATTTTAAAATAAATACTCTTGGCATTATGCCAAAGAATATGAACTGATTTATAATTCATACCCATCAGATCAATGTAAATTCAAAGGGAAAGAATGATAAGAACTGGAAATGGAGCATCCTAAAATGATTACATCCAATCTATGGGAAATAATAATTCTAAAAATACTATCCAAGGGCCTACTATGTGCTAGACACTGCAAAGTTCTTTCTAATCAGCAAGAGCTAAGCAGAAGCATGAGATGTCCTAATGTACAACAGGTGACTAATAAAAACTCAATTCATAAAGGATTTCTCAGAGTCCTGGGGAAAATGTCCAAAAGCCCCAAGACATCAGAGGAAGGGTGCATGCTTGCTCCTCTTAAAAGCATAAGCAACTAAGCTTGCTACTCCCATCCCTAAGAGGTTAATTAAATCTAAGACCAAATGTTCAGTATTGCTTTTATACCATCAGTAGCCACACGTCAACGTATTAAATGTATAATTCACCTAAACCAGAAAAATCACTGTTTTGGAAACAGTGGGCAGCTAGGACAGATTGTGTCGCACAGGTGTGATGTGTTCCATGTGGCTCACACTTCTGAGCAGGCAGACACTCCAATCTGTCCCAACTCCAGGCTTGCCAAGGTCTTTCCAGGCTTCCTGCACTGACACATCTTACTGGAGCTCTGTCCTTCTGCCACCAACGTTATTTACTTATGGTGGTGAGGTCAACCTCCAGAAAACCAAGGACTATTTCTTAGCCTTCTATTGCTATACAATTTATTCCTATTCACTGCTATTAACTGGGTATTTACACTTAGCCTCAATCCAGGCAACGTGGCTGGTGAAGAAAACTACCTTCACCAGAGGTTCTAAAACACTCTGCTACCCAGTAATTAAAAGATAATGCCAAACTATTTAGGCCAAACATAGCAATACCATCCTGCTACAGCCAGAGGATGCACTCCCTCTAGGGCCTAAGGAATCGAGAGAACTAGGCATCAAGACCCGAGCCTTGTTCCCAAGAACTGCCTCCCAGAGAAACCTCCTTCCAACTTCCTCAAAGACCTCAGAAAACTTCCTTCTGTGCTAGTCCTCAAGATGTTAGTTTCTAGCTTTTTTTCCTTTCCTACTTGATAAAAGAAAAGTAAACTCTGGCAAAGCACAGTGGCTCATGCCTGTAATCCCAGCACTTTGGGAGGCCGAGGCAGGTGGATCACCTGAGGTCAGGAGTTTGAGAACAGCCTGGCCAACATGGTGAAACCCTGTCTCTACTAAAAATACAAAAATTAGCAGGGTGTGATGGCATATGCCTATAATCCCAGCTACTCGGAGGCTGAGGCAGCAGAATCACTTGAACCCAGGAGGTGGAGGTTGCAGTGAGCTGAGATTGCACCATTGCATTCCAGCCTGGGCAACAAGAGCAAAACTCCATCTCAAAAAAAAAAAAGTCATGTAAACTCTGACAATAACACAAGTGTTAAGAAGAGTTAACTTCCAGGCAAGGCAGGGAAAACTTGATACACTCCAGAGAGGTTACTAATGGTTAAACCAACTCAGAGACAGTTCATTTAAAACAATAAGGATTGGCCGGGCGCAGTGGCTTGCGCCTGTAATCCCAGCTCTTTGGGAGGCCGAGGCAGGCGGATCACAAGGTCAAGAGATCGAGACCATCCTGGCTGACAAGGTGAAACCCTGTCTCTACTAAAAATACAAAAATGAGCTGGGCATGGTGGCGGCACCCGTAGTCCCAGCTACTCGGGAGGCTGAGGCAGGAGTATGGTGTGAACCCGGGAGGCGGAGCTTGCAGTGAGCCGAGACTGTGCCACTGCACTCCAGCCTGGGCGACAGAGCGAGACTTTGTCTCAAAAATAAAATAAAATAAAATAAATAAGGATTTACTCCTATGTAAGCATATACAAAGGACAGCAGCACCTGTGAAGACTGTTTCTTAGACCAAAAGCAAGGGTGGGATTAAAAAGGCAAAAGCCACCATGTTTCATAAGAACTGGCTGGTCCTTAGCTTATCCGTTCAGGACTGGTTGGTTGAAATGGAGCTCACCACAGGCCAGTTAAGTCCAGTTAAGAGTTTTCAGAAACAGTGTTGACCCACGAAGTCCATAAGCTGGAGTCCAAATAAGAAGCTTGAGCCACTAACCACAAAGAGTTTACCATCCAGCTGCCTTTCTGCTGATAGAGATCAGCTTTCCCAACAAGTTGCTCTGCATCCCTCTTCTGGGCCCTAATCACTTGCTATTAGCTATTCCAGGCCAGGCCCAGGTTTCTGTAAATTCTCACTTTCAGTGCATTCAAATCTCTGCTTCCTCGCATTTTTTCTCGTACCACCTAGGAAGATTAATTTCCTTCCTTCATTATACAGCTACTTAGAGTGCTTAGTGTGCCAGGCACTCCATCAATTAAATGGTAGGAAGTAAACCCCATCCCTGGGTTACACTGACAAGAGAGCCATGCAAATTGACTAGGGCTTTATGTTCTCATGTCTAGGGTTAGCATTTCTGGTAGCCTATTTCTTTTTTTTTTTTTGAGACAGAGTCTCACTCTGTCGCCAGGCTGGAGTGCAGTGGCGCGATCTTGGCTCACTGCAACCTCTGCCTCCCGGGTTCAAGCAATTCTCCTGCCTCAGCCTCCAAAGTAGCTGGGACTACAGGTGCGCACCACCACGCTCAGCTAATTTTCTTTTTGTATTTTAGTAGAGACGAGGTTTCACCATGTTGGCCAGGATGGTCTCGATCTCCTGACCTTGTGATCCACCCACCTCAGTCTCCCGAAGTGCTGGGATTATAGGCATGAGCTACCGCATCCGGCCTCTAGTGGCCTATTTCTTATTGTTGCTCTTCTTCTCACATTCCAGCCAAGGGCAGTGAAAAACTCTCTGTCTCCACCTTCTCTCCACCTCCCAATTAACTCCCACCTCATAATGGGAAGAACAAGCAAACAATCAATGGAAAAAATGAAAATAATTTGTCTAGAGACATAGTCATAAAGTGCTTTCTTGTTTTTTCTTCTTGCCATTCATATCAGATGTTAATTATTTTGTTCTATTATTGTGCCAAAATCTGATGCCAAGAAGAGAAAAAGGAAAGTTATCCATGACCGTTCCCTTCCCGAGAAGAACAACCTAGAAATGAAAAAAGCGCCCCTGTTCACTTCCCCCCCACCCCCACCCAACAGAACCCTAGTTCCTCACTGGCTGCAAAGTGGCTCAGTGGTTTGTGGAACTGGCTTGGAAGTCAAGAAGGCCTTACTGCCTACACTGCCCCTCACCAAACTACATTTATTCTGTTGTAACCTGAAGTTCATCTCCACCATCAAATATGAATGCAAAGGAAAAATAGCTTAAGTGCTTTTGTATCAATAAAACTGCTCATGCAAGTTACTTACACTATAGCCTGTGGTGGCAGACACAGCCTAAGGTGACACCCCAAAGTCACATGCTTGTGTGGCTGGCAGAATCTGTGACTGGCTTCCAACCAACAGAAAATGGCAAAGGCAATGAGATGTCACTCTTGTGATTAGATAATGTTATATGGAAAAGATGGGATTTTGCAGTTGTGATTAAAGTCCCTAATCATTTCACTTTAAGTTAATAAAAATTGAGATTTTCCTGGGTTGGCATACATAATAAGGTGAGCTCTTTCAAAGAAGATATAGAGGTCAGAGATGTGAAACAGCAGAGGTGCTGCCATGAGCTCAACACCTAAATGAATTCTGCCAGCAACGTAAGGGAGCTTGGAAACAGGTAACTCCCTACTCGCACCTCCAGGTGGGAACGCAGCCTGGCCTACACCTTGATTTCAGCCTTGTGAGACCCTCAGTAGAGAATCCAGCGAAACCATGACCAGACTTCAGACCCACAGAAATTGTGAGATAGTAAAAGCGTGTTGTTTTAAGCACCTAAGTTTGTGGCAATTTATTATGTAGCATAGAAAACTAGTATGCAAATTAGCCAGGCATGGTGGCGGGTGCCTGTAACCTCAGCTACTCAGGAGGCTGAGGCAGGAGGATCACTTGAACCTGGCAGGCAAAGGTTGCAGTGAACCGAGATCACACCTCTGCACTCCAGCCTGGGTGACAGAGCAAGACTCCATCTCAAAAGAAAAAAAGAGAAAAGAAAAAAAGAAAATTGGTATGCATGCCAACCAGGGGCAGGGAGGGTTTTAGGCTTCTGTATTATTTTAAGGTAGAGAAAATATATCTATTTACCTCAATCATGATGACAAAAATATAGACAGACACACCCTCATTTTATCACCTACATACACACACCCCTACCATGTATGTCAAAGTGAGAGGATATGCCTGGTTTTCCCTGCTCGTATTCCTTGTGTCTGAAAGAATCCTCTTACATCATTTGACAACATCGTTTGAACCAACCCAGTACCTGACCATGGTGCCAATCATCCCTCAGGTATTAATTTTCCCAATGTCTAAGTGTCAGTCTGCTGGACAAAAACCTTTATGCTGTTATATCTTACTTTGTTCTGGGTACCTAGGGGACTATGGGTAATAAGTTAAATATTACCAGAGGCAGACAAAGCAGCAAATTGAGGTAATGTGGCTGAAAATCTCAGAGTCCTCATTAAAATCTAAACCAGAAATCCACCCTCCAATATTCTCTGTGGTATCTCTTTTGAGAGACATTTTCTGCCTATGAAATTTCTTACATGTCTACCTCCTTTACTCCAATTAACACTTCATCTATTTTGCTTGATGGGCAGAACAAAGCAAGATACCCATTGAAGCAGGTTTGCAGATCTCTCTAAACTCAAATACCTTCCCCTTTTCTACCAAGTAAATGTGGAAAGTCTAATAAATAGGTCCCCACCACCACCAATAACATCAACCTCTTTTCCTGTGAAATTATCATCAGTATCCATGAATCACTCAATTCTCTTAAGTTGCTGCTGGTTATTTTAACTACAAATGAAGGATACATCCCTTTGCAGTGAGGCAGCTGGAGCATTACTTGAGCCTAAACTACTAAATGTGTAAGGATGGAATGGGGCAGTGAGTTCTTGAAAGATGGGCACTATTTGTATTCTTCTTTATACTTTCCTAGGGTTTCTGGCTCAGTGTTTTAGACATAGTAAGCCCTCACTTGGCTTTTATCAAATTAAACTCAAGATAAATGAGCAGCTTCACAATCACTGTAAAGGAAAAGGGAGGCTTCCCTCCTAATTATTACCTTTCATTCCACCTAGCCTCCTGCCTCATCTCTGCCCACCTCAAATATTAGTTCTGAAACAGGCATGAAGGGAGAAAAACTCTAAAAATAATGCAAAAGGATTTTTTAAACTGAAATGCTATGTAATATTGTATGCTTTCTGTATGTATTTCTACAGCACTGTGTTATCTCTGTCACCTAAATATTATTGGTAACTTAATTGTTAGCACCATGTAAATCCCACTTCTTATTTTTAAACCACAGCAGTTCTTTGGATTTCCAAATCAGCATCATTTACTGAGAGTGCCATTATTTGTACACAATGCTCCTTATTTCTAAGGTGACCCAGCACAAACAGAAAGCACTGAGAGTCCCTTGAATCCTTCACTTTCAGGACATCCTGCAAGTCACTGACGGCATTTAGATCCAACAGAGAAGCATGTCTCAATCAGCTGAAGCTTCCCTTTCGGTCTTTTAGTTTACCCAACAACATTCTTACCTTAAAAAGTCTTAAAACCCAAGAATTAGAAGCACTTACCTTACATCAATGCCTGGCATATAGTATTTTTAAATGTTTGCTGAATGGAAATGAATTTTGAAGAGACTGCATCAGGGTCTGGATCACTCGGGATTGGATCATCAGTTTTGTATACTGATAAAACCAACCAGACAATCCTTGCTTTCGGGGGCCAGTACAATTCCCACAAGCATCCCTGTCACATATATATGCTAGCCATTGCTCAAACCACCAATTTGTACCTGAACTCCACCTCCACCTCTGAGCAGCCTCCTCATCTGTCTCATTCGCACCTCCACATCACACAGCTATAGCGCTATCTGTAACATCCAGCCCTGAGCATGCCTTCCTTCATCCCATAACTTCTAGCTTTGCCTCCTCCACACCGGCTTCTATATCTTTATCTCTTCTAGACAGAGACTCACTCCTTTGTAATATCTCCCTGCTCATGAAAACTGCTAATTCTCACCTTCCTGAACATCCCCACAGCCACTCTATGAGGTCAAACCCTCATCATCTCTTGCTTGGATATCACAGCAGCCTGCCCACCACCTCTATCTTACTGATCTCCAATCCATCTTCCACAGTGCTGCCACAGCGAACTTTCTAAAATATCTATCATATTCTTTTGCTGTTTAAAAATCTGTCCGTTTAGAATAAAACATACACTCCTTAGCAATGACAAACAAGTCTCCCTGTCTTTCCAACCTATCTCCTGTCATCTGCCCAGTCACACACCCCCCAGTGTTCCAGACCAACCAACCTGCCTGGCATCTCTCCCATGGCCCAGGTACACTCAGGCCTCCATGCTTTTGCCAGGCTATTCTCACTACCCAGTGTGCCCTGCTCACCTCTCAAGATGAGCCTCAGACTACGTAATTATCCCTACTCTCTACAAAGCACTCCCATCGCACCTTGTTCTTCCTCACTGTGGCACTTATCACACTTAACGATAACTGCTTACTATCTTCCTGTCTAACCTGCATGCCTCATTAAGGAAGAGGACATATCTGTTTTACTCATCACTGTATCACCAGTACCTAGCACAGTATCGGGCACATAGTAGGCTCTCAATAGATATTTGAATGACTGACTAAATAATAATAGTAATAGTTACAATCATGACTGCTAAAACTGACTCTGCACTTGTGTGCCAGGCACTGTTACAAGTCTTTACCAGTGTTAATTCGTTTAATTCTCACAGTAATCCTGTAGGTATCATGACGATCTCCATTTCACATATAAACTGAGACATGGAGATGTTATATTACATGTCCAAGATTATTCAGCCGTATAAATGACAGAATCAGGGCCTGAAAGCAGTGACTTCCAGAGCCTTAGACTACCAATATGAAGTCTTACATTCTTACATTATGGCACTCTCAGTAAATGATGCTGACTTAGAAATCCAAAGAACTGCTGGTTCTAATATATTGGTTTAAAAATAAGAAATGGGATTTACATGGTGCTAGTCTTGGGTTTTAAGACTTTTTAAGGTAAGAAGGTAAGAAGGTTGTTGGGCAAGGACTACCAGAGTTCTTACCCTCTCCTCCATACTGCCTCTCCTCTATATATGATTCAGCTCAAATACCATCTTCTGTGGAAACCTTCCCTTACCACCCAGTCTGAGTTCAATGTTTCTCCTCTGTACCCCAAGACACCCCACATGTACCTTCATCATAGCATTCATCACGCTGTCCTATATAACTTGGTATCTATTCCCATTATTCTGTAAGTTCCTTGAGAACAGGAACTTTGACTCAGTCTTATTTTTGTTTGTATCCTCAGTGCCTAAGCACATGGCAAATATTCAAATAACTTTTATGGATGAATGGACAGACGGATGTAGGGACGGATGGATAATGTGAGCTACAGCATTAGCATTCATTTTCAGATAATCCAGCAGGTGGCAGAAGAGGGCAATAGCTGAACGGAAGATGGGCTGCCTTACCTTTCACACTGGTCACTTTCTTCATGATGGTTTCCTGACCTTGGCGCAGGGTCACGGTCACTGTGGCTCCAGGTGTACCGAAGCCCCATATCACTGCCCCAGCAGGCTCCTTCTGCAGCACCATATCATTATTGATGTATGAAGCAAAGCGAAAACCAATACCTAAAAAATTTAACAAACACTGAGGGAAGCATCATCGGAGAGATATAGCACCAACTGGATCAAGTGAAACAGCAAAGAACATACAGTCTTTATGCAAGAGAATTTTAACATACTAAGTCCCTTTAATCGTCTAAAACTGGCTCTTCTTCCTCCTAATTAGGCAAGCAACATAACAAGAACAGTTTCCAACAGTATGCATCATAGCACATGATGACCACTAAGGAAAATTCCCAGAGCCCAAGGCAACCAATGGACCATAGTCTTCCCTCTCCTTCAGAGCTCTTGATCTTTTTTTGCTCTTGGGCTTGGCCCTAACGCTGGGCTCTCTCCCGCAAAATCACTAAAATGCTCCTTTCATGCACCTATAGATGGTGTTTATGAGAAAAATAAACCACTTCCTTTCCCTACTTTCCATTACCACACCTGCTCCTAATGACTGGGAATAAAACAGCATGCCTCTCTCCAAACAGCCTTCCCTAATCTTTTTCCCCTTCTCTATCTCCCCTTTTCTATGCCACTAATGCCAATTTCCTTCAAATAATGCCCCTTATCATGGTTTTTTGACAACCCAGTGTACTGCATCAAAAATTCTAAATAAGCCCTTATAAATACTCATGACAAGTCAGCTTCCTTCTCAGGTAAATTCAAATAAATCAAGACACATAAATAAGGTCAGTGAGAGATAGAAGGTCAACATGTCTGAACAAAGGTCTTCTGTCACAATTTTACCCATTCCACAAGCTAAATTATACTAAAAGGACAAGAGAAAGCACACTAGAAACTGGATTCTATTCTAGAGAGTCACTAACAAGACTGAATAAGAACTCGCTTTAACGACATCATTCCTATTTTTAACATCCAGCCTATATAAAAGTATTTTATTAATACAAACATCCATCCAAATTATCTCAGCGTGTTCCTCATCAAAACTTAACAAGGAAAAAAATAAAACAAATTATATCCCAATTTATCTGAATAAAACAGACCCCAAACTACCTAAAATAATTAACAAAATTTAGATCTTTTTAAGCATTTTAAACAAAAATGATAGGCAGAAAAGAGAACCAGAATTAACAAGGCTGACATTTTCCTCCCTGGAAGCTACAAATGATGAGGGCCCCTTCGGCTATACTTAACAGGGCAGCACAGCTAATGGAGTCGCCTACACAGCTCCGTGGCCTATTTATCCTGCTCTTGGAATAACAGCCCAGTCCCTAAAAATCCTCAGCGCTCTCTTATGAGCTAGTGTGATCAAGAAACCTACATGACAATGAAAGATCACCCAGAAGGCCTACTGGGCTGGAGATGCACGGTTACCATGAGCAAAATGCTCTAAGAAAAGAATACAACGCCCCAGAATTGCATAAGCAGGTTGGCAGCCTGCTGGAGGGAAGGGGGAGGCACATGTGTGGGAGGGCCTTGTCTTGGGTAGGTGCTTCATATGGAACCAAAAAAAGGAAAACCACAGACATAAATAAGAGCTAAGTAGAGAGAGGGTGGGGGTAGGGGAATGGCTGCAGCTTGCACATTTGTGTGCAGTCAGTAGTCCATAGGCTAGGGGAAATACCTTCCCAAGTCTGTCTGTTTTCACCAACATACACTTAGTGAACATCTTTGTGGATGACTCTGTGCTGGGCTAAAGAGTTTTAGAGGTGGAAAGGATCTTCATAATCGTAGTATAAACACGCTACTTACTGATCAAGAAGTATAATCATATTACTGATCAAGTAACTGAGACCAAAGCAGATGAAACAATTTTTTAAAATAGCTTGCATGTTCATTAGTTAATTCAACAAATATTTATTGATGCCTACTATTTTAAGCATTGGGGATATAACGATGAAAAAATAATAATAATAATAGCAGGCAAAAATCCTTGCCCACAGGGAGCTTCCATTCTACTAGAGACTTTACCTGTGGCAGGCACAGTGCTAAACACACCACAAACATTAATGTTCTTTGGTCTCAAATCACACAGTTTATGACAAGTTAGAAAACAAGTCACTTGATTCCAAAGTTGAAATTCCCACTTTGCCGAAATTAGATACTTGTGGCAAATCAAAGAAAAAATCATATTCCTCATCTTTGTAAAGTTTAAATTCTAAGTTCATTAGAGTAGACAGTGGAACATCAAGGAATTGTGCAATGGACAAAAAAAAAGAGAGAGAGAATGAGAAAGAGAGCAAGGCTGGTCATTCCTTGTGCCAAACACAAGACACATACATTTACCATTTGATTTCTTGTTTGTTTGTTTTTTTGAGACAGAGTCTTGCTCTGTCACCCAGGCTGGAGTGCAGTGGTGCGATCTCAGCTCACTGCAACCTCCGCCTCTGGGGTTCAAGCGGTTCTCCTGCCTCAGCCTCCCGAGTAGCTGAGATTACAGGCATGTGCCACCACACCTGGCTAATTCTTTTTTTTTTTTTTTTTGATATCTTTAGTAGAGACGGGGTTTCACTACGTTGGCCAGGCTGGTCTCGAACTCCTGACCTCATGATCTGCCCACCTTGGCCTCCCAAAGTGCTGGGATTACAAGCATGAGCCACCGCGCCTGGCCAATTTTTTTGTATTTTTAGTAGAGACGGGGTTTCGCCATGTTGGCCAGGCTGGTCTTGAACTCCTGACTCTAAGTGATCCGCCCACCTCAGCCTCCCAAAGTGCTGGGATTAAAGGTGTGAGCCAACATTTGGATTTTTTAGGTCTTCAGTTTTTTCCTTCATTTGGGGCTGGAGTAGAAAAACAGGAATTAGTGTTATGGGGAAGAGAGGGCAGTGGTTGCCTCTGGTGAGGAGCTCCGGATGCATTGGCGAGGAGCACAATGGCAGGCTCAATAGACTGGCAATGTTCTAGTTCTTAAGTTGGGTACTGCTCTCATGGGTGTTCATTTTATTGTGTCATTGTTACATATAATTTTGTACATCTCAAGCATTACATGGTAAACATGGGCACAGGGAGAATGACTTAAAGGAAAAACGTCAGGATACGCAACCAAGTAGAGTACTAATGAATGAAAAATGTGATCAATGTTAATGAAGGTGATGTAACAATAAGACCCAAAGGAGGAGATAAAATACTGACACTAAAATAAACAGCCTTTAACTGAAAACCTAATAAAATATCTTTTCCCCACCTCATAAGATGGATCTCAAAGGTCACTGAGTGGAGATAAGAGTCAGGAAATGGCATACAGAGTGCTAGCATTTTGCACTTTTGTTAGACTCTGAACAATCATTTATGGGCTGCAGTTTGTCTGAATCTAGGTACTTTTCCGGCTCTCAGGTAGAGCAGGAGTCATTTTTCTGCACGCTGTTCTCCTACCCCAACTATCATTTCTTAACAGGGATCTCTGGGGTCCACTCTTTGAGTGTTTTGAAACAGAAAGGAAGAAATCCAACATTATCACTTTAGTTTGCATTATCAGACAGATTGCACCTTCTGCTTTCTCCATACTGTGACCCAGTGTCCAGCCTAGGGTATTCGAATGGCAAGATCTGACCTGCGCAACAGCCAAAGGGAGCCACCAGCCTCCCCTATGCCACTCACATTTTCCCACCACCAATATCTGTAAGCGGTACCAGAAATCAAAACTGAGCCTTAAATAGTCAGAGCTAGTGAGGGGGTTGTATTTCTTAGCCCTGATAACCACTTAAACGAGTAAAATTTAATTCCCCTAAGGAACCCCGCCTGAAGCAAACCCTCCCCAAGGGCACCACTGAGGGGGTAGCGCTGAAATGTTTTGGAAGATTCAGTCACCTGTTTCCAAATATTACCTAACTAGCTTCGCCTCCTTCCCTCCGAGCTCCCCTGCAGTTACTCCAGGACCCCGAAGGCCTCTTTCTGGGCACATTTGGGCCTCCCCACTCAGACAAGCCGCACTTTCTCCCTGCTCACAGGCTGCATGTCAGGGATGGTAAGTGGGGGGTGGAGAAAGTGGAGAGGCCGGGGTTCAACCCAGCAGACTCCTGCAGACCGGGCCTCGGTCGGAGACGCGAGCCCCTAGCCTAGCTAGGTTCCTTCGTCGACCTTGAGAAAGGGGCGCGGATCCGTGTCCCGCAGAGGACACGGGGTCTCGGAGCCCGCACAGGCTGAGGGGCAGGGGTCCGGCCGAGCCGGGCCGCCTCACCTGCACTTCTGTCGGCCCACAGGATTAATGGCAGCACCAGCCCGAGTACAAGCCCCGGCGCGACCATGCTTGCAAGGATCTGACCGCCGCCTAGGACTGGGAAAGTGGGTTCCCGGCAGGGGCGGGGCCTGGGCGGGGGCGAGGCCGACTCCACCCTTTTGCAGTCCTCGCAGCCTCCCGCGACCTCAGGACTGGGCTGTACTCGCCCCTTCTCGGCCGCCGTAGTTTTTTTTTTTTTTTAAAGAAAAAACGGTTACCCAGCAACTAGAAAAACAACCGGAACCGGCGGCACCAGCTCGGAGAGAAAGGAGGTGAGGCCGCTTCCCCACTTCCTCTCCGATACCAAGACCTAGCCTTTTCCCTTCGTCTCTCTTATTCTCTCAGCATCCCAGACACAGCCTCGGAGCCCTGGGCCGTTTGGGAGCCGAGGCAGCCCATTCTGCGCGAGTCTGAAATCCCAGGTCCTCAACATCCCGCCCCCGACTAGACCCGTCTGCCCCCTCCGCCCGCCCTCCTCTGCCCACATTGGTTCAGAATCTCGCCAGCTCTTTTCACCACTCTAGAATGGTTCGATACCCCCATCTACTGCTCCCTCAGAAAAAGCAAAAGAGAGGAGTCAGGCGTGGTGGCGCGCGCCTGTAATCCCAATTGCTCGGGAGGCTGAGGCGGGATCATCGCTGGAGCCCAGGAGTTCGAGGCCAGAGACCCCCTCTCAAAGAAAAAAAAAGCGATGAAACGAGAACCCTCCATAGTCTGAGCCTCATTAAACCGTCCAGTTCTCCCAACCTGGACCCCTACCACGGCCTCCGCCTCTATTCCGCATTGACGCACACTCTCACATTAACAGGCCAGGTCCCGGAGGATTCTTTTCATACTCAGTAGTAGCTCAGCCCGCTGCTTAGCAGCTACCCTTAATCTAGCCCTTGTATTTCAAGACAGAAAGAGACAACCTGATCAAGAAGAAACCGAAAAATATAAGAATTCTAAAACTTTAGAGGCTGGGATTTCAAAATCATGACACACAGCCCCATCCCATCCCATCCCTCCCTCACACACACGCACGCACAACCCCATTCCACAGTACGAAGGTGTTCGAAGCATTGTGGGTCATGCTTCAGAAGTGGCAGCAAGGGGAAAGATTGTGCAACTTCTTCATTCAACAAATTAATTTCTAGAACCAGGACTAATTTCTACTCTTTAAAAAAAAATAGACCTCAAAGAAGGTCTTCTCAGCAATTGACAATGAATTTAACTTTTTAGCAATCATTCTCTCTAAATTCCTGTGTGATAGCAAAAATTACCCTTACCTTTTGAGCATATAAAGGGTAAAGAGAGAAAAAGTCATATTGAAAATTATGGGTTTTTTGCAGGATTTTAAATGATTTGGCCTAGTGAATGGGTCTGTGTTTGTATTATACTAATTCACAATGGAGATTTCAAAACTCTTTGGAAGAAATGGATGGGCTTGGGTTGTGTTAGGGAAAAAAGAATTCAAGTCCAGATGTATGAGTCTCAGAAATAATTTGTTGGCATAGTTGTGATTATATAAGTAAAATCAGACAAATTTAAAGACAGTACTCTTTAATGAATCTTTAGGTTCCATAGGCAGTTCTTACCAAGAAGATGTCGATTCCATTCTCCAACACCCACTACCGAATTCCACAAGGATTTGGGAATCTTCTTGAAGGGCTGACACGCGAGATTCTGAGAGAGCAACCGGACAATATACCAGCTTTTGCAGCAGCCTATTTTGAGAGCCTTCTAGAGAAAAGAGAGAGTAAGCTTTCTAAAATTAGTCATTTTTTAAAATAAGAAACTAAGCATTTGTTTATGGTAAAACTTGCTTAAGACCATCTCCATTCTGCAGAAAGCCTTTTATGAGGCAGGGAGTTTCAGATAACAGTTCTTGCTCTTTGAAACAGTATGTACCTCTTTGATATGTTCTCTTAAATTCGTTTCATATTATCGAAGATTACCAGTTCATTATTCAGACCGTCTTCATTGTATTTCTCACGGACATACAGCGTGGAAGGTAACTGCAAAAGAGCATACATTTCTCGGGAGAAATCAGTGGGGGAAAAAAAGATCATACAGTCTACCCTCGCCACGTTCCAGCATACTGTTCCTATGCATCCCTGGCAGCTGACTGTTATTCCTGAGATGAGTATCTGTGGTTTCCTTTCAATTTTGATTCCTTCCATTTGAAAGTATTTTAAGTACTGCAAAAAGAATTCTGCACTCTTTAAATAAACTGATATTCACTGGGGTATATGAAACTGTTCTGCAATAACGGCACAGACAAACTGATTTGAAAGGTGGAATACCAGTTTGGAAAGGTAATTTATATTCTTTATGCTAAATTCCATCCTGCACAGAGACCCAGATGCCCACTAACAATAACTATTTGGTTGAAAGCCAAGGCAAAATTCCTTCACTCCTATAAATAAAATTTACAAATCCCCAACCTTGAAGGTTTATGACTGTCAGGACTTTACCAGTTTTGTACTAAAAACCTATCCTAAGCCAGGCATGGTGGTGCGCACCTTTAGTACCAGCTACTCAGGGGCTGAGGCAGGAGGATCACTTGAGCCCAGGGATTCAAGACGGTAGTGAGCTATGATTAAACCTGTGAATAGCCACTGCACTCCATCCTGGGCACTCCCACGACCCCTGCCCCAACCCCTGGAAAGCCATTGTTGATTAGAACATCCATTTTGTATAAATTCTTGTCATCATTACTTTTTATTACAGTATTCTAACAGAGTGGTAAAGGTGACTAGAAATAGGCACAAGCAAACAAACATTCTATTGTAATCATTTTATAGTGGAAGAAAACCTAGCACAAGGGTAGAATTAAAACAACTCCCACACACACTGCATAGCTCCACCCCTTGCTTTTTTTGCCCTGCCCTAGCAGAGCTCAAAATCTCTGCCAATTTCCTGAATGTTGCTGGTCTTTTCCATATCCGGTCAGGGTGAATATCTGTTGCACAATCTGAAACTTTAAATATTTTCCACTGAAAACATTTGATAAACTATATTTAGAAGAGGAACGTTATTAAGAGAAATCATTTGGCAATAGACTTGGGGGCCTATGTGAGAGCAGAGGTAGGAGGAGGGTGAGGATTGAAAAACTACCTATCAGGCATTATGCTGATTACCTTGGTGACAAAATTGTCTCTACACCAAAGCCCCTTAACACAGAGTTTAACCATGTAACAAATCTGCACGTGTATCCCTTGAACCTAAAATAAAAGTTGGAAGGGGAAAAAACTAAAATTATTTGGGAAAAGAGGTGAATTATAATGAACATCAATTTTATTATAAGATTAACTACAAATTCTTGCAGTAAAAGTCTTTAGTCATTTATTTAATTTTAGAACTCAGAAATATTCCATTATAAAAACATTTGCGTCATTGTTACTGGATCACAATAATTAAAGCAAATGATGATTCAGATTAGTGGTCTCAGGACACTAGCTCTCTAATAAACAATGGGTAAAACCATTTGAAAAAATTGTAAGCACCACACCCAATTCCACCCATGTCAACCAAAGACAAATTATCTAGAAGATACAAGTATCAGAATTCAGTCTCTTCAAAAAGGAAAAAAAACAATCATTATGGACCTCTGGCTCAGTCTCCCACACAATGCAAGAATTCCCTTGCCAGCATTCATCATAGGTGGTTACTACTCTTAATTTTTATTTTTGTGATGGGGAACATGTTAGTATATGATTTAAATGGTATTTCAGGTCACTAGGAAAAAGGTGGACTTTTTGTTATTTTAAGATAAAGGAAAAAGATAAAATTGGATCAATTTCTTATACACAAAGACAAATTCCAAATTAGTCGAGTATATAAATATTTTTTAAAAGAAACCATACAGATACTAGAAGAAAATATGGATGAATTTCTCTATAAGAGAAGAAAAAATTTTGCTAGCTAAATTGCTTTAATTGCTTCAAAAATTCGGAAGCAATTAGAGAAAAGATTGTTATAAATTGACAACATAAAAGTAAACTTTTACATGAGAAAAAGCACTGTGAGGAAAACAAAACTACAAAAGACAAACAAAAAATATTTGCAATTTATATCCCAATGGGTTAATAGCCCTAATAAATAAATAGTTTGTAAAAACAGTGTGTTATAGGCTTATAGAATCCAACAGAAAATATTGGCAAGAGGTATGAGCAAACAATTCACACAAAAATGAATGCAAATGGCACTTATGAAAGTATATTCAAACTAATGCATAATAACAGAAGTCCAAATCAAAACTACACTGAGCTACCAATAACAACCCCTCCATTACATTGGCAAAAAGCCAACATGCTCTGTAGGCTGTGGGATAATAAGCATTTATATACATTGCTGGTAGATAAGCAAAATGCCATAACTTCCAGGAGGGGAACTTAGCAATACCTACCAAAATTATATATGTATTTAACCTTTGACCCGGAGGTGCCACTTCTACACTTTTCAGGGCATCATTCTTTGTAGAAACAACCCAAATATCCACAGGAGTTTGAGTGAACAAACTATAATACATCTATACAACTGAATTATATATATAGCTGTTTTCAAAAATGAGAACTATCTCTCGATAATACTATGGATGATACTGTGGAGTGATTTTCGGGATATATTCAGTGAAAACAGCAAGATGGGGAAAAGTGTGCTTAGTGTGCTACCATTTTTTTTTTAAACACAGACGGGGGTCTCATGATGTTGTCCAGGCTGGCCTCAAACTCCTGGGCTCAAGTGATGATCCTCCTGCCTCAGCCTCCCAAAGTGCTGGAATAACAGCTGTGAGAAACAACACCTGGCCAGTATGCTATCATTTAACAAAAGAGGTTGATATGAATACATAACTGTGTGTGTGTGTGTGTGTGTGTGTGTGTGTGTTTGTGTGTGTATTTGCCACAGGGTTTGGCTCTGGCTCTGTCGCCCAGGCTGAAGTGCAGTGGTGTAATCGTGGCTCCACTGCAACCTCCCAGGCTCAAGCAGCCTTCCCACTTCAGCCTCCCAAGTAGTTGGGAACTACAGGCATGCACAAACACGCTGGGCTAATTTTTGTTTTGGGGAGTTTTTGTTTTTTGTTTTGGCAGAGACAGGGTTTTGCCATGTTATCGAGGCTGGTCTTGAACTCCTGAGCTCAAGCATCCGCCAGCCTCCGCCTCCTAAAGTTCTGGGATTACAAGAATGAGGCACCATGCCCAACTTTGTTTATATTTTTAAATGGAAAAGTAAATCTTTGAAAACTTAACATTTGCCTTTAGGAGAAAGTGAACAGGGTAGAGAGAACATGATAGAAAATATCTTGAATTTCGAATCATAAAAGTTTAACATAGTTATAATTTTAAATTTAAAATTGTTAAGCTACTCGGGAGGCTGAGGCAAGGGAATGGCTTGAACCCAGGAGGCGGAAGTTGCAGTGAGCCGAGATCGCACCACTGCACTCCAGCCTGGTGACAGAGTGAGACTCTGTCTCAAAAAAAAAAAAAAAGCAATTTCTAAAATGTAAAAGCAAAGTGAAACATATGAGCCTAACTAGTATAGACTGCGTGACATAACCATACAGAAAGGAATTATTTCAAGTGATATTAAAATGGAGTAATTTGACCGTACATGCCTAGTGCATATATCCTAAAAACAAAATGAACTTCAAAAAAAAAAACCCTTAAGCTGTTTTCAGTAATCATTGTTAATCATATTATGGTATGGTTATTCTGAAATTATATAGTGAAATTATATATTGTAGAACAAAGCAAGTAAGCAACTAAGCTAGTGTTATTAGGAATAAGATTTTTGGTGCAGGAAAAACAACATACAATTATGAAAATGAAAGAGGTTAATAAAATCCTGTAATCTTAAATTTGAGTTGAAAAATATCAGTGTGACCTCATGTTTTCTCTTTAAAAAATGAAAGAAGTATTTTCTAGCTCTGTACATTAAAGGTCTCAAAACAATGACCAACCCAATACCAGTGAGCACCCAGCTTCCAGGTTGTCATCTCTAAATACCATTCCCAGGAATGAGGGCTTCTTGGAAAACAAGCTAATTTCATGAACTTGGCAGGGAATATACCAGATTAGGCTGAACGTCTTGCCATACCAGAGAACAAGGAAGCTATCAAAGGTTACTAGAGGTGTTTCCAAAGGACTCAGGAACATTTGAGCACCTGAATAAGCTACCACTGGACAAATGTTTAATAATTAGAGCATCAATAAGAATAATACGTGCATTGGATTAAAATGCATCCATTTTCTTAAACATTCGTGAATTTGTGATGGTTAAAAAAAAACTCATTGGTCATCCTGAGAGGATCCTAGGAATCCAACTGATTATTCTGAAAACTGGTAAATAAAAGGAAAGGAAAGAACTAAACCTTTAACCTTTCTTTTCTGTAACAACTGTTCTTCGGAGTAACCAAACAGTTGATGAGGAAAAGTTTTCCTTAATGAGTACTCCAGAAAATAAAGAAGTATTGATCAAATTAGAGCATTACCATTTCACAACCCCTAAGGAAATGATCTAAGCAAGGATCATCAGGGGGCCGATAAAAATTATAAAAAGAGTAACCAGATATTATAAATTTTATGACAGAATTACACAGCACTACCAATCAAGTATACTTGCAGAAAAAAAATCAAACCGTCAAACCCGAATTAGATCAAACCTATACAGCTAGCTACCAGTTTACAGGAAATTCAAAGGCTGAAGAACTTGTTAAAAGCCACCATGGGGATAGTCAGAAACATCTGAACTGTGAAAAACTCCAAAGGGAAAATGACGTAATTTCATCAACAGATAAATTGCAAGGAAAGAATAGGGGCTGGGGGCTCTTCCTTTAAAAGAAATTTAAAAGACATACAAAGAGCTGTGTGTGCCCGTTTTCGGGGTCCTGATTTGAACCAACAAATAAATAGACAATGGAAGAAATTTGGATAGTTGACTGAATAGTTGAGGATATTGAGGAATTATTAATATTTTTAGTATTTTGAAGTATGATAATGGTGGTGTGGTTATATTTTAAAAGAGTATATATTGAGATACATTCTGAAATAAATAATTGTAGATAAAATAACAGGATGCAAGGGGTTGGGTTAAAAATAATCAGAAAAAAGTGCAGAAAAATAATCAGAAGAAAAGGTTATAAATAAAATAAATCATGGGTTGATCATTGAATCTAGACAGTATGCTCATGGGAGTTTGTTATCATATCTACTTTTTAAGTATTGAAATTTTTATAATATAAAGTTAAAGAAAAAAATTGTTTAAAAATAAATACCTCTGCTTGTCTGTGTCAACTGTCTACATAATATACTTCATTAAAAAAAATTTCTCCCATCTTTCACTTTTCCAGACTTTCTGACAACTTAGCATTTAGGTTTATACATTTTTCTGTGTTTACTAATACATGTTCTAAGTGTCTACATTTATATTTAAGTACTGGCATTTGTTCTTTTTCCCATTTTATTATAAATTTTATGAAGGCAGAAATTACGTTTTTAGTGCTTTTCTAAATATCCCCAAAGGCTCATCCAATGTTCAGTTGGTTATCATATGTTTAATAATCACTGGTAATGTCTGCAGTGCTACGCTATGCACAATGTCAATAAGATTTTGGACTGCCAGTAAAGAACCTGTAATTTGAAACAAGAAACTTACATTTGTGTCACTATTCTACATTTACCTTAATGAATTCAAATAAATCTGAAGTTCTTATATTTTTATTATTTAGAAACCAACTTTGATCCAGCAGAATGGGGGAGTAAGGTAGAAGACCGCTTCTATAACAATCATGCATTCGAGGTATGGTCCTTTGAAGCTGTTGGATTTGGCTATTTCTTCTCTCTGTCTACAGCTAGCAATTATTAGGCTATCCCCAGAATTGTGAGAATTATGTGAGGAGGCATCACAAATAACTTATTAAATCTTATTAAATTAAAATTTAATAAATCTTATTTTATTAAAAAGATTATTTATTAAAAAGATTTAATAAAAACTTATTAAATCTTATTAAAACTTATTAAATTAAAATTGTGCTGGGATTTTTTGCTGAGAATATTTTTCTAAAGTATCTGAGTCATGTACAGATATTTCACTTAAGTTTAATGATGAACAACAGGAAGAAGGTGCTTAAAAGTTATGAATAATTATTTCATCATTTATTCTTCAAATGTTTTCAGCATCACAGTGCTAAGCAATAGCAGGTACTCCACAAATAATTACTGAATTAATAGATGATATTTCGTAGACCAAAACACTATTAGTCCAATTATTTCATTATCATCGATATGATATTATTGATACAAAAGACCGGTTAGAATTAAAGGTGGTAATGGTGTAGTTTTCTCTATAAAGCTAGCTTTTTCAGAGTCTGAGCCTTTCTCTTTAGCAGCTTTACAAAGACAGCTTTCTCAACCAAGTTTCCTCAAAAAAATTAAGCCCTAAACCAAAGGCACTAATTGCATGTAAGGAATCAGTGTCCTGATTTGTATCTAGAATGGTTCTGGTTAGGTACCATCCTTGGGAGAATTGAGAAAAGAGCTTCTCAAAACATTCTCTGTGTTCCATGGTTCAGATAATGAATGCTGGTTGAGAAAGGCTGTGTGGAATCAGCATTATTGGCATCAACTGGAAACTTGATAGAAATTCAGAGTCTCACAGGAAACATGAAAAACAAGGAAGTATGACACCCCAGAATGAACACAACAGTTCTCCACTAATAGATCATAACCAGAATGAAATTCTTAAAGTCTCAGATAAGGAACTCAAAATACTGATTTTTAAATATGGTCAGTGAGGTGCAAGAGAAATCTGAAAACCAATACAAAGAACTCAGTGAAACAATTCAGGATATAAATGAAAAATTTTACAAGGTGATAGATTTTTATTTTTAAAAAAACCCTAACATAAATTCTGGAATTGAAGAATTTATTGAAGGAAATATAAAATACATTCAAAAGATTTAACAATAGACTAGACTAAGTGGAACAAAAAAATTTTAGAACTTGAATACAGGTCTGAAACAATCCAGTAAGACAAAAATAAAAAAGAATAAACAAAGCCTTTAAGACATTTGGGACAACATAAAGCAGCTGAATATTTGAATTATTGGTATCCGCAAGGACAAAAAGATCAGAAGGCTTAGAAAACCTATTTAATGCAATAATAGATGAAGACATCACAAGTCTAGCAAGAGATTTAAACATCCAGATATAGGCGGTGCAGTGATTCCCCAAATACAATGCAAAAAAAAAAAAAAAGTTTTCACCACAGCACATTAAAATCAAACTGTCTAAAGTCAAAGAGTGAATTCTAAAAACAGCAAGATGAGAACATCTCATCAACTGTGAGGGAAACCCGATCAGACTAATAACCGTACTTCTCAGCAGAAACCTGACAGGCCAGGAGAGAGTGGGATGATAATTCAAAGAGCTGGAAGAAAACAACTATCAGCCAGGAATTCTATATCCAGCAAAATTAACCTTCATAAATGAAAGAGAAATAAAGTATTTCCCAAACAAGCAAATGCCAAGGGCATTCGTCTGTACTAGGCTGGCCCTACAAGAAGTGTTCAAGGAAATCCTAAACTTGGAAGCAAAAAAATGGAAGTTAGCATCATGAAAACACAGGAAAGTATAAAACTCACTGTTAAAGCGACCACACAAAGGAGGAACAGAAATGAATCAAATGGGCCCACTACAGAATTCCACCAGTCCACAATGACAAACAGTAAGAGAAAAAGAAACAATGTATAAAATAACCAGAAAGCAATTAACAATAAGACAAAAGGAACAAAACTCCACATATCAATAATAACTTTAAACATATATGGATTAAATGCTCAACATAAAAGCTATAGACTGGCTGAATGGATTTCTTTAAAAAAAAAAAAAAAACATGATTCAACTATATGCTGCTAATAGGAAACTCACCTTACCTGTAAAAGCATTTAGACTGAAAGTAAAGAAGTGGAAAAAGATATTCCATGCCAACAGAAACCAAAAGCAAGCAGAAGTAGCTATAGTTACATTAGGTAAAACAGACTTTAAGTTAAAAACAGTAGAAAACAACAACAAACAAGTTTATTTTATAATGATAAAGGGATCAATTCAGTAAGAGGATATAACAATTGTAAATATATACACACCCAGCACTGGAGCAACCAGATTCATTAAAAAAAATTTCTATGTCTAAAGACAGAGGTAGACTGCAATACAATAATAGTGAGGGGCTTCAACACCCCACTCATAGCATTAGACAAATTATCTAAACAGAAAATCAACAAAGTAACTGATATCATTTGGCTGTGTCCCCACCCAAATCTCATCTTGAATTGTAGTTCCCATAATCCCCACATGTTGTGGGAGGGATGCAGTGGGAGGTAATTGAATCATGGGGGATGATGGTTTAATAAGGGGCTTTTTCCCCTTTGCTCAGCTCTCATTCTCTCTCCTGCCACCCTGTGAAGAGATGCCTTCCACCATGATTGTAAGTTTTCTGAGGCCTCCTCAGCCATGCAGAACTGTGAATCAATTAAACCTCTTTTCTTAATAAATTACCCAGTCTCAGGTATTTCTTCATAGCAGTGTAAGAACAAACTAATACAGTAATTTTTTTTTTTTTGAGGCAGAGTCTCATTCTGTCACCCAGGCTGGAGTGCAGTGGCACAATCTTGGCTCACTGCAACCCCTGCCTCCTGGGTTCAAGTGATTCTCCTGCCTCAGCCTCCCGAGTAGCTGGAATTACAGGTGCATGCCACCATGCCCAGCTAATTTTTGTATTTTGTATTTTCGCCATGTTGGCCAGGCTGGTCTCAAACTCCTGGCCTCAAGTGATCTACCCACCTCGTCTTCCCAAATCACTGGGATTACAGGCATGAGCCACTGCTTCCGGCCTAATGCAGTAAATTGGTACTGCAGAGAGTGAGACACTGCTGTAAAGATACCCAAAAATGTGGAAGCAACTTTGGAACTGGGTAACAGGCAGAGAGGTTCGAACTCTTTGGAGGGCTCAGAAGACAAGAAGATGTTGGAAAATCTGGAACTTCCTAGAGACTTGTTGAATGGCTTTGACCAAAATGCTGATAGTGATATGGACAACAAAGTCCAGGCTAAGGTGGTCTAAGATGAAGATGAGGAACTTGTTGAGAACTGGAGTAAAGGTCACTCTTACTATGCAAAGAAACTGGCAGCATTTTGCCCCTTCCCTAAAGATCTGTGGAACTTTGAACTTGAGAGAAATAATTTACAGTATCTGGTGGAAGAAATTTCTAAGCAGCAAAGCATTCAAGAGGAAGCAGATCATAAAAGTTTGGAAAATTTGCAGCCTGATGACACAATAGAAAGAAAACCCCATTTTCTGGGGAGAAATTCAAGCTGGCTGCAGAATTTTGCATAAGCAATGAGAAGCCAAATGTTAATCACCAAGACAATGGGGAAAATGTCTCCAGGGTATGTCAGAGACCTTCACAGCAACCTCCCATCACAAGCCTGGAGGCATAGGAGGGAAAAATGGTTTCCTCAGCTAGACCCAGGGCTCCCCTGCTGTATGCAGCCTCGGGACATGGTGACCTGTGTCCCAGCTGCTTCAGCTCCAGCTCTGGTTAAAAGGGGCCAATGTACAGTTCAGGCCATTGCTTCAGAGGGTGCAAACCCCAAGCCTTGGCAGCTTACATGTGGTGTTGAGTTTGTGGGTCCACAGAAGTCAAGAATTGAGGTTTGGGAAACTCCACCTAGATTTCAGAGGATGTATAGAAACACCTGGATGTCCAGGCAGAAGTTTGCTGCAGGTGCAGAGCCCCCATGGAGAACCTCTACTAGGGTAGTGCAGAAGGGGAATGTGAGGTCGGAGCCCACACAGAGTCCCCACTGGGGCACTGCCTGGTGGAGCTGTAAGAAGAGGGCCACCATCCTCCAGACCCTAGAGTGGTAGATCCACCAACAGCTTGCACTGTGCACATGGAAAAGCTGCATACACATGAAAGCAGCCAGGAAGGGAGCTTTACCCTGCAAAGCCACAGAGATAGAGCTTCCCAAGGCCATGGGATCCCACTTGTTGCCTCAGCACACCATGGATTTGAGACATGGACTCAAAGAAGATCATTTTGGAACTTTAAGGTTTAATGACTGCCCTGTTGTATTTCAGACTTACATGGGGCCTGTAGCACCTTTGTTTTGGCCAGTTTCTCCCATTTGGAGCAGGTGTATTTACCCAATGCCTGTACCCCCATTGTATCTGGGAAGTGACTAACTTGCTTTTGATTTTACAGGCTCATAGGCATAAGGAACTTGCCTTGTCTCAAATAAGACTTTGAACTTGGACTTTTGGGTTAATGCTGGAATGAGTTAAGACTTTGGGAGACTGTTGGAAAGGCATGATTCTGTTTTGAAATGTGAGAGCATGAGATTTGGGAGGGGCCAGGGGCCAAATGATATGCTTTGGCTGTGTCCTCACCCAAATCTCATCTTGAATTGTAGTTCTCTTAATTCCCACATATCATGGGAGGGATCTCGTGGAGGTAATGGAATCATGGGTGGGGGGGGGGTGGTTTTATAAGGGGCTTTTCCCTCTTTGCCCCACTCTCATTCTCTCTCTTGCCACCCTTTGAAGAGGTGCCCTCCGCCTTGATTGTAAGTTTCCTGAGGCCTCCCCAGCCATGCAGAACTGTGAGTCAATTAAACCTCTTTTCTTTATAAATTACCCAGTCTCAGGTATTTCTTCATAACACTGTGAGAATGGACTGATACAATAGCATTGGACTTAAACTTGACTTTAAACAAATGGACCTAACAAACATTTACAGAACATTCTACCCAACAACTGCAGAATATATATTCTTTTCATCAGCACATGGAACATTCTCAAAGATAGACCATATTGTGTTAGGGCACAAAACAAGTCTCAACAAATTTTAAAAAGTCAAAATAATATCAAGTATCTTGTCAGACCACAGTGGAATTAAACTAAAATTCAATACCAAGAGGAGCTTTGGAAATGATACAAACACATGGAAATTAAACAACATGGTTCTGAATGTCTGTTGGATCAAAAAAGAACTTAAGACAGAAATTTAAAAAAAACTGTTTGAAACAAATGAAAACTGGAAACACAACATAACAAAACCTATGGTATACAGAAAAAGTAGTGCTAAGAGAGAAGTTGATAGCAATAAATGCCTACCTCAAAAATGTAGAAAGATTACAAATTAACAATTAAAGGATGAACTCAAGCAACTTGAAAAGCAAGAACAAACGAAACAGTAGCAGAAGAGAGAACAAAGATCAGAGCAAAACTAAATTAAATAGAGACTAAAATAACAATACAAAGGATTAACAAAACAAAAAGTTGGTTCTTTGAAAAGATAAATAAAATTGACAAATGGCTAGCTAGACTAACCAAGAAGAGAGAAGACCCAAATAAACAAAATCAGAAATGAAAAAGAAGACGTTACAACTGATAGCACAGAAATACAAATGGTCATCAGAGACCATTATGAACAATTATACACTCACAAACTAGAAAACATAGAGGAAATAGATAAATTCCTGGAAACATACAACCTACCAAGATTGAACCAGGAAGAAATAGAAAACCTGAACAGACTAATAACGAGTAGCAAGATTGATTCCATAATAAAAATCTCCCCCACCCCAACACCACCAAAAAAAAAGCCCAGGACTGGATGGTTTCACAGCCAAATTCTACCCAGTTCTACATACAAAGGAGAGCTAATACCAAGCCTCCTGAAACTATTCCAAAAAATTGAGAAGAATGGATTCTCCCTAACTCATTCTATGAGGCCAATATCACCCTAATACCAAAATGAGACAAGGACCCAACAAAAACAGAAAACTGCAGATAAATATTCCTGATGAACATAGATTCAAAAATCTTCAACAGAATACTAGCAAACAGAATCCAACAGCACATCAAAAAGGTAATAAACCATGATAAAATCAGTTTTAAACCAGGGATGCAAGGATGGTTCAACATATGCAAATCAATAAATGTGATACATCACATCAACAAAATGAAAGACAAAAACCATATGCAGAAAAAGCATTTGATAAAATCCAACATCCCTTCATGATAAAAACACTCAACAAACTAGGCATAGAAGGAACATACCTCAAAACAATAAATGCCATGCACAAAAATCCCACAGCTAATATTATACTGAATGGGAAAAAGTTAAAAGCAATCCCCCAAAGAACAGGAACAAGACAAGAATGCCCATTTTCACCCGTCCTATTCAACATAGTACTGGAAGTCGTAGCCAGAGCAATGAGGTAAGGGAAAGAAATAAAAAGCATCCATATTGGAAAAGAGGAAGTCACTTATCTCTGTTCACTGATATATATATGTATATATATTCAGGGATGGGGTCTCACTCTGTCATCCAGGCTGGAGTGCCATGGTGTAATCATAGCTCACTGCAGCCTTGGCCTACTGTGCTCAAGGGAATCTCCCATCTTATCCTCCCAAGTTGCTAGGACTACAAACATGTGCCACCACACTGAATAATGTTTTTGTCTTTTGTAAAAACGGGCTTTTGCTATGTTGTCCAGGCAGGTCTCAAACTCCTGGCCTCAAGTGATCATCCTGCCTTGGCCTCCCAAAGTGCCGGGATTACAGGCATGCATCACCATGACTGACTCCCAATATAATCTTATGTCTAGAAAAATCTAAAGACTCCACCAGAAAACTCTTAGATTTGTTAAATGAATTCTGTAAAGTTGCAGGATACAAAATCAATGCACAAAAATCAGTAGCATTTCTATACACTAATAACAGTCTAACTGAGAAAGGAATCAAGAAGGCAATCCCATTTATAATAGCTTTAAAAAACACATAGGAGTAAACGTAACCAAGGAGGTGAAAAAGCTGTACAAGAAAAACTACAAAACACTGATGAAACCAATTGAAGATGACACAAGCAAATGGAAAAGCATCACAGGCTCATGGATCAAAAGAATTAATATCTTTAAAATGACCATACTTCTCAAAACAATCTACAGATTCAGTGCTGTCCCTATCAAAGCACCAACTCACTTTTCACAGAATTGAGAAAAACAATCCTAAAATTCATATGGAACCAAAAAAGAGTCCAAATAGCCAAAGCAATCCTTAACAGGAAGAACAAAACTGGAGACATCACATTACCTGACTTCAAATGATATTATAGGTTGGTGCAAAAGTAATTGCCATTTTTGCTGTTACTTTTAGTGGAAAAGACAGCAATTACTTTTGCACTAACCTAATACAAGGCTACAGTAACCGAAACAGCATAGAACCGGTATAAAAACAGATACATAAATCAACGTAATAGAGGAGAGGAGCCAGAAATAAAGCATATACATATAGCTAACTGATCTTTAGCAAAGCTGATAAGACCATATATTGTGGAAAGGACATCCTCTTCAATAAATAGTGCTAGCAAAATTGGAGAGCCGTATGTAGAAAAATGAAATTGGACCCCTATCTCCCATCATACACAAAAATCAACCCATCATGGATTAAAGACTTAAACATAAGACCTAAAACTGTAAAAATACTAGAAGAAAACCTAGGAGAAACTTTACTGGATATTGGTCTAGGCAAAGAATGTATGACTAAGATCACAAAAGCACAGGCAACAAAAACAAAAATAGACAAATGGGACTTAATTAAGCTAAAAAGCTTTGCACAGTAAAAGAAATAATCAACAGAGTGAAGAGATAAGCTGTTGAATGGGAGAAATTACTTGCAAACTATTCATCCAACAAGGGACTAATATCCAAAATACACAAGGGAGTCCAACAATTCAACAACAACAAAAAATAAGTAATCTGATTAAAAAGTGGGCAAAGGGCTGGGCGTGGTGGTTCATGCCTGTAATCCCAGCACTTTGGGAGGCAAGGCAGGAAGATTGCTTGAGCCCAGGAGCTTGACATTAGCATGCGCAACATGGTGAAACCCATCTCTTCAAAAAATTAGCCAGACGTGGTGGTGTGCACCTGTAGTCCCCAGCTACTTGGGAGGCTAAGGTGAGAGGATCACTTGAGCCCACAGGTCAAGGCTGTAGTGCACTCCAGCCTGGGCAACAGAGTGAGACCCTGTCTCAAAAAAAAAAAGAAAAAGAAAAAGAAAAAAGAACTTGGAAAAGGACATGAATAGAGATTTTTTAGAAGAAGACATACAGATGTCCAACAGGTATATTAAAAAATGCTCAATATCACTAATCATCAGAGAAGTACAAATCAAAACTACAGTAAGATATTATTTTACCCCACTCAGAATGGCTACTATGAAAAAGACAAAATAATAACAGATACTGGCAAGGATTCAGAGAAAGGAGAACTCTTATACACTGTTGTCAGGAATGTAAATTAGTATAGCCTCTAAGGAAAGCAGTATGGAGATTTCGCAAATAACTAAAAATAGAATGACCATTCAGTCCAGCAATCTCTCTACTAGGTATCTACCCAAGGGAAAATAAATCAATACATCAAAAGATACATTCATTTTTATGTTGTTTGCAGCACCATTCACAATAGCAAAGATATTGAATCAACCTAAGTATCTGTCCAATGGATGAATGAATAAGGAAAATGTGGGATGTATACACAATGGAATACAATTCAGCCATAATACAGAATGAAGTCGTGTCTTTTCCAGCAACATGGATGAAACAGGAGGCCATTATCTTAAGTGAAACAAGCCAGGCACAGAAAGACATGTAGTGCTTGTTTTCATTCATAAGTGGGTGCTGAAAAAATGTGTTTAAATGGACATAGACGTGGAATGATAGATAATGGAGACTCAGAAGAGTGAGGAGAGGTGGGAGAAAGGAGAATAATGAGAAATTGGTTAAAGGCTAAAATGTGCAGTATTTGGGTGATGGACACCCTAAAAGCCCTGACTTGATCACCAATCCACACATGTAACAAAATTGTACATGTACTCCATAAATTTGTACAAATATAAAAGAAAAAGAAGAAATTCAAAGTATTGGGCCCCATTCCAGGTCTACAAATCAGAAGTTACATTTTTAAGAGATCACCAGAATAATTCGTAGGTACATTAAAATTTGAGAACACTGCTCTAGACAACTGAGGTAGTACTATTAGCCACAAAGCACAGCAGATATTAGAATTGAAAAGAATTAACAAAGTTCAAGTTCTCCAGTAGATTTGGGGAATTTCTTGAAGAAGGAGCTGTCACTTATTACACAAGTTTGAAAGTGAAGTTCCATCCATTTGTGCCTGCAGGTATGGGTGTGTTCTGTGTATTTCCATTTTACTAGATTCTCTGTGCTCATGTTTTATTTGTATTCATGTTTATCGAAGTCAAAGGAATAATGTTGAAAGATTTTAAATCCTTGCATCACATAGCAATTTTGGGGTGTTTCTTTTTTTAATTCTAAAGGCTTTATTTGATTAACTTATATATTCTTAAATTTTGGTTTTATGGGTTAAAGAAGCTCTTTCCATAGGTGTGAATTAGCAATGAAGGAAGACTTAAATAGCCATGTCAAAATAGGCAGAGGTGGTTTCTCCTTTTATATTTAAATCATAAAGCAAAACTCCACAGCAAAACTTACTTCTCTGACTAGTTTTAATCCATAAACGTCACTAAAAAGTCAATTTGATGTCACATTATGGAACACAATGCCATTTATTTTATTCCTATTTTAGAAACTATTGGATCCTCTTTTTTATACTTTGTTCAGGATTCATTACATCATCTTATCAACTTTTAGTATAGGACAGTGGTTTATTTTTAACATAAAACAGTGGTACACACATTCCAAAAGCAACAGATCAAACATTTTTGCCAATTATTTGGTCTTTAATATTTGTTTACACGTATTTCCTTAAGAGCTTTTATTATTTCTTCTTGTTTCAATGTATTTTCCTTATTAAAAGATAAATACGTAGTATTTAATTCCCCCTATTTCTCAGTAATTTAAAGTAATGTTTCATTACTTCTAAGCAGTTTGATACAAGACTTTGCCATTTTGGAAACATTGCTAATTGTGGCTCTCTCCTATCTGTCCAGGAGCAAGAACCACCTGAGAAAAGTGATCCTAAACAAGAAGAGTCTCAGATATCTGGGAAGGAGGAAGAGACATCAGTCACCATCTTAGTATGTAATATTTTTCATGTACTATTGGATTCCTACAAAGAATGATATTGCCCAATTTAAAACTGAACTCCAAATATGAATGTCTGTTATCTTTATTGTCAAAATTATGACTTTACTTTCCAGATAATTAACATCAGTGATAAACTAACTGGTAGATAATTTTCAGCCATGCCTCTCTTGATCAAAAATTCATTTTTCCTTTAAAAATGAAATCTTATTTTTCAAGATTGTTAATGGATGGAAAAATCTCCCTATGGGGAAGGGCAGACAGAACTCACAGACCCAGTCATGATCCTTCAGATTCATCTTCCACTTTGGGAATTTTTCACTAATTGGTGCTGTCACCACTACACAATGGCAAATTTCAGAGATAACAAAAGGAAAATCACAGGGAATTACATACAGCCAAAATAATGGCTTTACAACAATGTGGCTTATTCATCTTCCATGCATAACGCTCTACAAAAATGCCTTCGTGCCTGATGTACTACATCCAAGCAGTCAAGACATAGCGGAGGCCGGGCGTGGTGGCTCACGTCTGTAATCCCAGCACTTTGGGAGGCCAAGGCAGGCAGATCACGAGGTCAGGAGATTGAGACCATCCTGGCTAACACGGTGAAACCCCATCTCTACTAAAAATACAAAAAATTAGCCGGGCATGGTGGCGGGCGCCTGTAGTTCCAGCTACTCGGGAGGCTGAGGCAAGAGAATGGTGTGAACCCGGGAGGCGGAGGTTGCAGTGAGCCAAGATCACGCCACTGCACTCCAGCCTGGGCGACAGTACAAGACTCCTTCTCAAAAAAAGAAAAAAAAAGACATAGCGAAGTCCACCCTCAAAGGCCCATTGTTCAGTAATGTCACTTTAATAACTTGAAGTCAGCCACAATGAGAATATTAAGACCATGGCAAACACTGCAAATCAGGGCTTTGTTTCTTCTGGAGAGCCAGTTGTTAAAACACTTACCAGTACATCATTGTCTATATTCTTCATACTCCAGACTCTTGTGGACTAGGCCTCATAAGAAAGAAGAACTCACTCTCTAAAATGTCGAAGTTCAAACTTCTGAGTTCCTTTTTATGTCTCAGGTCCCAGGTAGTTGCCCAAGAACTGGCAGCCAGAATGGATATCCCCTCAAGGAATACCCTACTTCCTACCTAGTGATGCATTGCTTTTCCCTATAAGATTTACAGGTTGTTCCACAATTGCCATTGGGTTGTACTGAAATAACATTACATTAGGATATAACAGGAAGATTAACATTAAGATGTAACAGGAAGTCAAGGAAGAAGGGAGTTTTATTTCCTTACATCTTTCATAGGTGCTTTTACACAGGTTTTCATGAGTTTGAGTAGGGATCTCATTGATTTCCAACTTGAGTGTATTTGTTTGCTATATTAGGATGTCATCTCGAAGAATTTTATACCATTCTGTTTGCATTTAAAAGTTTAAGAGCTAGATTTGTCTCATTATTTATAATAGGGGGATAGGAGGCTTGAGCAACCCAAAGGTCCATTAATATGAGATTGAGTAAATATTAAATCAAGGTACATCAGTATAATATAATGATGTCATAAAAAAAGAATGGGGAGAGTTATACACTGACTAATAATACAGAAAAAGAGAACCAAGATATATCGTTACATGGAAAAAGTAGCTGCAGAACTCTGTGATTAGGATGATCTCATTTTTAAAATAAAAAGACATATATATATATATATACCCATATGAATATATTTGCATATAGAGAAATTTTGGAAGGATGTAGATACTCAACTCATAATAATGGGTATCTCCCAAGAGCAGGATTTGGATAGGTGGAGAAAACTATCACTGCCAGTGACATTTGAGTTTTTAAAGTGTATACATGTCATTTCTATAATTTTAAAAGATATATTAAAAGCTGTATATTCAATTGTACGCTGAAGATTCATGCATTTTACTGTCTGTAAATTTATAGCTAAAAATTTATACCCAATTTTTTTAAAAGAGGGTATGTGCCAAAGTTCAACCAACCCTGTTAAAACTGACATTATTGGACTAAATGGATTTCTCTTTGGCACCTCACTTTAAATGTATGACGATGATTAACTAATCATTGAGAAATTGAGAAGTTATTCTAATTCATTATATGTAATTGTGATTATTTTGAAACATAACATTTACAGTTCTTTCTTCTTAACATTTTTACCATGCCTCAAGGATTCTTTCTTGTCCCCCCAACCCCCCAAAAAATGTTGTTGCTCAGGAAACTTAAATAGGCACTATTTTAGGGGAAAGAAAGTTGGCAATGATCTTTTGTTGCAGAGACATATTAAAAGAGTGACAAAACAAAATGCCTGCTATTTTGGCATTTGCCATTTGGTACATATACAATGTGACAATATATGAAATTCCCTCAGGAAGCAACAGCTCTCAGATAGTTGCATCCCTAAAATGATTAAATTTCATCCATTTATTTTTGTGGCATCAAAACTACGCCATATTTAAAGAGTCTCTTACTTTTTCTCCTTTCGATGAAGGACTCTTCTGAGGAAGATAAGGAAAAAGAAGAGGTTGCTGCTGTCAAAATCCAAGCTGCCTTCCGGGGACACATAGCCAGAGAGGAGGCAAAGAAAATGAAAACAAATAGTCTTCAAAATGAGGAAAAAGAGGAAAACAAGTGAGGACACTGGTTTTACCTCCAGGAAACATGAAAAATAATCCAAATCCATCAACCTTCTTATTAATGTCATTTCTTCCTGAGGAAGGAAGATTTGATGTTGTGAAATAACATTCGTTACTGTTGTGAAAATCTGTCATGAGCATTTGTTTAATAAGCATACCATTGAAACATGCCACTTGAAGATTTCTCTGAGATCATGAGTTTGTTTACACTTGTCTCAAGCCTATCTATAGAGACCCTTGGATTTAGAATTATAGAACTAAAGTATCTGAGATTACAGAGATCTCAGAGGTTATGTGTTCTAACTATTATCAAATGAATAAATCCTCTCTATCACATCCCCCAAAAATGTTCTTTAGCTCCTGTTTCACTCCTAGTGGTAAAGAATTTCACTGCTTTTTAAGGATAGTCTATTTAATTTTGGAATTTTTAGAAAGATAAGCTGGGACAAAAATCTGCCTCCTTCAGCCTGGCCAACATGGTGAAACCCCATGTCTACTAAAAGTACAAAAATTGGCCAGGCGTGGTGCGCACACCTGTAATCCCAGCTACTCGGGAGGCTGAGGCAGGAGAATCGCTTGAACCTGGGAAGTGGAGGCTGCAGTAAGCCGAGATCGCACCACTGCACTCCAGCCTGGGCGACAGAGCAAGACTCTGTCTCAAAAACAAAACAAAACAAAAAAAAGCCTCTGCCTCCTTGTAAGTTTAACCCACTGGTTTTCATTTATCATACATGTATTCAATCATTTATTGAAAATGTATTGAGTACTATTCATGTGCTGGGAATTAGTAGTGAATACTTGTTCTTACACTCATACAACTTACAATGCTTTATTGTTTTGCTCTCCAGAACCACACAGAACAAGACTAATAACATCATATTGTAAAAAGCAAAAGCTATCATATCATGCTGCCTTCTTCAGTTAAAACTTCCCAAGTTTTTAAATATACAATGGTAATGCCTGTTTAACAAACTCAGAGGCTTTATCTCTTTTATGTTTTCAATGATTCATTCAAATCCCTAGTGCCTTAGTTTTAGAAAGTTCCGTCTCTCCTTTTTGAGGCCTCTCCACCCTTGATTGTCCAAGAAACTGAGGGTTCATGTCTTAGACCAAAGGGTGCAGTTCTCTTCCCAATACAAAAGGTAGAAAGTGGAGTCTTACCATTTAGTTAATGCTGTTGCCTTCTACCATAATGTTGTAGCATAGTCCAGCAGACTGAGGTGATTCTCTGGCTGGTTCCAATTCCTGCCTGCACCATAGTGGATGGCCCATGATTTAGTTCCAGGATTACATCTCTCTTGGTTTATAGTCACAAAGCCAGTGTTCCCCCAAAGCTTAAAAACAAGCCAGGATGGCTCAGTCCTGAGGAGATTCTAAAACCAGGTCTATGTTGTCACAACAAATACTCTCCTACAAACACTTTGATCCTTGTCCTAGGCTTAGACATGCTCTTTCTGCAAAGCAGTTTTATTTCAGGTGCCTCACTGCCCTTCCCTGGCACTGAGCCTTTATCAGGCTCTGCAACAGAGGTTCCCCCAAGTGATCGCCACTCAAACACAGTTGATTCACACCAACCCTTTCAAGGTTGTGGCTTTCATTCTCTAATGTCCACTCATACAGGCAGCCTTTCTCCTTCCAAAATCTTGCTGCCACTGTAGAGAGTTTCATGCTAGCTAAACACAAGTCTCTAATATCCCCCTTCCTCTCCTCCTTAACCCCTCTCCTCCAGGCTTACAGAGGAAAAGAAATCAGTTCTCCTCCAGGATTCCAGCTGTTCGTCCCTCCCATTCCACTGAAAGCACCAGCTTCTAACACCTTCCCCTCTCAGACAGAGCCATCCTGCTTAGCGGATTGTCAAGGGGGGACCCAGAATTTATGCAAAGACTTAGATTCCCTGACCTGGAGAGATCAGAAGAGGAAAAAAGGGATTTTTTCCCTAGTGAGTATATAGCAGGAAAAAAAAAAAAGATGAGTTAGCTTTTTCAGTAATTCTCCTGTTATACACATAAAGTGACTAGCACTATGCATTCCATACACACACACACACACACACAGATCTCATGGTAGTGATATTGGTAGTGAAGGAGGAAAAGGAAAAGGTGAGCAATGGATGTGATATTATGAGAACAACACATATGAATGACACTTTATTAGAACTTATCTGGTTTTCCTCTTATCTCTCTGGCTGTTCCTTCTCAATTCCCTTCACTGGTAACTCTTCAACTCCCCAACCACTAAATGCTAAGTGCCCTTAGGCTCAGTCTTTCGACCCCATTTCTACACTCACTTGATTTCCTGCAGTTTCATAGCTTTAAAATCCAATCTTCTTAATGATCACTCCCAGACCTTTCTCTCCTCTGCCTGCGAACTTCTATATTCAACTGCCTACATAACATCCCCATTTGGATGTCTATAGGCATCTCAAAAGTAACATATAAAAAATGAATCCTGATATTGCCCCCAAATCTGAAACTTCCCCCACACCCAAGTTTTTCCATTCAAAAATGGCTGCTCCATTCTTCCATTTGCTCAGGCCAAAAACCTTGGATTCATCTTTAATGCGTCACTTTCTTTCACACCCCATATACAATCTATCAGCAAAACCTGTGGGCTGTACCTATAAAATAATACTCAGAATCTGCCTACTTCTAACCACTTCCATTGTTACCGCCTTGGTCCTAGTTCCCATGATAGCCTTGTGAATTATTGCAATAACCTATATTGGCCAGTGATTATCTCACTACTACTGCACAACCCATTCCAAAGTTAGTGGTTTAAGACAATTATATTTTCTCCTGGGTCTGTAGGTCAGTGGTAATGTAGCTAAGCTAGGCTGGACTACAATCTCAAGGTTAGGTTCAGGTCAGCTCTAAGCTGTGGGTTTGTGGGCTGACAGGAAGGTCTGCTTCAGGCTGTGGGCCCAAGGGTCAGCTGCAGCACAGTGCCTCTGCTTCACGTGTCCTTTTCTGAGCCCCTGCTGAAAGACGTTATCCAGGACAAGCTCTTCTCATGCTGGTCACAGAAGACAAGCAGGAAAACCCAGCATGCAAGAATATTTCAAGCTTTTGCTCATATCACTTCCACTGACATCCCATATACAAAAGAAAGTCATCTAATGAAGCCCAAAGTGAGGAGGATGAGGAAATACACTGTTCACCAATAGCAAAGGCTTCATGTGTGCATAATACTACTACAGGGTAGTGAAGAATTGCGACCAGTAATTTAATCTACCACGATCTGCTTTCTTGATTATAATTATGTCTTTACCACATGCAAAAATTGACCCACTCCTATCCCAAAACCCCTAAAAGTTCCATCACATCTTTGAAATCCAGGATCTCATGATCTACATCAGGTCCAGATATAGCCCTTCTTGATATAGAGACCTATGAATTAAAAGAGCAAGCATCTTTTTATCACATACCAAACATACAACAAATGATGGAATAGAGACAATAATAACCACAAAAAAATACTCTTATTCACAAAGGGGAGAAATGGAAGCAGATCACAGCCACTGGTCCATAACAATTAGGAAAACTCATTGGACAATGGTTGTCAGGTTCCTCCATTGGAGGGAATTGTGTTTCATGATTAGGCACTGTTTCTGCTCCTTAAAAATGACTTTCCAGTCTATCCTCCACAGCTCTTTGTTCTACACTCTAGGGAATCATTCTTTTTCCCTCATCTTCCTTAGTCACTTGCAAAGGACATTAGAGAATATGCCCTTTTTGGTGGATAAATGGGTTCTTCAACCTGCTTTCTGCCTGTAGAAAATTAGAGGCCAATAATCTGTTTATATCTTGTAGAATGTCTATTTTAGCTGGTACCGGTACTTTTGTCAATAAAGTTCTTTTTTAAACTTTGTGGACTTCCTATGAATTTGACTATAGTCAACTCCACGTGCCAAAAGGTGTGGTGCACTCGCAATTTCTTTCAAGATTTGCCTCCCTTTATCTCTCTGTTTCCAATTCTGTTAAGAGTGAAAAATTGGAACCAATATTTCAATATATAGATATCATAACTGCCGAGCATTCACTATCCCTTCTTCTCCCAGCTTCCACCTTGTGTTACTCAGGGTCTCCAGAGAAACAGAGCCAATAGAATATATATAGATATATGACTAGGAATTTATTATGGGAATTGGCTCATGCACTTATGGAGGTTGAGAGAGCCCACAATATGCTGTGTGCAAGCAGAGAACCAGAGAAGCCAGTGGTGTGATTCAGTCTGAGTCTGAAGGCCTGAGAACCATGGAAGCCAATGGTGTAGCTCTCAGTCCAAGGCAAAAGCCCTGAGAACCAGGGGGGCTGCTGGTGTGAGTCCTGAAGTCCCAAGGCCCAAGAACCAGCACCTCTGGTGTCCAAGGACAGAGAAAAATGGATGTCCCAGCTCCAAAAGAGAATTTGCCCTTCCTCTGCCTTTTAGTTGGTACTGGTACTTTTGCCAATAAAGTTCTCTTTTAAACTTTATGGACTTCCTATGAATTTGACTATAGTCAACTCCATGTACCAAAAGGTGTGGTGCACCCTTCCCAAGATAATTTGCCCTTCCTCTGCCTTTTTGTTCTACCCAAGTCCTCAATGTCAATCTGCCCACACTGGTGAGGGCAGACCTTCTTTACTTAGTCTACCAATTCAAATACTAATCTCTTCCAGAAACATTTTATCAGCTATCTGAGCATCCCTTAACCAGTCACGTTGTCACAAAAAAATGAACCATCACACACCCTTTCCCCCTTTCAACACATCAGCCAGAGTATCCTATTATAATTTAAGTCACATCATGTCACTCCTCTGCTTAAAACCCCCAACGGCTCCTCATTTCACTCAGAGTAAAAGTCTTCCTTATGGTCACAAAGCCCTGTGGAGATCTTTCCTCCTGTTACCTCTGACCCCCATATCACTTGTTCACTTGGCTCCAGCCACTCTGGCCTCAGAGCTCTTCCTCAGACATTCCAGGCATGCTCCTGTCTCAGGGATTTTGCATATGTCGTTCCCTCTGCCGGGAATGCTTTTCCCCAAACATTGCCCCATTCCTTCAAGTCTTTAGTCAATGAGCAAAAGTCAATAAGATCTTCCCTGAACCACCCCCCTACCAAAAACAGCTTTTAAAAAAAGCACTCCCCTTTCTCCTTGTTATGTATCTCCATAGTTCTGGACACCATCTAATATATCTTGTTTACAGCCTGCTTCCCTCAGTAAAATCTATGCTCCATGAAGATAGAGATTTGTTATTCTATTCACTGCCTAGCGCCTTTTTTATATGCAGTGGGAAGGAATGAATCACTTCTAGTGCCTCATACAGAAGTTGAAGGAGTCCTAGCAAATCTCCTTCCATCTAATTAGCTTTGATTGGGTAATACATCTATCCTTGAATCAATTATTGAGGTCAGGGAAAAGGAATATGCTAATAAATTTATGCATTTGACTGTCAGAACCTGTCCCTGGAGTAGGTCAGTTCTGCCCAAAAATATCTGGCTGAAAGTGAAGGAAATTTGAAGTCTCCTATAGGAAATAGAGGAATAGAGGAATGTTGTCAACTAACAAATATCCACCACAATGCTTTAATCACCACCTGGCTTCTCACTACACTGCATTTGTGAATTATTCATCAAAACCAAAGATGAGAGAAGTATCAAGAATAAAAGGAAGAAAAATGAAACAGCATATGAGGGGTTAACAAGACATGGGAATGTGGAAATTTGGGTAGCCTGCCACATAAATTGCAATGCTAATGGTGCTTCTTGGAGCTATGCAATGCAAAAAGGAGACTCTCCCAAAAGAAAGAGCTTTGGGTGCACCCTTTGATAGCTCAGCTGGTAGAACAGAGGACTATAGGCTGTATAGAAAGAGCTTTGGGTCTAAGAGAGTATGAAAAATCATGAGAGAGGGAGAGAGAGAGAGAGAACTTGAACTGTTTTAGAAATATATGCAAAATTTTCTCTGTGGGAAGCTAAGTGTGAGAGTTTGTCAACATGAATTTTTCATAAAACATTCTTATGAACACTGTACCTATGGAGAAGGAATCTTCCGTCGAGATCATCAAGCAGTTCTTTTTAATAGACACAAACCCAGCATAATTTGGAGGGAATTTTTCTCTGTTCCACTGTGATATGAAGCTCAGTCAAACAATGTCTCTGTGATTCCGAGATGAACCCAGAATAAGGTCTTGAATTATCACTGTCATTCTGCCTCTAAACTATTACATCATTCACTTTCTTTGTTCTAAAGCAAACTGAACAGTAATTTCCCCAATTCCTCAATAAAATTAGCCCAATAGTTTCTATACCTCAAAACAACTTGAGCTTTCCCTTTTTTATATAATTTCAAATTTTATTATAGATTAAGGGGTACATGTGCAGGTTTGTTACATGGGTATATTGTGTGACACTGAGGTTTGGGCTACAAATGATCCTGTCACCCAGGTAGTAAGCATAGTACCCAATAGTTAATTTTTCAGCTCACTCCCCCTTCTTTCCCTCCCGTCTAGTAGCCTCCAGTGTCTATTGTTCCCTATCTTTATGTCTGTGTGTATTCAGTGTTTAGCTCCCACTTATAAGTGAAACCATGCAATATTTGGTTTCCTGTTATGTTAATTTGCTTAGAAAAATGGCTTCCAGCTCCATTTTGCTACAAAGGACATTATTGCATTCTTTTTTGTGGCTATGTAGTATTCCATGGTATATATGTATCACATTTTCTTTATCTAATCCACTGTTGAAGGGCACCTAGCTTGATTCCTTATCTTTGCTTTGAATATATGAGTGCATGTCTTTTTGATAGAATGAATAATTTTCCTTTGGTATATACCCAGTAGTGGGATTGCTGGGTGAATGGTAGTTCTGTTTTAAGTTCTTTGAGAAATATCCAAATGCTTTCCACAGTGGATGAACTAGTTTGCATTCCCACCAAGAGTGTATAAGCATTTCCTTTTCTCCTCAGCCTCACCAGCCTCTGTTCTTTTTTGACTTGGTAATCATTGCCATTCTAACTGGTGTGAGATCTATCTCACTGTGGTTTTGATTTGCATTTTTCTGATGATTAGTGATGCTGAACATTTTTTTCATATGTTTATTGGCTACTTGTACATCATCTTTTGAAAAGTGTCTGTTCATGTCCTTTGCCCATTTTTAATTGGATTATTTGCTTGTCGATTTGTTTTTTGTTTGTTTGGGTTTTTTTTTTTTTTTTTTTTGAGACAGGGTCTTGCTCTGTTACCCATGTTGGAGTACAGTGGCACTATCACGGCTCACTGCAGCCATCCTCCCACCTCAGCCTCCCAAGTAGCTGGGACCACAGGCTTATGCCACTACATCTGGCTAATTTTTTTATTTTTATTTTTGTAGAGACAGAATCTTCCTGTGTTGCCTAGGTTGGTCTCAAACTTCTGGGCTCAAGTGATTTCCCACCTCAGCCTCCCAAAGTGGTGGGATTACAGGCATGAGCCACTGCACCTGGCCTCGTCTCTGATTTCTTTCAGCAGTGTTTTGTAGTTCTTCTTGTCGAGATCTCTGACCTCCTTGGTTAGATGAATTCCTAGGTATTCCACTTGAGCTATCTAACATTTGGAAATATTTCAGCAGACACCATATTATCTTCAAACTTGGATTTTCCCCTGTAAAATTATTCCAATGTTCTTGTTTTATTGGGGCAGCCCGGGGGTGGAGGAAATACAAAAACTAGGTACTAATTTCCTACCTGTAGGTTTCTTGGCTTGAGGATATTTCTAGAGTGCATTATAAACAGGACTAGGACTCTACTTTTATTCCTATTTTCCCTTTCCTGCTATCTGTAATGAACATATAATCCATTTTGTATCAATTCATGATGTTGACAAACTCATTTCCAATCTGAAGTGCTTTTTACAAATATAGCTACTTGGAGGCCGGGCATGGTGGCTCACGCCTGTAATCCCAGCACTTTGGGAGGCCAAGGCAGGTGGATCACAACGTCAAGAGGTCGAGCACATCCTGGCCAACATGGTGAAACCCCATCTCTACTAAAAATACAAAAATTGGCTGGGCATGGTGGCATGCACCTGCAGTCCCAGCTACTCGGGAGGCTGAGGCAGGAGAATGGCCTGAACCCAGGAGGCGGAGCTTGCAGTGAGCCGAGATTGTGCCACTGCACTCCAGCCTGGGTGACAGAGCGAGACCCTGTCTCAGAAAAAAAATAAAAAATAAATAAATAAAACAAATATAGCTACTCGGATTGACAATTATTTATGCCTGTGATTGTCTCAGAAGAGTCTGTACATGCAGAATACAATACTTCAGAATGTGAAATTATTTTCATGAATGAAATAGGCTTCAAAGTAAGCAGCCTCTGTTGTGTAGATCCAAAAAATTAAAGCCTGCTGGGGAGTGATGTTATTATAACCAAAATTTCAGGAGCCACCATACACTTTGACAAAGGACTATCAACACTGCAAGACCATCAGATTACCACAGAAAGTGTATGAACTACAACCCTAAGAGGGTCAGATACAATGGGGAAGGTATGAGAATCTGCCACTATTCTACCCCTGAAGACACACTCCTATCTCAGAAGGCTTCTGACCAAAAAGTATAGCATCTTATACAAAAATTAACTAAGATGGATTAAAGACTTAAATGTAAAACCCTAAACCATAAAAACTCTAGAAGAAAACCTAGGCAATATCATTCAGGACATAGGCTTGGGCAAAGACTTCATGACAAAAAGTATAGCATCTTACACCACTGAAACTATATTACTAAGAAGTACGGTCCAGTTTAATAAACCAAGTACTAAACCCAATTTTGGAAGCTATCAGAAAAACTTGTTTATTAAGTCCTTGAAATTATAGAAAATATGCTTACCTGGACCCTTAACAAGCAGTTGGTAGGAAAGAATGATTACTGCAGTGCTGTTGTCCCAGTAATGAGTTTAGAGACACTGGCCTTTGGATTGCTTGAGTAATATAGTCAATGCTGTAATGTGCTACCCAGATATGCCCCCTTCTCCCCACTCTTTCAGGACTTAAAGCTGCCTCTATTCTAAGAATTGCCCTCAGCATTAAATTTGTGCCCTCCCTGGGGGCAGCCCCCATCTAATGCCTAGTCAGTGCTCTGGTACCAGGGCTGATCCCTTACCTCAAATTTAGACAGTTTTGCAGAGCCGTCCCAGCTCTCACCCAAAGGATTGGCTAAACTTTTATTGTAACCTTATCGCAGTTCAACCTCATCTATCCAGTCCTGCTTCTCTGTCATCCTTACAGGTGTTTTTCCCGAATGTACTCTCTAGTAAACCACCTATGCTCAAATTCTGTCTCCAAAACTATGCCCAAAAAACCTGACCTATGACCGATTAAGTTGCAAATTTCTGGCATACTTGCACATTTTTAAACCCTTTGCTTCCTCTAATGTGACCTGTATAAAAATTCAATGATAAGCGTATTTGCTTGTCAGGGGATAATCTATAACAGAAAAAAATACACATTTCTTCTCTAAATGAATTACAATTACCAAAGCCCCAACCAGTAATGCTATGGACTCAGTTGTGTTCCTTTCAAAATTCATATGTTGAAGTCCTATAACCCCTAATATGATGGTATTTGGAGACAGACTTTGGGAGACAATTAGGATTAGATGAGGTTAATGTGGTGGGTCCCTTACAAGGGTGTGCCCTTATAAGAAAAGACACCAGACAGCTTGCCCCCCACCCAGCCTCCACTCACACAGGCACCAAGGAAAGGCCATGTGAGCACACAGTAAGAAGGTGGCCGTCTGCAAGCCAGGAAGAGAGCCCTCACCAGAACTCAACCATGCTGGCACCCTGATTTCAGACTTCCAGCCCCAAGAACTGTGAAAAAATAAATTTCTGTTACTAAGTCACCCAGCTTATGGTATTTGTTATGGCATCTTAAAAAGACCAAGATAAGTAACAACTGAACACCTGATATGCCCAAAACTTAATACCACGTCAGTGTTTGCCATCTTTTCTGAACCACTGACGTAGTTATTCCTTTCTAATTTTGCTATAATGTATACACCTGAGTGACAAAGAGAAGAGAAAATTGGAATGGATGAGCTGCTGGTGAGGGCTCTGGATTAATTATTGGATATTAAAATGGGAGACGCCCGGCCAGCCGCCCCGTCCGGGAGGTGAGGGGCGCCTCTGCCCGGCCGCGCCTACTGGGAAGTGAGGAGCCCCTCTGCCCGGCCAGCCGCCCCGTCTGGGAGGGAGGTGGGGGGTCAGCCCCCTGCCCGGCCAGCTGCCCCGTCCGGGAGGGAGGTGGGGGAGTCAGCCCCCCGCCCAGCCAGCCGCCCCGTCCGGGAGGTGAGGGGCGCCTCTGCCCGGCTGCGCCTACTGGGAAGTGAGGAGCCCCTCTGCCCGGCCACCACCCCGTCTGGGAGGTGTGCCCAACAGCTCATTGAGAACGGGCCAGGATGACAATCGCGGCTTTGTGGAATAGAAAGGGGGGAAAGGTGGGGAAAAGATTGAGAAATTGGATGGTTGCCATGTCTGTGTAGAAAGAAGTAGACATGGGAGACTTTTCATTTTGTTCTATACTAAGAAAAATTCTTCTGCCTTGGGATCCTGTTGATCTGTGACCTTACCCCCAACCCTGTGCTCTCTGAAACATGTGCTGTGTCCACTCAGGGTTAAATGGATTAAGGGCGGTGCAAGATGTGCTTTGTTAAATAAACAGATGCTTGAAGGCAGCATGCTCGTTAAGAGTCGTCACCACTCCCTAATCTCAAGTACCCAGGGACACAAACACTGCGGAAGGCCGCAGGGTCCTCTGGCTAGGAAAACCAGAGACCTTTGTTCACTTGTTTATCTGCTGACCTTCCCTCCACTATTGTCCTATGACCCTGCCAAATCCCCCTCTGTGAGAAACACCCAAGAATGATCAATAAAAAATAAATAAATAAATAAATAAAATAAAATAAAATAAAATAAAATGGGAGAAGGGTGGCAATGATCACTTAGCTGCCACGTTGAGCCTCATATCACAATTTTCTGGGGGTGACCATTTCTTGATTATTTAGCATCACTTCCACTTCCACCTTTGCCCTTTCTACTAGTACCTAACTTTTCTTTTTGTTTCTAGAACATTCATTAACCCAGAACAAAGGTTGAACCAAACCTGGAGATAAATCTAGATTAGCTTAAGCCAGTCAGCACCTTCCATCACTCAGCAGCCTGTCATTATTTCTGAACCCATAATTTAGGACCATTTAATTAGGATAGTATTTCACAGCCAGGGGTGATTTCACCCCCCAGGAGAAACTTGGCGATATCTGGAAACATTTTTGGTCGTCACAGCTCCATGTGGAAAAGGGGAGTGCTGCTGGCATCTAATAGGCAGATGCCAGGGATGCCACCTAACATCCTGTAATGTTCAGGACAGATCCTCCCACAACACAGTATTATCTGGCCCAAATGCCTCGAGTATCAAGGTTTGAGACCAGCCTGGACAACATGGTGAAGCCCCATCTCTACCAAAAATATAAAAAATTAACCAGGCATGCTGCCATGTGCCTGTGGTCCCAGGCTACTCGGGAGGCTGATTGGGGAGGATTGCCTGAGCCTGGGAGGTGGAGATTGCAGTGAGAGGAGATTGTGCCACCGCACTCCAGCCTGGGTGACAGAGTGAGACCCTGTCTCAGAAAATAATAATAATAATAATAAGACTATAGAGGATGAAAAAAGTATAAAAATCATGGTCCTTTCCTCAAGGAAAAATAGACATTCACCAAGCAGATAAGACATACATCCACAGAAAAGTTATACCACAAAAAGCACAAACCATGAAAGAAACATCTGATAAATATGATCATATTAAAATTAAAAACTTTCATATATCAAAAAACACCATAAGCAAAGTGAAAAACACAGCACAGAATGCGAGGAGATATTTGCAATTCAAAATGCATAAAATTAACAAATGATTAGTATCCAGAATATAAACTCCTGCTCAGTGTAAAAGCTTTGCATGAGAATGGTAAACACTAAATTCATGATAGTGATTATCGTAGGGGAGGAACAGTAGGAGAACAGGATTGAAGAAGAAGGCCCGAAGGACGGCAAGTATGTATATGTTTTATTTCTTTAAAAGAAATAAGACAATGTTAAGATTTAATGAAGCTGGATGGTGGGAATATGAATATCTCTTAAATTATCTTCTTATCTATATGTTTCAAATATATTTCACCAAAAAAATTTTTTTTAAGAATTCTTGCAAATCTGCAAGGAAAAAAACTCAAAAATTAAGCAAAAAATATGAGCAGCCGGGAGAAGTGTCTCACGTCTGTAATCCCAATTATTTTAGGAGGCTGAGGCAGAAAGATTACAAGGTCAGGAGTTCAAGACCAGCCTGGGCAACATAGCAAGGCCTCATCTCTACTAAAAATAAAAAAAAAAATTAGCCTAGCATGGTGCTCACGCCTGTAGCCCCAGTTACTTGAGAGGCTGAGGTGGGAGTATTACTTGAGCCCAGGAGGTCAAGGCTTCAGTAAGCCATGATGGCACCACTACACTCCAGCCTGGGCAACAGAGCCACACCCTGCCTCAAAAAAAAAAAAAAAAATACATGAGCGGAAGAGAAACTCAAGTTCAATAAACATATGGCAAAATGATGCTCAGCCTCCTCCACAAGGGAAATGCAAATTAAGCAATAGTGAGATGTAATTTCTCATTCATAGATTGGCAAAATTAAAACGTCTGACAATACTAAGTGGATGATGTGGAATGACTGGAACTCACTTATACTGCTCTTACAAATGTAAATGGGCACAATAGCTAATAAACACAATGATAAGCACACTTAGAGTTTAAGAGGGTCAATATATAATACCCCCTCTTCCCAACCCAAATTCTGAACCAACTGAGGGAAACTAAGGAGGAGAGCAGGGATGAAAAAGTAGTGTTTAGGCCAGGCACAGCGGCTCACACCTGTATTCGCAGCACTTTGGGAGGCTGAGATGGGAGGATGGCTTGAGGCGAGAAGTTTGAGACCAGCCTGGGCATCATAGCAAGACCTCATCTCTATAGGAAAAAAAAGCAAGGTAGTGTTTAGAAACAGAATATTCAGATTGGACTATGACTGAATTTGACCAGTAGTTAATATATAGCCCAGAATAGATCATGAGACTCTCCCCCATATGAATACCATTGCTGCCTGAACTTTGTGTCTCCTCATACTGGGGGAGAAAGTGAAAATACCTTTGTTTGTAGGAAGGTAGAAACAGTCAATTTTGTGATTGTATGGAAATTTAAGTGAGTTGAGTCATGTGCATACGAATCCAAGTAGCCAAAGGGGTAGACCATACCAATTACTAAGCTGTGGGTGCTCAGCTTCCAGTCCCACTTCTGGTTGGCTTTGTGATGCTGGAGTCGGGCTCTTCAAACCACATTTTTCCCCTGCCAGGTGGATTTTTTAGGCTCAGAGAATAGGGGTCCTTAGAGGAGACTTCAAGGCTGGAAGTGGAGAGTGGCACAATCTTCCAATGCCTGTTGGTATCACGTTGCTTCTTCCTCATTCCCAAGCAGCAATTCAGTCCAGGAACAGTGGAATCCAGTGTCCCAGCACTTGCGTTCGGCCTCATCATGCTCCCTGAGAAACACCAGCCCCAGCCTATCAGGTTCCTCCTCAGAGTACTGAGTTTCAGCTGCCTGAGGCTCTTTTTCCAAGTTTCAGAGTTTTAGTAATTCAGGGCTTCGGGCCTAGGGGTGGTAGCTGCTTCTTGAAGTTTCTATCTCCATAATAGCTGTGTCTTCTCTTTGAGCTTTCTCAGTCACTATGCTAACAATTCTTTATACCTGACTAACAATTATTTATATTAAATTCTATCTGTTAAAATAAGTATAGTGGTTTCTGTCTCCTGATTAGACCATGACTGATTTGGATAGAAATAAAAATGTCTGATTTATTTACTTAGAAAGGTGGATTGGAGACTTCTAGATTAACATGAATGACTGAAAACATACAGCTAATTCTGCATCCTCCAAAAACTCCATTACAACAACAGCAAATGATTTTAACTAACACATGGGTAGGGCAACAAGAAATGAGACAGCATCGACACGTTTTGAAAGCTGGAAACCAAATTTATCCAGCAGGACTACGAGAGCCAAATCCCAAGCCCACAGAGTGAGGAAGGCTGAGAATCAACACAATTAGCATCCCAAAATTCACAAACAGCACAAGATTAGCAAGTACCAGGTACTGCCAGAACTAGAAGTAAAAGTCGGATCCCAGCACTTTGGGAGGCCAAGGCGGGTGGATTACTTGAGGTCAGGAGTTCCAGGCCAGCCTGGCCAACATGGAGAAACCCTGTCTCTACTAAAAATACAAAAAAAATTAGCCAGGTGTGGTGGTGGGCAACTGTAATCCCAGCTACTCAGGAGGCTGAGGCAGGAGAATCACTTGAGCCCAGGAGGTGGAGGTTGCAGTGAGCCGAGATCATGCCACTGCACTCCAGCCTGGGTAACAGAGTGAGACCCCATCCGAAAAAAAAAAAAAAAAGAAAGAAAAAAGAAGTAAAAGTTAAGAGGGCTAAATTTCAAAAACCATGGGTAAAAGCTTTTTTGAGAGTTATTTGATCCTTAGATTCCATGCCACTGGGAGCCTGCCCCTCCCTCATACTGGCAGAAATCTGGAGGTGTAGAGTCCAGAAGAAATAGAATAGTCTCTAGACTGGGAGGTACCAGGCCCCTTTGAGGACGGAAATACCATGCCTGAAGAGGAGGATTCAGTGGTCACGGGCGTTCCGAATCATAAGTACAGAGACTTCCAATCGTCTTTAACAAACACTCCCCAGAGCACTGGTAGAAAGATCCTAACCTTCTAGATGAGATTGGAAGGTCCTTCTCTGAAAACATCTGGCCTAAAGATGACTAACATTAGGAGTTCTCAACAAATGTCCGATCGAATCACTTTGAAACTCCAAGTTGAGACCACCCACACCACATGATCAAGACCATGATCCAATCAGCTTTCTGGTTCCCCACTCCTGAATACAATCACTCTGGCTTGGCCAAGGATTGAGATATTTGGGAAAACAAATTTTTTTTTAAAAAATTAAATTAACTTTGTAAGACAGACTGTGCAGGGAGAAGAAAATTTCAAAAAAAAAAGTATTGACATCATCAGAGAGGGAAGAGAGATATTACATTCAATTTTTAAAAAGAAACATTCAGAAAATGAATAAAAAGAGCTTTTAGAAATGTAAAGCTTGTTAGCAGAATTTTAAAACTCTATAAATAGAGTTTGGCAGTTCTTCAAAAAGTTAGACATGGAGTTACCATATGACCCAGCTATTCCACTTCCAGGTAAATCCCAAGAGAATTGAAAACATGCGAACACTAAAACTAGTGAACACATGTTCATGGTCGCATTATTCATAGTAGCCAAAACGGAGAAACAACTCGAACATTCATCAACTGATGGACTAAAAAAATGCAGTATATCTATACCACAAAATACTATTCAAGCATAAAAAATAATAACATAGATATTGTTACACGCTAGAACATGGATGAACCTCAAAACATTATGTTAAGTGAAAGAAGCCAAACACAAAAGGCCACATATTTTATGATTCTATTAGTATAAGATGTCCAGAATAGGTAAATACAGAGATAGAAAATAGATTAGTGATTTTCAGTGCTGAAGGTAGAGGGGAGTTGGGACTAACTACTGATAGGTACAGGGTGATGGAAATATTTTGGGGATGAAGTAATTTGTGCAATTATGCAAGTAGTAATTATATTAAAAACACAATGTAGTAATTATAATAAAAACCACTGAAGCATACACTTTAAAATGGTGAGTTTTATGTTATGTGAAGCATATTTCAATTCTAAAATGCTTTTAAAGTAAAAATCAGCCAGGCACAGTGGCTCACACCTGTAATCCCAACATTTTGGCAGGCAGATCAACTTGAGGCCAAGAGTTCGAGACCAGCCTGGTGAATGTGGTGAAATCCCATCTGTACCAAAAGATACAAAAATTAGCTAGGTGCGGTGGCACGCGCCTGTACTCCCAGCTACTTGAGTGGCTAAGGCAGAAGAATGGCTTGAACCCAGGAGGCAGAGGTTGCAGTGAGTCGAGATCACACCACTGCACTCTAGCCTGGGTGATACAGCTAGACTCTATCTCAAAAAAAAAAAAAAAAGAATGCTATTAAAAACAATACTCAATAGAAGGACTGAAGAAAAAAAGTTAAGGAAATCTCCCAGAAAGAAGAGTAAAAATACAAAGAGAGAGAATAGAAGAGAGAAAAATAGAAATTTGGAAACAGAGAGCAGTGAAAGAAAATAGGGTAACTCATGGATGAAACAATTCAAGAAACATTTCCAGAACAAAAGGCATAGTCTCCAGATTGAAAGAAACTTATAATTGTCTAGAACAATGAATAAAAGCAAGTCCACTGCAAGGCACATGGTAAAAATTTGTGAAAATTTGACTGGGGCAAAAACAAGGTTCTGCTAGTTTCCAGATAGAGATAGACAGAGAGAGACAAAACAGTGCACACATGAAGAGTGAGAACTCCAAAGAATTTCAAACCTCTCAGTGGAGTCCACTGGAAATTCCTTCAAACTTTTTTTTAAAAAAATAAAACTATTGAGATATAATTCACATGTCATACAATTTACCCATTTAAAGTCTACAATCCGGCCGGGCACGGTGCTTCATGCCTGTAATCCCAGCAATTTGGGAGGCCAAGGTGGGAGGATCACTCGAGGTCAGGAGTTCAAGACCACAGTGGCCAACATGGTGAAACCTGTCTCTACTAAAAACACAAAAATTAGCTAGGCATGGTGGTCGGCGCTGGGAGAATCACTTGAACCCGGGAGGCAGAGGTTGCATGAGCCGAAATCGTGCCACTGCACTCCAGCCTAGGTGACCAGCAAAACTCTGTCTCAAAAAATAAATAAAATAAAATAAAATGGGCCAGACGCGGTGGCTCACACCTGTAATCCCAGCACTTTGGGAGGCTGAGGCGGGTGGATCACGAGGTCAGGAGATCGAGACCATCCTGGCCAACATGGTGAAACCCCGTCTCTACTAAAAAAAATGCAAAAAAATTAGCCAGGCGTGGTGGCGGGCGCCTGCAGTCCCAGCTACTTGGGAGGCTGAGGCAGGAGAATGGCGTGAACCCGGGAGGCAGAGGTTGCAGTGAGCCGAGATTGCGCCACTGCACTCCAGCCTGGGCGACAGAGCGAGACTCTGCTCAAATAAAATAGAATAAAATAAAATAAAATAAAATAAAATAAAATAAAATAAAATAAAATGTACAATCCAATGGTTTTTAGTATGTTTGCAGTTTGCAACCATCACCAAAATCAATTTTAGAACATTCTTTTAACCCCCCAAAAAGCTCCATAATTATTAGTAGTCATTCCCTGTTTCTCTCTGCCCCCATCCTCTCCCTACAACCCCTCAGGCCCTGGCAATCACTTGTGTACTTTCTATCTCTCTATATTTGCCTATTCTGGACATTTTTAACTGACAGATAAAATTGTATGCATTTGTCATGTACCATATGATGTTCTGAAGTATATATCCATTGTGGAACAGTTAAATCGAATGCATTGCCTCACATGGTTATCATTTTTGTGATAAGAACACTTAGATTTGCTCTCTTTGCATTTTTTTTCTTTTTCTTTTATTTTGTATTTGAGATGGAGTCTTGCTCTGTCACCCAGGCTGGAGTACAGTGGTGTGATCTTGGCTCACTGCAACCTCTGCCTCCCAGGCTTAAGTGATCTTCCCACCTCAGCCTCTCAAGTAGTTGGGATTACAGGTGCACGCCACCATGCCTGGCTAACTTTTTTTTGTATTTTTAGTAGGGATGGGGTTTTGCCATGTTGCCAAGGCTGGTCTTGAACTCCTGGACTTAAGTGATCCACTTGCCTCGGCCTCCCAAAGTGCTGGGATTACAGTTGTGAGCCACTGAGCCTGGCCACATTTTTCAAACATACAATATATCATCATTAACTATAGTCATTGTGCTATACAATAGATCTCTCGAACTTATTTATCCTAACTGTAATTATGCAGTTATGCATCTCTTAATGACAGGGATACATACTGAGAACTCTGCCTTTAGACGATGTTATCATTGTGCAAACATCATAGAGTGTACTTACACAAACCTTAGATGATACAGCCCACTACACACCTAAGCTATATGGTATAGTCTATTGCTCCTGTAACAAACCTGTACAGCATGTTATTGTACTGAATACTGTAGGCAATTGTGGCACAATGGCTAGTATTTGTGTATCTAAACATACCTAAACATAGAAAAGGTACAGTAAAAGTACAGTATAAAAGATTAAAAATGATACACCCGTATAGGGCACTCACCATGAATGGCGCTTGCAGGACTGGAAGTTGCTCTGGGTGAGTCAGTGAGTGACTGGTGAGTGAATGTGAAGGCCTAGGACATTACCATACACTACTGTAGACTTTGTCAACACTGTAAACACTGTACACTTAGGCTACACTAAATTTGTAAAAAATAATAATAAGTGTGCTACAAGGTTAGGATTGCTACGACCTCACTAGATTACAGGAATTTCTTCAACTAACTCCATCATAATCTAATGGAACCACCATTGTATATGCCATCTGTCATTGACTGAAATGTCATTACATGACACATGATGGTATATCTTTTGACCAACACCTCCCTATCCCCCCATCAACTACTCAAGCCTCTGGTCATCACCATTCTCCTTTCTACTTCCGTGAGATGGACTGTTTTAGATTCCACATATGACTGAAATCATTCAGTGTTCATTTTTCTGTGCCTGGCTTATTTCACTTAACATAATGTCCTCTGGGTTCATCCATGTCCATATGAATGACAGGATTCCGTTCTTTTTTACCGCCCAGTAGTATTCCATTGTGTGTATGTACCACTTTTTTTTTTTTTTTCGAGATGGAGTCTCACCCTGTTGCCCAGGCTGGAGTGCAGTGGCACAATCTCAGCTCAGTTCAAGCTCTGCCTCCTGGGTTCATGCCATTCTCCTGCTTCAGCCTCCAGAGTAGCTGGGACTACAGGTGCCCGCCACCACGCCAGGCTAATTTTTTTGTATTTTTAGTAGAGATGGACTTTCACCATGTTAGCCAGGATGGTCTCGATTTCCTGACCTCGTGATCTGCCTGCCTCAGCCTCTCAAAGTGCTGGGATTACAGGTGTGAGCCACAGCGCCCAGCCCCACATTTTCTTTATCCATTCATCTGTTGATGAACACTTAGATTGATTCCATATCTTGGTTATTGTGAGTAATGCTGCAATAAACATGGGAGTGCAGATAGCTCTTCAACATATTGATTTTATTTCCTTTAGATACATACACAGTAGTGGGATTGTCTTCAAACTTCTCAAGGAAATTATTTCAAACCTAGAATTCTGTGTCACCAAACTGTCCTACAAGTATGAGGGTAAAACAAAGATATTTTCAGACACACAATGGCTTAGATATTTTCTATTTTCCCTTCCAGACCTATTCTTCATTGTGTTTATGCACTAGGAGGATTTTTTAAATAAACTGCATCAATGAGCTCCTTAGCCTTCTAGGTTGGACAATGGCAGGCACCAGGAGGAGATCAGAGGGTGGGAGGAGAGCAAGGTGATGCTATTCATTCCCCTTGCCTCCCTCCCTGGTTCTCATGGATTGCCTGCATCCCTCAACCAAAGGCCACAGCTCTTATCATACAGTCCTCTCCTCTAGCTACTCTCCAGGTTCTAGTAACTGCTTCCTCCCCTTGATCCTTCGGCCTACCATCAACATCTCTGAGGTTCTGTCCCATCTCTTAATGTTTTTTATTTACTCCAGAGCATCAGCTATCTATTGCAACATTAATGCTGCATAACCACTACGCCAAAGTCCAGTGTCTTTTAAAAGACTATTTTTTTCTCATACATCTGCAGGTCAGCTAGAGTGGGGCTGAGTTACGCTGGGCTCAGTTGAGCATCTTTACCTCATGCCTTGCTAGCTAGAGCAGCTATGCTTCCCACTGTAGATCTATGAGGTGGTTGGAGCAACTCTGTTCCCCATGTATCTCATCTTCATTAGATCAGCAAACATGTTGCTTGTGGCAGCAGAGGCACACAAGAACAAACAAAAATACATGATGCCTATGAAAGCCTAAGCTTAGAACTGCCATGCTGTCATTCCCACTCGCATGTCATTGGCTAAAACAAATCACACGGCCAAGCCCAACGACACAAGGCAGGGAAGCACGGTCCACCCATCAAGAGGGCATGAAAGGATACAGATACAGATAAGAATGAAGAATTGAAGTCAATTTTTTAATCTGCCACCCTGCCTTCATCTTTATAAATATTACCTTTATTAAATCCACGTCAATTACCCCTATTCTCGTGTACCTGAGCACCTAGAGCTTAGCCACATTTGAGTGTGGCTTAGTGGTTGCCTCATGTTGCCTTCTGGGTTCCAGAGAAATATAGGAATAGGTACCAGGAAGGGCCCAAGAAAACAGAACCCCACAGTAGGATTCTGAAATTCTATTGCTTTTATACTTAAGAAGCACAAAACTTCTTAAGTAACCTCCTTACCAGGAGAACAGTGGATACTGGTAATCCATGGCATTCAGTGACATAACAGTGACTAGACTTACCATTGTTGGTGGCAAGGAATAAATTCAAGGAGGATGGCAATAGAAATAAAGTGACTGTGGTACTTAGTCACCATGGTGACAATAGTGATTATAAAGACTGTGGAGTCAACTGACTGTCTCTGATGGCTCTAAAGAGTAAACACGGAAAAAAACATATTGAAAGCCTTGCATACCCAACTGAAAACATTATGGGAAATCAGAACATCTCTACAGTAGCTCTAATGGAGTCCTTCTCCTCTAGTCAATGGACTGATATGGAAGAAGACCACATCTGAAAAATGATGTTAATAGCTGCAGAGATGCAAAACCAATTAAATACTCAAATCCTTCCGTTTCAATTTCTTACAATATGCAAAGGGTACTAAGGGAGAGAGATGGGACCCTGAGAGATGCGATATAGACATTTGTGTAGACATGGATGAGACTAAGAATCTGAATCCTAAAATCCCCCTAAACCTCTCTGAGGAGGTTTATACCCTGCAACCCCAACTCCATTGAATAAAATCCTTTCAATGACTATTCCTCAGGCAGTTCCCTTACAAAAAAAAAATGTGACTTTCCTCAAGACCCACCTCCACTGCCCCTCATTGCTTCCAGATCCACAAAGAAAGTAAAATGCCAGCATAGTCCAGATTGCAAAGTATAGAGGCTAGGCCTCAAGGAGATAGACTTTATGCCAAAAGAGTTGCAGAACTTCATTAACTTTTATCAGCAGGAGTCTGGAGAACATTTATTTAAGTGGATTGTAAGGTTGTTAGGCCAAGAAGAATGTAACTTAAGACTTGATTAAGCTGAATTTATTGAAATGGGTGCACAATTGGGAATCAGTATTTAATGTCATGGTTTGAGCACTTGGGAAGCGGCACTAATAGTCGGCTAGATTGGTCAATCTCAACAGCAAGCCACAGTCAGTAAAGATGAAATGCCAGAACTTGGCATACTATAGACAGAGGAAGAAGTCTAAATGTGAACAGGCATGAGAAAGCTAAAATGGATCTATTATATGCAGCTTGATTAACCCCTCCTAGCCATATCCCCCCAGGAAGGCCCAGAGGATACTCCCTTCTTTAAGGCAGTAAGAAAGGAATTAAACTGACTAATCCTAAAACCTGAAATCCTACCTTGGTTCACTAATCAGAATGTGCTTATGGAAGTCAGGTAAAAGCGGGAGTTTTGGTCTAAGTCCAGTGGGATCATGGATTCATTTTGTGGCTCCCAGCCTCAGGAGGTATATTTAAAATAGATATATTTAGTAATTAAAAGACCCTCACATCTGAGCTGCAGTGAGCCAAGATCGCGCCAGTGCACTCCAGCCTGGGTGACAGAGTGAGACTCGGTCTCCAGGAAAAAAAAAAAAAAAACAACCAAAAAACTGCCGAGATCCTCATATCTATTTCCTAGCTCACAGAGTGAGGTATCCTATGGCCATAAGGGAGGAGCCAGTAGCAAGTAGAAGACCCTAGAATTGCCCTACCCAACCCACTCCCCCATGCCAAACTAGTAACCCAAAGTAAACCCACTACCCCAGAGGAACTGCAGGGTTAGTGCCACCCATTAAAGGCTTGACAGAGGCAGAGGTGGGATTCTAACCACATCTCCACTTAACTTCCTTCCTGGCTCTTAGAAAAGCCAGATGGTTTTGGAGAATGACTGTGGATTATTACACACTTAATCAGCAGTGCCACAATGCAGCCCTTGGAAGCTGGTATGCAGATATTAGCCTAACAAATTCCTCCCCCCAACCCATTCCTACCGCCAAAGGAAATCAGAAGCAATCTCTTACCTCAGGCTATGGCAGTGCTCCTGCACATTGTCATCATGTAGCCTGGAGAATCTTGATTGTCTTAATATTTTATAGAACATCACACTAGTCCATCGTATTGGTAACATGATAGAACGTTCAAAGGCTTGCCACTTCAGTGAAGTTCATAAAGGTCTACAGGTCTAGTTCATATCAAGATATACTTTTTAAAGTAAAAAATGGCCAGGGGCAATTGCTCATGCCTGTAATACCAGCACTTTGGGAGGCCGAGGTGGGCAGATCACTTGAGGTCAGGAGTTCGAGACCAGCCTGGCTAACACGGCGAAACCCTGTCTCTACTAAAAATACAAAAATTAGCCAGGCGTGGTGGTCAGCGCCTGTAATTCCAGTCACTCGGGAGGCTGAGGCAGGAGAATCGCTTGAACCTGGGAGGCAGAGGTTGAGTGAGCTGAGATCACCTCACTGCACTCCAGCCTGGGTGACAGAGCGAGACTCTGTCTCAAAAAAAAAATAAAAAATAAAAAATTAAAAAACAACAGGTTGCATCTACCTACCAAAGAAAGAGGCATAGTGCTTGGCAAGCCTGTTTGGATTTTAGAATCAAAATATATCACCTACGAATGTATTCCTTCTACCCATTTATCGGGAAGCTCATAATAAGGTAATAAGACTGTCTGTTTTGAGTGGGATCCAAAACAAAAAAAGACTTCGCAACAGGTCCAGGCAAGCTATCCTTTCACTTTGAGTCACACAGGATAACACTGACCAAGTGGTAAGTGAACGCAGCACGTAGTGCATTCTCTAGAAGGGTTATCTTGCACAGCTGTGTTCAAGGAAAGCTTCTTTGGAATAGTAAAGCTGAGGGGTCATATGCTGGAAAGGAAGGGTGAGTCGGGTCCAGTCAGGGAAAACAGCTAATCAGCTGGCGTATTTCCATGTAGCCTTGTTTCAAAAATCCCAGGCTCAGGAAGTATTCCCAAATGAAAGAGTTCATATTAAGCTCAGAGTTTCCCACCAGGATTAGAACCCACTTCTACTCAAGTTCTCCTCTGTGAGACCATCAGGAAGGTTATGCCATTGCCTGCATCTCTTCGAGAGGGAAATCGAATCAAAAGTGAGCGTCTGCCAGTCTCAGTCCTGTGATGGCTGAGGAGCCTGGGCGAAGAGCATAGTAAATATTTGGCAAAGTTAGCAGCCTTCGGAGCGGGAATAGAGAAGGGAGTGAGTGATTCAGAGAGCAACGTGCAGGCCCCTGCAGCCGGAGCAGGACTTTTGCTCCTATTCCTGAGCGAAAGGGAACAGGCTGCTATCCCCCTGACCGGAGGGGCCTTCCAGCACCTCCCAGGGGAGCGGCTGCGCTTGAGGCGACGGGAACAGAGGATGGGGACGGCGGGGGCTGGAGTGGCCGCAGCAGCGAGTCCGCCGTCCGACTGCGGGGAGGGAGGGTGGCAGCGACGCCCTTTGTGTGGGGAGCTGCTCTGGGACCCAGATGAAGCAGGGGGAGTTTTAGGCAGCTTAATGAGTTGTTGCTCCCTAACCACACACTTGTCAGCGGCGGTATTATTGTTGTGGTTTAGCGCCTGGCAGCGCCGCCTCCCCCCGCTGCGCTCCCGGCTGGCGGCTGCGGTTCCCAGTAACTCCCGCCTGCCCCTCCGCACCGCGTCCCAGAGCCTCGCCCCGGGCAGGCCTCCCGCTTCGTCTCCCCTTCTCCTCCCCGTCTCAGGGAGCCTGCAGCCAGGGATCAGGCAGGCGAGATGCTAAGGTAATAATTGTATTAATGAAAACGGCAAACACACATCCTTTCCATCTGGCAGCACAAAAGGATGGGCTGTTGGGGATGCAATTACCCACTACAGGAGACAGTAAAATATTTGTCAGGTTTAGCAATAAAATTAATATCCCCAATTACTAGCATCTCGCTAATGAGATGCATACAAATTGCTTTTCCTAGTTGCAAGAAGAACCTGTGGCATAAAACCCAAAGCCCAGGAATCTCTGCCAGTGAGACTGCCATCGTCCATGCCTGGAGACTCAGGGAGGTGAAGCCTGCGGGGATGTTCCGATTGTCAGTGCTGTGCACCCCATTACACAGTGGGGTTGTGTGGGGGGGAGTGTCCGTCTGGACCCTGTGCCCCCAGGACTCTTGAGAGTCTGGACGATCCCAGACCCACGTGACAAGATGGCCAAGGGCTCCACGCACCGTGGCGCACCGGTCACTTTCCCCGATCCATCCACACAGCCTTCCAGGTCTCCTGTAGCAAGCGGTAGTAGCCCACCTATGGTCAGATATTTCCGCAATTTCCTACATTATTTTCCCTCATGAAATTTGTATATAGCAAAAGCCGAGTTTGCTTTAGGCAGAGCATATGCTTCCTATTTATTGGAATAAGTTTTCTAGTTCCTTAGCATTCTGTTCACTGATATTCCGTCTGTTAAAAATATCTCTGCTTTTTCCCCTGATACTCAGTAGTAGGCAGCCACAGTTTTCCTCTATAGTTTTTCTGGGTAGAAACCAGAACATGCTCTCCACAGCCTGGGGGAGTATTCTATACCTTTGCAGAGGATGACCTGATTTCCCACCCATAAAGAGAAATACGATTTTCCTACTCTCCACCAGTTTCACGGATAATGCTATCAGGCAGCCTGATTCCAGGGAGGACCCTTAATTTAGAAAGGAAAAAGCTAAGACCTAACACTTTGTCTCTCACTAAGGGAGTCTGGAATTCTGATTCCTGTTTCAGGTCTATAATGTGCTCTATGTAGGAGGCAAAAAGAAGAGGATCTGAATCCTTTGGTGAGTCTGGGACTCCAGGAGATTGCAAATAAGCTCTGCAGGAGCACTCTTCCCAGGAGGAGGGGGTCTATGGCCCCCTGGGGACCTCATATGCTGAGCCCACAGCTCTGATGCCTCTGCAATTTCTCAGAGGTCCACTCTGGAGGCCATCGTCCCTGCTGAGCCCCCCAGAGACACAGGGAGCTTCGATCTCAGCAATGGGACATTGATTTTTACAACTCCAGCAACAAGAGAACAGTGAGTAAGCCAACACTACCCACATTTGAGAAACAGAATTTGGAGTTAAAATGGCAGAATCAATATTCAAATTCATAGCTCTATGTGTGTGTGCGTGCATGTGTGTGTGTGTGTGTGTGAGAGAGAGAGAGAGAGAGAGAGAAGGAGGAAGGAGAGAGACAGGGAAAAGGGGATTTTATGACTAAGAGGAAAGAACAAACAACTCCTTGGAGGGAGGAGATCTCAGTTGAATATGCCCCTAGTCTGTGCTGCTGGAAGGTTGGAATAGAGGATGGAGTGGCCAAGGCCAAGGGTGATGATGATATACTTTAGTGGCTCCATCAACCCAGAGGTCTCCTGGGAAGAACCCACCCCCAACCCCACATCCTCAAAACCCATGTATAGGGACTAGTGCAGTCTGTTGTCTGACCCAGGGAGTTGTCCAGGGGCTGGGCTGCAATGGGTCATGGCTTGGTAGAGTCACTAGCATAGCAGCTACCACCCTGGGCCCCCAGATCTGTCTTTCTAGGCCTGACTTCAAAGAGGTTCTATAAGTAGATTGAACTTACGTTTCAAGTATTATGAACCTCATTATGTTTCAAATATTATTTTGTAAGGTGGTTGTCTATAATTTAGAATGCCTTTTCTCATATATGCAACACTCAACAAATGTTTATGGATTGTCTACTCTATCAGATGCTGGGAATATAATGGTGAAAAACAGAGGTCGCATTCCCAGATCCACCCATAAAAACCTATTTAATCAATAATAAAGGCAAACTATTCTTTGTCTGTGGAAGCATTGCATTCTGAGCTCCATCTTGGAATACCTGGAAAATAGCATTCCCTGCCTTGGCAATAGCAATTGAAACTCCCACCTGGTCCCTGAGCAACTGCAACCACAAGTAAGAAGTGTAGAAACCAATATTTGTTGAATGCCTACTGTATGTCTGGCTGTGCTAGCATTTTACGTACATCTATGAGATAGGCATAATTGCTCTTGTTTTACAGCTAAAGAATCCAATACTCAGAAGCTAAGCAAGTTCCCTAAGGTCACACAGTTACTAAGCTAGAATTTGAGTCAAGGCTACAGATATCAAAGCCCATGTTCTTTCTTCTATTCATCAACTGCCTTATTTGGGGCTTTGGCCGGAAAGGATGAGGCAGCATGGGAAGGCACTGAGGGCACTCAGAGTGCTCTGGCCATGGGGCGCCATGCAGCCATGGGGAAGTGAAGTACGCAGATGTATGTACAGATCATTTGCAGGCCCACAGTTCTGAAATCAAGCTCTTAGTGCACCAGTTTCCGTGATGTGGCTTGTTGCTGTTATTCACCTGGAATCCTTAGGAGTGACCAGGCATTCAAGTCACCAAGACTCAGCTGGAACTAAGAACCCTTTTCTTCCACTGTGTTTTCTAGGGGGAGATGCTGTAGGAGTCTTGCAGGAGCAAGCGAGTGTGAGTAATAAAAGAGTTGCTTATGTAATAGGAAACCACACTGTCTAGGGCACACGGACTTCTCTGGGATCCAGGGAGCCAGAATTCCAAGGTTCTCTTCCAAGTTCACCCACACTTGGGTCTGTCTTTTTGAGCAAGTCACCTCACCTTCTCCAGTTTCCTGCTGTGCAGCCTTGACACAGCAATGTTCTTTTTTACCCTTTTCCATGATGAGATCCCCAAAGAATGGCTGTGCATAGCGACCGCTGGAGCTGCTTGGCAGTCTGAGCAACATCCTTTGGTTTCTACCCCCAGCCGATGCCCCTCTCACCTCCAGGTGCTCACTTTTCTATGGCACCCCACTGGGGAGGTGACCCTCATTTATCTCTCAAATGTCTTCAGCCTTCTTTGATGTGCCTAAGACGATTTCTCCCTGCAACCCCCCTGGGGCCCAGTGAGGTTATCATGGCTTCTAACTGTCTAGCTGTGAACAGAGTAGAGACATCGTCAGCTTCTACTTAAAATAAAATGTCTCAGCCTGTATGCCTGTTTTCCATTTCCACCCCTTCCACTAATGATGTCTGTGTTCTGAGAACGTCACTTACCTCTCTGGACCACAGTTTTTTCCTTTGTAACAAAAGGGGATGGAACAAGATGTCTCTGGGAATCTTGCAGTTTCCTGATTTTGAACCCCTTACCTAGGAATCTGAGTCACCTTGCACATCCTTTCATTTCATCATCTTAAAAATGACAAGGATCCACAGGTTTATCGAAATGGACACATGGAAATGTGTACACAAATCCAGGCCCTTCCCAACCATGCACCTAGTTAGACTCCTAGTGTCGGTTCTCTGAGAGGCAGTATTCCAGCCACTGCAGTCAGGTGTCTTCAACTAGGGCTCTGCTCTCTCCCCCACCCTTGCACCTTCTCCCTGGTACACAGTCCTCTGCCCCAGTCCAGCCCAGTGAGAGTTTCTTCTGCACAGCAGGTGGCTGTCCACCAGCCAGTCCCTCTTGGAAGTTGGAGGGGCCAAGCTGTACGAGAAGACGTTTTCCTTACCCCAGCCACCCGCATCCCAGCCTCAGGACAGTTTTGCTCTGCTCCACACGCCCTGCGTGGGTTGGCTCCTGTTGCTAGGAGAACCTGACCATTTGCATTTCCTGCTGTTTTTATTTTAGATTAGCAGCCGCACTGCTGCAGGAACACAGGGTATTTTAAGAAAGACAAAAAAGGAAAGGGTGAGGGGAGAACCTAGCATGGGTCCTCCTTCCCACAGGCCCCCAAAACACTCAGACCAAGGTGACAACCATCGCAGACCCTGTCCCCACCCAGGCCTCTTGCCTCCTCTTCCCTGAACGGCACCATCTCCCAGTCCTGACACTTTCACAAACACCTTCAGTCCATACAGGAACAAATGGCCCAGTCTTCTTACACAAAAAGCAGACAAAGGTCAAGTCTTCAAATCAACCTAACACACACACAGGACCAGCTTCCCCATGTTTAAAAAAAAACCCAACAAATAGAAATACTCCCAGATTCCCATGTGGATTCTCCAACCCCAAAACACCTGATCTCCAGAGATGACTCCTGCTTTTTCCTTTGTCTTTGCCCTTTCTCTGCCCTAAAGATAGAGATGTGACTTTTCCTTCAAAGCCTTAGCACAAATCAGTGTCGCCTTCCCAGAGCCCCTCAGTTCTATTAATCTCTCCCTCCCCTGTTCTGAAGATCCCTGCACCTTATCACGGTTACCGTTTTATCAGATCCGTAATCTACACTTCTGTCTCCCCCACTAGACTGTGAACTCCTAGAAGCCAGTGTCTTCATCATTTTTTTTTGAAACAAAGTCTCACACTCTTGCTCAGGCTGGAGTGGAGTGGTGTGATCGTAGCTTACTGCAGTCTCGACCTTCTGGGCTCAAGCGATCCTCCTGCCGCAGCCTCCCGAGTAGCTGAGACTATAGGCATGTGCCATGATGCTCATCTCATTTTTAATTTTTTGTGTAGAGATGGAGTCTTGTTATGTTTCCCAGGCTGCTCTCGAACTCCTAGACTCAAGTGATCCTCCCACCTCAGTCTCCCAAAGTGCTGGGATTATAGGCATGAGCCACCATGCCTGACTGTCTTTGTGATTTTTAATGTTAATCCCCTTCTTATCTCCAGTGCATTTTGCTCACAGCAGGTGTTGATTAACACTTTGTAAAGTTTGTTCATCCCCATGGAACACTTTGAGAGTCGTATGCCATAGATGGCCGAAAACATTTTCTACCATGAGGGAGCTTTTAGCGCTGTGGAGGAAGGCAAGTCGATTGTTTTAAACAATGTGACAGGTGTGGTTGTAAAGATCACAGAACACGTACAGAGGATTACAGAATCACAAGAAGGTTCCTGGGGCAGGGGTTGGGGATAGAGAGAATGGTCAAGAAAAATCAGGAATAGCTTCATGGACCCGACTCTTAGAGAGGGATTAAGAGTCCACCAATGGGTAACCACTCCAATCAGATGGAACAGCTTGTGCAAAGGCTCAAAGATCTAAGAGAAAGGGATTGAAGTAAATATACCACCCAGGTCCCAAACAAGTGGAATCTCAGACTGGCCCAGCTCACCCATCCCATACCCACACCCCAGAGCCTTCCTCACTTCATCTTTCCCTAAGAGGTGAAAACATCTTCCCTCTCCTCAGCCACCTGTTCCAGGCTGTGCGGAGCAAAGTATTGCCAAGAAGAAGATGATTATCAGAGACCAAACAAAGCTGTTCCCACGCATACGCTGCAAAGCCCCCCACAAGGCCATGGTCCTTAATGGAACAAGCGTCTCCTTTTTAGCCTCCTTTCTAATAACCAAGCCCTGGTCAGAGAATAACCCTGCCACCCTCACTCAGGAGGACCAGCTTCTGAGGACCCATTGTGAGCTTAGGAATCCATACCAAAGTAGGCATTTCCATGGTAGGCTTTTTCCTCCAGTCAGCTCTGTCTGAGCAGGGAGCACAGAGACCCTTGAGAGATGGTAGCATCTCCTCCCCCAAATCCAAGGTTGTTGACCTTTTGTGAGACAGACACTGCAGCAGAAAGTCCTAGTTGTCTACCATTCTCTCCTTTTCTTTCCTACAAACACAAACACCAGTATGACATGGAGATGCCCCATGTCAGCGAAACTATCATATTTTCCCAGCCTCTCTTGCAGGTAGGTGTGGACAGTAAGATAGAAATGGATTTCTAAGAAAGCTCATTAAAAGAGGGACAGAAAACTGGAGTGGAACTTTTTGGTCTTTCCTGCCCACCAACTTTTTCCTGCTTCCTGCCTAGAATCTAGGTGTTCAGCTGAGGCTCCAGCAGCCATCTCAAACCATAAGCTGACCTCAAAGATGGCACCACATGCTGAGGATGACACTGTGGATCACATACCAGCCCCGCTGGAAACTCTGTCTCCAAAAAAACTGGTGATGTGCACAGAAACAGTTTTGCAAACAACTTCCCAGGTTTGATGAGCCCCGAAACCAACGCACAGACCCAAGATTAAGAACTCAGTCTTAGGGAAGTGGGGAGACCCAGCTCTACCTCAACTTCTTAGATGACTGTCGTTAAAGTGGGAAGAGCTTAGGATTGTGCCGTGATGGTGTCCTCTGTGACTGGATGTGTCCTGTCTTCCCTCTGGAATCCCAGCACAAACACCTTCCTTGCCTTATCATTCTTAATAGTTCTGACGCAGGGCTGCTGCCGCCGCCACCCATCTCTCCCTGCTGCCTCTCCTCCCCTCTCCCCAGCTATTCCCCCTGCGCTGCCAATCCCACTCCAAAGTCACTTTCTACAGGGGAGGAAATTAGCATTTGTGTTGGGACAGAAAGTGACACTGCTCAGCTCTCACTGTCATTCTGCTCTTAATTAATATTTAACCTCAGAGAGATTGTGTAGCAGACGGAAGTGGCTGATGGGAGAACAAAGCCCTGGCTGGCTCTCCTTTTCAACACTGCCTCCCCTACTTGCAGCTCCTCCCCCTGCACCTTCAGGCCCTGAAGGACCCAGAGGCCCAGGGGGAATGGAGAGGAGTGGAATGGGACACCCTTGGGGATCCTTGACCTCGGCCCTCTTGTCTAGAGAGCCCTTCTGCAACAAAATGAGAGCAGCCAGTGCCCGGAACCTGATTCCCAGTGCCCAGAGCAAGACCCAGGCCTGCCCTGCCAGGAAGGATGAAGAGACAGGCGAGGGGGAAAGAAAAGCAATGCAAATGTGCCCCTCAACAGATTATATTTAATGCACTATTTTTAGTTGCCTTCAATCCCTCGGGGCTGTCAGGGCGGTTGCAGCCCCACTCCCCCGGGAGAGGAAATGACAGGCATTATTACCCAGCCCAGGAACACTGGTGCAGTGCGTGGTGGGTGGGGGAGGTGCTGCCTTGCCAGCTCCACAATTTGGGAACTTAACTTCCAACGGGAAATCGAGGACACAGAAAAATGCAGCCTCAGGACCTCCTCCTCCCTTCCCAGCCAGTCAGCCAGATCACCCCACATGCACGTCCACTGGGCTCAGACCAGGCGTGTGGGAGTCTCCTCAGTCCCCAAGTTGTCTCAAAAACTAGGTTATACAACATCCTTCACTGCCAAGTTCTTCCTTCTCTCTAATCTTAGCCCTGCCTTCGGTCTAAGCCCATTTCCCCTTGCTCTGCAAGCAGAGGCAAAGGAGGACAGCTGGCCATCATCCCCCAGCAAGAGAGCCCTTCTTTGTCTTGGAAATGATTCAGTTTCCTCTCGGTCTTCTCTTCTCCAACCTGAGTCATTCCCGTTCCGTGAACCTTTCCACACATCATGTTTTTTTTTTAGCTCATCTTGTTGTCACTCCTTTAACCTTGCTCTGAATATATCCCCAATTCCTCCTTGCAACCCCAAACAGACACTGGACTTTGGCCAGGAAGCACCTAATCATCGATTTGAATGGAAGAACTTATTATGTATCATCTGGAAGAGGTTTTCTAATTATCTTGATTGTCTTGCCTCTCCATAAGACCAAACACTTTGTACAGACTGCGTCCTCTACGTTGCGATCTTCCCTCACCCTCATCCAGCCAAGTGCAAGGCTGATAAGAAGTGGCACATAACTTTCCACAGCGTTTAGGTTTAAATGAGATACATATGTAAAATGTGTTGACCAAGTGCCTATAATTTACTTTGTAAATTATGCAATGGCATCTCAGTGGTAGTTTTTTTACTACTGTGGTGCATACCAGATTTTTGGAAAATGCTTGTTTTCTTAACCATAGCATTGTAAATCATATAAACCATAGCATTATATTATAGTCATTCATTCATTAAATATTTATTGAGCTCCTACCATGTGTCAGACACTGTGCTAGATGCTGGGATGTCAAAATGAAAGGCCAGGCTGGGCGCGGTGGCTCATGCCTATAATCCCAACACTTTGGGAGGCCGAGGTGGGGGGATCACCTGAGGTCAGGAGTTCAAGACCAGCCTAGCCTACATAGTGAAACTCCCGTCTCTACTAAAAATACAAAAAATTAGCCAGGTGTGTGGCAGGTGCCTGTAGTCCCAGCTACTCAGGAGGCTGAGGCAAGAAAATTGCTTGAACTGGGAGGCAGAGGTTGCAGTGAGCCGAGATCACGCCATTGCACTCCAGCCTGGGCAACAGAGCGAGACACCACCCTCCCCCCCAGCCCCCCACCTCAAAAAAATGAAAGGCCAAATCCTGGTTCTATAGGCAGTCACAGCCTAGTGAGGAAGGTAAGACAGAAACAACGGCAAGGCAGTGTGATGACTGCCAATAAGGCACACACTTGGCGAGAGGGCATACAGGGAAGTGGGGGAGCTGATCACAGCTCTTTACTCTGCAATGATTCTGCCTTGCTAGGCATCAACGTGGCCATGTTTTCGACTGCCAAGGTCCCTTCCTAGGGCTGGCTCATCCCTGCCCCAGTCTGTGTGGTCCTGGAGTGTTTGTCAGTAACATGAGCAAACGCCCAAGAAAGGTTGCTTAGAGCCCTTTCACGAAATTTTATATACGGGTACATAGAGAGAGACGGTGTCTTTTTCTCTTGAGAGTTTGGGGATTCTAATAACCTTCCTTCCTCCACCACCATAAAAGGCCAATCTGAGGGTGAATCTAACACAGAGACACCCTGAGGGAGGCACTGCTGAAAAATGGAAAGGGAGACAGAAACCTGATGGCATTGTTCTAAGCCCTTGGTCCAGCCACGTCAGCCCAGTTAAGTGGCTTCATAACATCCCCAGGTTTGTTTGAGATAGTTATTCCAGAAGGAAGCAGAACCCTGGGAGAGCCCTCAGTGCAAAAATGACCTTTCCCAGAGGGGAGCAGAGCGGGAGAATGTTGCTTAATATGCAAATTTAGTCTTCTGTCTTAATGGCTTCGTCACTCTGAGTAAAATGCACAGATTGAGGAGAAATTCATCCAGGCAGGAGAGGTGGCCAAATAGCGGGGACAGCTTTGGAGTCAAACAGACTTGAATAGAAGCCCAGCTTTACTGCCTACCAGCTGTATGGCCTTGTTCAAGTTACTTAACCTTTCTTTTCCCCATATATATATTTTTTTACCTAGAAAACATTGGAGAATGGTATTTCTTCACCAATGGTATTTGCTTGGATTATTGTGAGTATGACACAACATAATGTATTGAGATGTACGTGCATTCTTTAGTCATCCAGTCCAAAACACCCTTTTCTTTTGTGGAACTGCTTTTCCCCTACTCTTACCAAATGGTTCTGCAGGCCCTGCCAGTCAATGAATCCAACTGGCCACACGGTTGTGCCACAGGCTGGGTCAATTATAATACTTCCCTCACCTAGCCACAAGGGTTAGTGCTAGGATAGGCATAAGGCTCAAATCTGGTTTATCAGCGATCTCCTCTGGGAATTTTACAATTATTATTAATGAGGTTGCAATTGAAGAATTCTATTTCTTCCTTAGTCCCAAGGCTATAATGGCTTAAGTTCAGAGCTGCCTGCAGCCACGGTTCCAGCATGATGGAGATGTCAGCATTATGCAGAAGGAAGCAGAAACAAGTGACATAAAGGGAGGAAGAGAGTCTTAATAGGATTTTACATTCCTGGAACTCCACCTCTGCCCTTTCAGTGAATCAGTGCTTATGTTAATGTAAGTTGAGTTTCTATCCTTTTCCACCCAAAGAGTCTTGATCAATACAGTATGTAATGCACTTAGTACAAAGCAGATGGCACATAATAAATGCTCATAATAAAGATTTGGCACAGAAAGTGCTCCCTGGAAAATGGTTTAAGACCTTCTAGATTTATAGAATCTTTGCTTTAATTTAAGATAAATTCTTTTTATTTTTCTATTTTTAGAGGCAGGGTCTCACTCTGTTGCCCAGGCTAGAGTGCAATGGTGCGACCCTAGCTCACTGCAGCCTTGAACTTTTGGGCTCAAGCCATCCTCCTGCCGCAGCCTTCTGAGTAGCTGGGATCACAGGTGTGTGCCACCATGCCCAGCTAATTTTCGTTTTTTGTAAATACAGGGTCTCACTGTGTTGCCCAGGCCGATCTGGAACTCCTGGGCTGAAGCAGTTCTTCTGCCTTGCCCTCCCAAAGTGCTGGGATTACAGGTGTGAGCCACAGTGCCCAGCCTAAAATAAATTTTTAAGCCCTTGTATATATGTATATATACATTGGTTTACAATAATAAAAATGTATAATAAAAAGAAGTGCCCTACCAGTGTCCCAGAGGTTTCTGCTTTTCAGTATAAGCCATTTCCATCTAATAATTAAAAGTAAATAATACTCATTTTAAGGGAGACAAGAACTTTTAGGGAGTCCTTGTCCTAAGGGTATCTAACTAATCTTTCAGAATATCCGAATAACTAGATTGGCATCTGTTATGGACTACCGAGTGCTGTCTGCAGGAACAGCAGAGAACGGGCGCCACTCCCCAAAGGAGCTCCAAAGGCTTCACAAATGAGGGACTCTAGATGAACATTCACTCTGCCTTTAATCAATCTTCTCTCAGTGCTAACCTTGGAGGGTTTTGTTTTCATTGAAAGAAAAGAGAAGATTCCTCACTGGGTTGTCTGACATGGTTGATCCTAATTCCCTTGACTAAGTTCATGGATTAATGACTGCTGCCTACCAGGCCAAACCAGTGGCCAGTTGGATGGAATGAGGACCAGCCAGCCACTGCCATTCATAAGGGAGTAAGGGCCTACCGCCTATCACTTTTTTAAAACCAATATACATCGGCCTTTTGGCTAAGAGATAAAATGCCTAAACCCATCCAGTCCTCATCTATCTCTGGGTATCTTTGTCTTAAAGGAATTTTCCTTAGTTACTAGTAATTCAAATTATAGCAAGCCCATACTCCAGACATGGGACAACTGGGAGAGGTTGACATGATAGAAATAATGAGAGAGACTGGGGACAAAGGCTTGAGTGTGACTACGGGAACAACAAACAGTCACTTGGAATCCTGCAATGGTTCTTTCGGCTAAGCAAAGCCAAGCTAGAACAACCCATTAGGAAATCAAGGTTGCATAAGATTGCATAAATTTATGTCTGAATTACAAGGCATCCCAACTTAGACATTTCAGGGTCTGTTATCAAAGAATCCCTGGAAACAACTTCCACATGCTGTCCCCATCTTGTCAAAAAGATAGGTGCATTGATCTGATGCATTCGAACATCTCTTATATTATTGTGGCATATTAGGGATTCGTTCACTTAAATCTGTTTTTTGTTTTTTTGAGACAAAAAAACTGCTCTCTGTCCCCCAGGCTCTGTCTCCCAGGCTGGAGTGCAGTGGCACAATCTCAACTCACTGCAACCTTTGCCTCCTGTGTTCAAGTGATTCTCCTGTGTCAGCCTCCTGAGTAGCTGGGATTACAAGCACCTGCCACCATACTTGGCTAATTTTTCTATTTTTGGTAGAGACAGGGTTTCACCATGTTGGCCAAGCTGGTCTTGAACTCCTGACCTCAAGTGATTTGCCTGCCTCAGCCTCCCAAGTGCTGGGATTACAGGCATGAGCCACTGAGCCCAGCCTTATTCATATAGAATTACTATATTATATTATAGAAAGACTGAATATACATATACATATTATACATATTATATACATATTATACATATTATTATAGAAAGACTGAATGATAGTGGCTTAAGTCTATGGGATTATGAGGGTTTTTTTCCCTCATGATTTTATCATGTTGACATTTTGCTTCATGGTCATAAGACAGCTGATACAGCTCCAGACTTCAGCTCTGCTTTGAGGGAATAAGAAACAGGGGCTGGTAGTACTATCTGCCCTCTCCTATCTGGGAAGTAGGAGCTTTTTCAGATTCCTCAGCAGAAATTGGCTTGTATCTCATTGGCTATATCTGTGTCTCATGACTAGCCCTAAACAGGCTTAGACTATGACCCGTTGTCATGTCTGGATCCACAACCACCCCAACAAAACTGCAGTTGCATTATCAAGCAAGAAGAGGGACTGCATGGATATTGACTAGGTAAGCAACGGTGTCTGCCATGATGGTTTCGTTACAGTCTACACAGCCCCACTTATTATCCCAAGTGCAGGACCTTCTTGCTGTCATGATCTGACATGTGTTCAGCAAATAGTAAAGTAGCATAGCTCCACCATCCTGTTCCAGTGGAACAGAAAGTGTTTTCTCTTCTTCAGGCTGGACACAGTGGCTCACACCTGTAATCCCAGCACTTTAAGAGGCCGAGGCAAGTGGATCACTTGAGGTCAGGAGTTCAAGACCAGCCTGGCCAACATGGTGAAACCCCATCTCTACTAAAAATACAAAAATGAGCCAGGAGTGGTGGCAGGTGACAGCTACTCAGGAGGCTGAGGCAGGAGAATCGCTTTGAAGCTGGGAGGCAGAGGTTGCACTGAGCTGAGATCTCACCACTGCACTCCAAACTGAGTGACAGAGTGAGACTCCAGATTAAAAACAAACAAACAAAAAAACAGCAATATTGTCTCTCCTTTAAGGATCAAGCTTTATATTCTTCCTCTTTTGAAGAACATCTACTAGATAGGATTGTATCCAGTACAAACCTTTGACTCTCTCTACTAGGTATATATGAACACTGAACATCCATGGAAAAGTTATCCTAAGTCAAAATGAAGTGTGGTTTTTACTTTCATTTCCTTCTCTCTAAACATGCCTTTTCTCTAAGCAGAGAAAACATTTCCACTAACAACCCAATCCAAAAACAGCTCACGTCCCAGCTCTCCCCTCAGTCACCCCACTCCAACACACAATCCCATGAAGGCAAAGCAAAAATAACACAAATACAGCAACCCAAATAACTATCGCTACTTATCTCATTTAACTTAAATGTCCCACCCAAACTACAGAATAGCAAAAACTTGTAGTTAATAATCCTTTACCTTTCAATGCTTCAGTCTGACCAAAAAGAAAAAGAAAAGTCAAAATAATCATCATTTTCCAAGATTAGAGCCAGGGCTTATCTGGGTAAGAGAACTCTCATTTTTACATAAAGAAAGACATTTGTTCATATAACCAATTCCTGTGTCATGATCCAAGTCCAGGGCTATGTGAAGTATCTTTCACTTTGGGTATACCCTTGAAGAAGCCTTGGCTTGCACATGGCCTGCCACCCAGGCCTTGCAATGGCTGACTTGTAATATCTGCTCATCTGTATCTTGGCCATAGCGGACGACAGTCCACTGGAACAATCCTGTCAATGTCTTCTTTCTTCTGAAGTCTAAAACTTCAGAACATGCCAACACTTATATGAGAAGCTCATATGAAAACTCAGTAGAAGATGATTATTGGTAACACCATCTTCAGCCAGATGGCTGACTTGGATTGGTTTAGAGATGATAGGTGTTAGGCCCTTAATTCCTCATAAACAGCAGTGAAAAGGTGGTCTTCGTCTACCCCACAGGCTGCCGCTTTGACCTGATAGGTAGAAGTCATTAGCCTGTGAGCTTATTTAAGCAATTGGGATCTGCTATGTCAGACCACCCAATGAAAGAAATGTCTCCTCTTTTTAAATAAAAATAAAACCCTCCAAGATTAGCACTGGAAACAAATCCCTGCATTGCGACAGGACACTAAGGCCATGAAGGCTTAAAGTCGCTTCCTCTTGTGATGCCTCCGTAAGGACTGCTGCCACCAAGCTGACTGCCCCACCCTGGCCTCTCTGGCCCAAGGCCAAGTATATAACTCTTCTTTGAATGTCCCCTCACACAGCTAAGACAAAGTAGAATTGCTTAACCAAGTTAAAGGAAGGAAATAATAAAATGGAACTAGACAGAGAGTGACATTAAACCAGATACATTGGAACAGACGTGGCTCCTTCCTGGCTTTCAGGCCCAGTCTTGTTCTATCTCCCAACTGCTCCCCAAAAGAGGCCACCTCAGCATCAACTTTCTCTCTGTCTCCACTCCTCAAAATGGAAGCCCCAGCACCAAATCTCAGAGAGATGAAGAGTTGCCTCCCTATTTAAGGCCTAACTTCTTAGTTGTTGCTGAAGACATACCTGGACCTCTAACAGAATCATGACCTGCTGCAAAGAAGGTCATGCCTGACCACAGCAATATACTTTTCTTTACTGCTTGCTTCCTCTGACATACATTCTTTCATTCTCCGCCTTATTCATTCAATTATTCAAAAACTATTTATTGAATATCCACTATGTTCTGGATATTGTGCTAAGGCTACAGCGGTAAAGAAAACATCTCTCATCTCTTTCTTTATTTTTTTCTTTACATTTTTGTATTTTTCTTTCTTCGACAGAGTCTTGCTCTATCAGGCTGGAGTGCAGTGGCACAATCACAGCTCACTGCAGGCTTGACTTCCCAGGCTCAGGTGATCCCCCACCTCAGCCACCCAACTAGCTGGGACTACAGGCATGCACCACCATGTCTGGCTAATTTTTGTATTTTTTGTAGAGATGGGGTTTCACCATGTTGCCCAGGTTAGTCTCAAACTCCTGGGCTCAATTGATCTGCCTGCCTCAGCTTCCCAAAGTGCTGGGATTACAGGCATGAGTCACCATGCCCAGCCTTCATTTTATATTTTTCAGGTTTTATTGAGGTATAATTGACAAATAAAAATTGTATATATTCAAAATGTACAGTGGGATGATTTAATATATGTATACTTTGTGAAATGATTAGCACATGACATTAGTTAATACATCCATCACTACACATAGGTGCCATTTTTGGTGTACGTGTGTGTGCTGATCACACTTAAGATCTACTCTCCTAGCAAATTTCGAGTAAACAATATAGTGTTATTAACTGTAGCTGCCATATTGTACATTGGATCCTCAGAATCTAATCTGTTTCCCCACAGAACGTATAGGCTAATGAACATATGCTTTAAAAGTAAGCATTAAAGGGTCCTTATTTTTCAGAGAGACATACTTAGATATTTATGAATGAAATGATAATGGGGGAATCAGAAGGCATATGAATTAAATAAGTTTGATGATAAGTTGAGAATTATTGAATGTGGATGATGGGTACAGTGGAGTTCATTACTTTATTTAGTTTTGCATATGTTTAAGTTTTTCTAAAATAAAAAAGTTTTTTAAGTGTTAATATGAGGCAATAAATACTAGATGCCAAATTAATGACATAGCCATAGCCAGTGGATCCAGATTAGAACAATCAGTACAAGCTCTCAGACCAAGAGAGCATCAGCATGGAAAAGTGTGAGCCTGGGATGCTGACCACATACACGCAGGCAAGAGCCACTCATTCTGGATGATTTTAAGAGAATATCGCTCTCCTGGATAAGAGTTCCCCCTTCCTTCTGCCCAGAGGTAGACAATGTTGGGGAGAATGGCTTAAACCTCATTTGGTTCAGCAGGCATGCATTGCTGGTTAAACCAGGAATTTCTTGGATCTGACTATCCAGCAGAACCACAAAAGGAGCAAACGTCTTTAAATAGACTAAGAAATAAGGTAAAAACTACATCTCATGTAAGTCTTTTTGCAGAAATCAATTAAAACAGGTCGTTGTCTGAACCAACACTGAAATGCTTATTATTAGGTTTGTTCTAGAGCTTGTTATTCAAATGGTTGGTGCCTTGTTATTAAAAAAAAATTGTGTTGGTCTAATGTTTGCAGGCAGGATGTGCAGGCCCAGCAGGGACACACATTGCTTAGCCATCAGAGCTTTCACACATTAGGAGAGGTGGGGAAGCAAGCTGAGGAAAGGGAGGTGGAAAGGTAAGAACAAGTAGGTGTTTGGAGCAAAATAGGAATAAGGAGCTACCGCATCCAGGATTTTGAACTACATCTGAGACCTAGAAAAAATGGGATGAAGGCAGAGGATCCAGACACCTGGCACATCTATAGGAGCAAGGGGCAGGTGTGCATTAGAGCTCTGAGGAGCAGCAGGGCTATGGTACTGTAGATGAATTCAGAGCACTGAGCTTTGGACATAAAACCCTGGGTAAGAGGAAGGATACTGGGATTGCTGACCTCAGGGCCCTTCTGGGCTGGGATGGCATGCACTCACAGGGACACTAAGTGTGGTGCATAGCTCACAATTGCTCCTGCCTCAAATGCTCTTCTGCCCACTCCTGGCCCTCTTCACTTATCTAAGTCGTATTTTTGCGTAAGCCAAAAATTAAATTCTAAGGCTCCCTTGAGCCATCTGAACAAACCCCTCCTCTCAACCAAGGGCATTCCATAGTTAACCTGGAAAACTAGTTCAGGCCATGATGGGAAGGCAGGGGGTCTGACATGCTTCATTATACCCTCCTCCCTTTTGGAATTCAGGAAAAGCCGACCAGCATTAACATCAACACAGACATTAAGTCTGATAAGAAACATTTACCATGTATTCTCTCTGCAGCCTGCTACTTGGAGGCTTTGTCTGCATGATAAAACTCTGCTTATCATGGTAAGCCAGACATTTCCTTTCTATTGATTCCAGGTCTTTAGATAATAACTCCTTTAACTGATTGCCAATCAGAAAAATTTTAAATCTACCTATAACCTGGAAGCCACCACCCTCCACCACAGCTTCAAGTTATCCCACCTTTCCAGATCAAACCAAGGTACATCTTGCAAGTATTGATTGATGTATTATGTCTCCCTAAAAAGCATAAAAGCAAACTGTACCCCTTGCACAAACTTGTAAAGCAAGCTTATACCCAACTACCTTGGGCACATGTCATCTGGACCTCTTGAAGATGTGTCAACAGGTGCATCCTTAACCTTGGCAAAATGAACTCTCCAAATTGATTGATACATGTCTCAGATACTTTTGGATTCATGCTTGCTTCAAACCATCATCCAGGGAGGCTTCCTTGACCATCCAAATTCTCAGTCATTTCTTCCACACCTCAACTCCCAGAACATTTACTGTCTGCTTAATTCCTTTCGTATCTATCATTCATTATTTTATACACGCACATATATGTACTTTTTCCATCGGATTACAACATCCAAGAGAAAAGAGATTATGTCTGATTTGCTTAGCTTACGCTAGGAGCACTGTACAGGAGAAATGCAGAATTCAAAGTCAGAACTCCTGGGTTTTAGTCCTAGTTCTGCATTTCCTCAGAGATCTAATGCTGGACAAATAGCAAGTCACTTAACCTCTCCCAGCCTCAGTTTCCTCCTCAGAAAAAGAGGTTAGAAATAACAATACCTCCTAGGCTGGGCACGGTGGCTTATGCCTGTAATCTCAGCACTTTGGGAGGCTGAGGCAGGCAGATCACTTGAGGCCAGGAGTTCGAGACCAACCTGGCAAACATGACAAAACCCTGTCTCTACTAAAAATACAAAAAAATTAGCCTGACATGGTGGTGAGCATCTGTAATCCCAGCTACTCAGGAGGCTGAGGCAGGAGAATCGCTTGAACCTGGGAGGTGGAGGTTGCTTAAGATTGTGCCACTGCACTCCAACCTGGGTGACAGAGTGTGACTCTGTCTCAAAAAGAAAGAAAGAAAAAGAAAGAAAGAAAGAAAGAAAGAGTAATACCTCCTCACACTGTTCTCGAGAGCACCACTTTAAATAATGGATGTGGTAGCACTTTGTAAAGTGCTATTCAGATTTAGCCTAGAACTCACTCTAGAATATTGGTTATTTCCCCATCTTAGCAAATATATTATACCGAGCCTTCCGTATTGCCTCTCTAGCAGCACCCTGAACATAGCAGAAGTTCAAGAAATATTTACTCCTCTTGATAATGCTGGTAACAATCATGATGCTGACAATGACAGAACAAAATGACTACTGGTGAAAATGACTCAACGGTCACCTAATGTCCAGCAAACCTGATTTCTACCTTTGAATGGACCCCTTAAGCCATGTGCTTTCTCCCCCTCTCCTTCCTGACATGTGGGGTGAGGGTGGGAAGAGGCCTCCAGCCTGGCAGAGGCCCCTTTAAAAATGTACCCGGGCTCCTCCTCTGCCAACCAGGTTGCTAAAAATACTACAACAGCAAAAGCTGAAATATTTGCAGAGAAAACTGAATTTCCTGCTACCTCCACCCCCTCCACTCAAATGGGTAAAATCCTGACCTAAGAAGCCCCCAGATCAGCTCCACCAAAGACACAGGCCTCATACTTTCTAGCCCCCTTCTGATTATGGGTCCCTCCACGGGCTTGAGCCAGGATGTGAAGTTCAGAAGGTGCCCACTCCGAGAAGGGGAAGCCACAAGTTATTGGGAAATAGATTGTCACGTGCCTTGGCTTTTCTGCCTGCTTACTAGGACCAACCCTCTCCAAATCCCCTTCCATCTGTCCCAAGAAGAATCTGTATTGGACCACAGGAGCTTCCCACTAATCCATCTTTTATCCTCTCTTTTGTCTATCCCTCACCTGCCTTGGCTTCTATTCCTCACCCCTGTCATCTCCATGCTTCCTGCTGGCTCCATCCCACGGCACCCACCAACATGCCCCAGTTGCCTCCCTAACCTGGCCATTCCCTTCCAGAGCTCATCTCCTTTCCAGGCCAGCAGTTTTCCTTCAGTAGCTATGGGGGCTGGAGACTGTAGATGAGAAGCTTTAAAATTTGAAAAGTCAAGAACAACTACGAGTCCAAGCCCATCTGGACAGTAGGTCATACTCCAAATGTTGACCGGTGGCACCCAGGCCCTAGGCCAGGCAGGTTACCATGGGGAGTATAACTTGGCATCATTCTGCCAAAGACCAGAGCCTGCAGAGGCAGACCCAGCCATCCCTTACTGCATCTGTCCTTTGTCCTAGCTCACCTATTTGAGTATCACAGGCTGAGTCCCACCAGCCCACCTTGCTGACAAACCCCAGCCACCTAGAGGCTCAGAAGAGGGACCTTTCCCCAGCGCTAGTGGGTGCCTTGGCCCCACAGTGGTTAAGGGGCCCACGCTGAGCATGTCTTTGGATGTCAGTGGGTGACAACCCGTGCAGGGTGTGTGTCTCTGGGTGTGTGGGCAGTGTGTGTGTCTGCATCTTTGGGTCTGTGTGTGTAATTTCTATGAGGCCATATGTGTTACTGCTCCTGCCACTGGTATTTGAGTTTGTGAGTGTCTGTCTTCTCATCTCAGGCTCTGCCTTCCTCTCTGTCTTTTCCTCACCTCAGAGCCTGCCCATCCCCCAGGGCCAGCACTGTGGCCAGTTCTGCGTAGGCGCCTTGAGTGGGCTGTTGCTGAAATGGTTGCTTTGCGGATGGAACTGACAGTTGCCGTATCTGTTCTCCTATGGGCCCTCCAGTGTTCAGAGACACCCTCACCCCACACAAAGGTGTCCTTCAGGAAGAGGGAAGGGCTGTGCTGCCTGTGTGGGAGTTGGTGGGGGGGGTGTTGTAAAGATACCCCCCCTTCAGTTCTGACCAGCAGGAAGAAGGGCCCAGAGGCAGCGCAGTCTGCAGAGGGATGTTGCCTAGCAACTTGGGAGACTTGACTGCAAACTCACCAAATCCCGAATTCCTCAGCTCTAATTTGGGAAGAGAAAAGCACAGAGTCTAGGCCTGGTATCCACTCTGTCCCCCAATTTCCCCCTTTCCTCTCCTCTCTGGATTCTGGAGTTGAAGTCCAGCAGGAATTGGCACAACAGAAGGCCACAGATGTGCGTGTCATTTAGGCAAGGGCCTGAGTTCCCAGGACATCTGGCCACTTGGAGGAGGTGGGGAGATGAAAGATGTGCCAGAGACAGATTGGGGAACAGATTTTTTTTTACAAAAGTGGGTGGGTCCCAAACATGCTGGGAGAGACACCCCTACACCCCAAGCCCTGGAATCCCGGCCAGCATCCAGCTCAGCCTGGGACCCCAAGCTGGCTAACCTTATCCCCACCCTGAATGGACTCAGGCATTTCTCTCCCACTCATTTTTCCTTTGGCAAGCAGAGCCTCGGGCCCAAACATCTAGGTGGAAAGGAAGCATGTCACCGCCACGTGGTCCCTGGTCATGGCCAGGGACTGGGGATGCACAGCAGAGCTGTCTCAGGATCTGCTGTCCCAACCAGAGCCACAGGGCATTTCCCACCTTTGCTCCCAGCAGGAGCCATCCTTTCCTCCTTCCCTTCTCTGGGACCTTAGCTGAGAAGACTTTCTAGTTTTCTCAGAGAAGGCCTACCCTACCCACATAACAAGCCACACTGCCAGCTTTTGTACCCTGCCGAGTTGGGGGAGGCTGACGACCACAACAGTGGCAGTCTGTCCCTCCCAGATGCTCTTTCCATAGCTCCCCTTCCCAGCCTCTCACGAAGCCCACATCCTGCCTCATCATGGACCCAAGAGCCAATTACTTCGAATTCTCTACACTTGGGTTTAGGGTATTTTTCTTCTTCTCAGGAGCAAGGGCGAGGATGGCCAGCTTTTGTCTTATTCTGAGGCAGCAGATCAAAAGGTTAGGCAGAGTCTGGTATGAAAGGGAGGAGGATACTTCTTCCAAGTCTGTGCCCATATATAAATACATACAAAATAGGTGTTGTGCATATATGATGTTGTTTGTTGCAGCTCATGTAGACAGATCGATAATAGATACGTCATGCCGACAGCTTGAGTTGGGTGACTGTCCGTGTGCGTGCGTGAGCGCGCGGGCGCCCGCAACAGGGTGTCCGCATTTACCTGCAACTGAAGGGCTGCGTAGTTATTTTTGCAGGTTGTATCTGCAGTGTCTGTATGCTGGAAGAAGGCCTGGGAAAATCATATGTGGACATGTGGGGCTTGTGAGCTTTTGTGTGGACGCATGCCCATCGCCAGGTTGTACCAACAGGTTTCTCCGTCTGTAGCAGGAGTGATGATGAGACCTTTTTACCGCCCGTTAGGGAGCCTTTCTTTGCGGACTGAGGGGGAGTGAAGTGAAAGGGAGCCATATTTGGGACTCCTGCTAGGTTGTGGAAGTATGGAGGGATGGGTGAGGGGTGCGTGGTTTTCTCTGAGCGGGAGTAGGTGCTGTGCCCAGATGTGGGTGTTTGTGCTCGGGGTGTCGGGGGCCTCCTTCTGCCTACTCCGGCGTACATCTGCCTGGCAGTCTGCCGCCTAGCAAGCCAGGGGATTGCGCCCGGGAGGATGGAGTGTGTAGGAGGCTTGGATACAAGCGTGTAGGCGGAGGGGCTGGGGCAGGAGCGGGAGCGCGGCGCAGAGAGCCGCGAGAGGGCGTGGCCCTCCCTCCACTTCTCCCCGCCCACCCTGCCGGAGGCTGCTCCTGATTGGCTTCCCGGCCGCGGGGCTCAGGTTACATTCGCGAGCGGAGCCGAGCGCGGGAGACCGGACCCGAGAGCAGAGCTGCTGTTTCGGCGCGGGTCGGCTGGCGGCCGACTGCCCCAGAGCCCCCACCCGGCACCACACAGACCCCACCCCCGCCCTGCGCCAGCCTTCGTCCCCGCAGAGGACCCCCCGACACCAGCATGGACTGCTGCACCGTAAGTTAGAGGGCCCGGGGGAGGGGCACTTGGCGGGGTCCGCTGCGAGAGGCGCCTGAGAAAGCCCTGGAGGGCGAGAGAGGGATGGAAGTGGATGCGGAAGACCTAGGAGCAGAAAGAAAAGGGGTCCTTGCCGAGACGTGGGTGGTGGATGGTGGAAGGCGCCCGCCCGACTTGGAAGCCCTAGGAAAAATGCTCCTCAACTCGCGGGGGCGTCTGAGCGCCCATCCGTTAGACAGCCTAGGCTGGACTGGGAGCTCGGCAGGGCTCTGCAAGAGGGGAACTGCGGGTTGGATGACAGGAGGAACTTCCTCCCCAGTGAGACGCTGGCAACCATCGCCTGGAGACACTGCAGCGACTCCTTCCTCCCGTCTTTCGGCCCCCACCCCGTTCCCCATCCCACTGCGCCGCCGTCGGTGGGCGGACAGGCTGATCCTCATGACCCTCCAACGATCGCCTAAGCGCCCTGTGCAGCGCAGGCTGGTCCATATTGGTTAGCTCGGTAGTGATGCTGGCTGCAAAGAGCCTAGTCAGGGTGGTTCTGGGGAGGGGTTGTCCCGGCCCCCAAGGCCTTCTCGCTCGGAAGGGGCTGGGTGAAGTGACCGCGAGAGAGCCCTGCTGGCGAGGAAAGGAAGTGTCTGCAATTTGTCAGCGCCCACGCGGAAACCTGGGTACTGCAAGTGCCCAGCGCCCGAGGGGTTTGCTGTAAAGGTGACTCGGTATGAAAGCGCCTGGCATAGGCCCTGGCTCCTGCCTCACTGGAAGAGTACAGTGATCATACGTATATGAAATTTATTTGTTTGCTTATTTATTTTTTGCCTCTGCACTTGGAGAAAGACTATTCCAAAGTCCTTGTATTTTCAGTCATTCAGTCAACCAGCTAATGATACACGAGGTTACTGACTTTGCCACCTTATGGCATAGTAAAGAAAAAAAAAGTGGGCTTTGGAAGGGAAGGATAGCCCAGTTCTATAATAGGTGAGACTTTCCCATGTCTGGGTACCAAGAGGCAGAGAACACTTAGGGGCAAGTGGTGGTGGTTGCGATTTTAACTCTTATTAGTTTAAGTAATAGTTGCCAGTTTGTGAATGCCTGCCCTGTAGCCAGCACTTTATATTTAATCATAGCAACAACCCTGTGAAGTAGGTATTATTTCACAGATGTGCCAACTGAGGTTTAGAAAGTTAGATTTTTCCAAGGAAGCATGACTCCTAACTGTGGAGGCAGGATTCAAACATAGCCCTGTCTTCTTCGAAGAGCTGTGGTTTAACCTCTCCTCTAAATATTTACTGATTATAAAAGTAATCTGCTCATAATAGAAAACGTAAAACCTAGAGAAAAGTATGAAAAACAAACATGTCAGTCACCTACAGTCCCACCCCCTGGAGAACACCCCGATAACATATCTCCTTCCAGCCTTTTCCCTCTGCTTGTTATTCTACAGGAAGCAATTTTTTGGTTGTGAAGGGAGAAATGGGCTCCTCATGGAGGTTCCTGGGCTCCACTGAGGAAGAGCCCTTCCTCCCAGCAGTGTTGTATAAAGTAGAGAAGATAAATGGATGGTGGGTTCTGGGAAATGAGCTGGGGGGAGGGGAGAGGTGAGGATGACAGGGGAGTATTGCTGGGGAAGGGGAAGTGGGAGACGTGGTCACTGGAAAGAGGTGAGTAAACAAAGAATCCAAGAGGCCAGGGAAGGAATGGAATTGGTCTCCTCTGTGTCTGCAGTAGTAATTAGAGTAGGATGTGGGGGTCCCTGCCTGGAACTGTTGCTCTTGAGTGCCCAGGGAGCCATACTGAGGGATTAGTAGACATGGTTGAAGTCAGTGTCCCTTAAAAAAGGAGAGGCTACCCACCCAAAAGGTAAAAGAGAAGCAGATACACAATTATCTCCATGGCCCAGGGCCTGGGGCACCTCCTCCAGTGCACCCTGTGCACAGGAGCCTTCCCAAGTCATGCCCTGTCCTAGGTCTGCAGGGCTAAAGGGCTGAGCAAGAGAGAGCACCATTATCAGACTGTGCAGGAGGGCAGGAAGAAGAAGGAGTGATGTGTGGAGGGTTGGGGAAGGGCAGGGCTAGGGGTGGGCATTTTCCTCCCCTTTCTGTGGAGGGCTGGACTCAGTGCTGGGAGAGAGCTGAGATGTGTGGGAAGAACAGCATACCTCTTGGGGGCTAGAGGCAGGTCCTTCTTCATCTTTTGATTCTGGAGCTCTCCTCACTGACCGCATCACCTGGTGTTTGGGAAGAATCTAGTCCTGTCTTATTCCCGTTTCTCCTTGGTACAGAGGCTCAGATAGAAATGAGGAAGAAGAAAACAGATCTGCCTATTTTTTTAAGAGACAGAGGAATGGTTTTTTATTCATGCTGATTCAAATATTGCAGTTGCTGATTTACATAGCCATATATATATATGACTTTTCCTGCATTCACCGCGCATGAAAAAGCGCATGAATTTTTTTGGATCCTCATTTCTTTTGCTTAGTCTAGTTGGCTTGGCCCTGCTGAATTCATAGAAATAATTACCTGCCCTGAGGCAGTGGCTAGCAGCAGAGGCTACTGAATCCCATCACTTCACTATTTGTCAACTGAGTGACCTTAGCTAAGTTACAAAATGTCTCAGAGGCTGTTTCCTGACTTCCAAAATGGGGATTAAATGAGGTAATATATGCAAAGCGCTTAGCACAGGGCCTGACATAATAACAAGCAGCAAGCAGGGGATATCCTTAAAGCTATTCGGATTTGGGAGCTGAAGGAGACTTTGTTCATTAGTTGTGGCTGAAGAAAATGAGACTCTCAGAGATGAAGTGATGTGCCCAGTTGGGACTAGAAGGCTTGGACCCCACTTTGCTGACCAGGGCACCTTCCACCTCCTCCTCCCTCCCAGAAGTCCCTACTTCCTATGGAACTGTCAGGCACACACCAGCAACCTTGGCTTTGGAAAGCACCAGCCAGGCACCATGACCAATGAACCTCTTCCCAGGTCCTTTCAATCTCCTTCCACTTCCACCTGTGGACTGGCCACCTGGCAGCTCTGTCCTGAAAATTCAGCTGGTAGGAGAGGGAGCTGGTTCTGGGGAGGAACATGGAGTGTCGGGGGTGGCTTTGCCTGCTATTCCAGGTTTCCATTCTGGATCCAGCTGGGGCGGGCGGTGACAGCAGGTCGGGTCTAGCGTGGTTGGAGGCAGATATCCCTTCCTCCACTCAACCTTCCCACTCCTCCACAGCTGCGAGGCCAAGGAGGAAAGGTAGGTCAGGAATGCTTTTTTATGGTTGTCACCCTCTTGAGAAGAAGCCTCACTGTTCCCTGAGGATATCCCAAGAAAGACTTGAGCTCTAAGAATAAAACATTCCAAAGGAGTCTTTTCTGAGCACCCTAGACCTGTGTTTGGCCTTTCCACAACCATACCTGCCTTTTTGTAACTCTTTTTTTCTTTCTGTTTTTTTGACTCTTCTACCAAAATGTAACTCCTTTTAACTGTGTTTAAATCGATTATGGGCATCTTGAGCACGAATTGAAGAATGTGAAGCCCAGGAAATGAGGCTAACCTTGGGAAACATGGCGAGGGGAACCATTTATAAGCCGGGGCTTGGGCATCTGGAGTTTAAGCTTGTGGTCCTGGGGCAGAATCTGGCTAGGACAGTGATCACTGAAGCCTTCCTCATATCCTGTCCACTTCTATGAACCGGATGGATGATGGCAGGGAGAGCTAATGTGCAGAACTGAATTACCATTATTATGTGAAACCTTGGTCATCTCGTGTCCTAGAAGAAAAAGATAGTCAAAGCAGTGGAAGACTTCATGAAAAGAAAAAAAAAAAGAAGGAGGCAAATTCCTAGAAGCCAGTGAGCCAGATCAAAGGAGAAATGTCCTTCTAACTTCATAGTAACCATCCCCATCCTGACCCACACTAATACTGCAAGTAATGTTAATGCAACAAAAGGGCTCAGAGGCTGAATTCCTCTCCGTTCCATAGCCTTTCCTCTGCAATCTATACCATCAATCCCCTCACGCCTTCTACTTTCAGCCAGGGCAGGCTGTCAGAGAAGCAGAAACCTAGTTTGGGGCATAGAGGTGGGCCTGATTATTATTAGGTTGAACCATATGAAATTGTTATTATATGACCACTTTTGGCCTACAAAAATGACTATTTCACATTAACTTAATGTTATTTTTAAGACAAGCATAAAAGCTACCATTTATTGAGCAGCTAGGTTGTGCAAGAGACTTTATGCATATCATGCTGTTTATTCTTCCCCACGACCCATAGAGGTGGATACCATTATCCTGATATTTTAGAGGAAGGAGCTGAGATAGGAAAAGATTAGATAACTTGCCGAAGGCCACACACCTATAGCAAATGGTAGACCTTGGCTGGTTGACTGGGCTGCATTTTCTTATCCTACAAAGTAGGGGTAAAAATATATATTCTGGACTCTGAAATACAAAGGTTTGAATCTTGGGTCCACTGGTAACTGTCCGTATGACCCAGGTAGGTTTTTAAACAGTCTAATCATTAGTTTTATTAGGGGTAATGATAAAAAGGTACGTAATAGCTTTATTTTGGGGGACTAAATAAAATAATGCCTGTAAAACACCGTTATTGCACCTGGAACAAGGTAAGTGCTTAAGTGGTAGCTATCACCATAATTCCCTTCTTCCTCATAAGCACACCCTGGAAAGGGCTTCTTGCTCCTGCAGGTCTTTTCATTTTCTTTTCTTTTTCTTTTTTTTCTTGGAGTGAAGCCTTTTCTTTATCACTTCATCCAAATCATCTCCTATCTCCTGTGTTTGAGTTCATCCTTGGGCAGTGGAAAATGAAGAGTCAATGGGAAAACAATCTCTGGGCCTCTAGCCTTAGGTCGGGGGAGGCTGGCTCACTGACTAGTATCCCCATCCTCTCCCTAATTCCAGCTGTGAGCTTTCTGCATTTCTACTGGGGAGAGGGCTGGCGGACTGAGGCTTCTCCATCCTCTCCACGGAAAACCCTGGACTCAGACTGGGTCCTTCTGAGCTGGAGGTACCCTCTGAGAGCAGGGGGACAGGCGGCCACTCCAGGAGTGCCTGCTGCTGTTTTCCTTGCCCCTCCAAACCCACCCTCCAATCAGCTCTGCAGACCCCTAACTCGGTGCTGGTGATGGGCCTGGCTCTCCCGCACCCAATCCTGCCTGCACTTCTCTTTCCTGAATTGAGACATGACTGTCCACCTGGCCCTGAACCTTCTTCGCCTGTCGCTGCCCATGCCCCAGTGAGTGTCCCTGCCATAGCCCTGCTCCAGGCTCGACACCCCTCTCTGTACCTCCCACCCCCGCGTCGCCATAGTCCCTGTCCCTCAGGGCTCTATTCCTACCCCACTCCCGCGGATCAAGACCCAGTGACCCCACAAGAACCCCCCTGCTTCGCCCCCAGGAGAACGCCTGCTCCAAGCCGGACGACGACATTCTAGACATCCCGCTGGACGATCCCGGCGCCAACGCGGCCGCCGCCAAAATCCAGGCGAGTTTTCGGGGCCACATGGCGCGGAAGAAGATAAAGAGCGGAGAGCGCGGCCGGAAGGGCCCGGGCCCTGGGGGGCCTGGCGGAGCTGGGGTGGCCCGGGGAGGCGCGGGCGGCGGCCCCAGCGGAGACTAGGCCAGGTGAGGCGGGCGGCGCGCGGCTGGCTGACAGCTGCCCTTCCCCAGCCCTCCCCAGGAGCAGGGGGAGAATAAGGGCGGGTTGGAGGTGCAGGGGGCGTGGAGGGAGCTAAGGGTTGGGGGATAGAAATCCGAGATGGGAGGTGGGTGGGAAGAGGCTGAAGGTTGCGCGGATTCCAGGAGCTCACCTGTTTCTCCCTCTGCATCCTCCCTTCTGCCCCGCCCTGGACCGAAGAAGAACTGAGCATTTTCAAAGGTAATGAACACGGCCCCTAGGCGGCGGGGTGGGACCCGTGAGTGGGAGAAAAGGATCGAATCCCCAGCCCTTCCCTCTGCCCACCCTCACCCCTCCCAGCCGGGGAAAATGCACCCTGCCCCTGCGGGTTTTCTGATACATCCAGACGCCCGAGGCTGCGACGGGGACATACCTGGACCAAGACATGCGCAGCCACCCCATTTGGCTGCACAAGCCCGGCCAAGGGGCAGAAATACATCGCGGCGCGCACACGTACCTGCCGCGGGGCTCATTTCAGCGCTTTGACTCGGGGTGGGGGTTCTGGGTGACTGGGGCCCTCTGGCACTCACCGCCCAAAGAATCCTGGTACTGAAAGGGGGAAGGGTGGGGGGAAGAGGAAGTAGCAGAAGAGGGCAGGTTCTCAGACCTTTTCTCTCCTCAGTTCCCGAGGAGAGATGGATGCCGCGTCCCCTTCGCAGCGACGAGACTTCCCTGCCGTGTTTGTGACCCCCTCCTGCCCAGCAACCTGCCAGCTACAGGAGCCCCCTGCGTCCCAGAGACTCCCTCACCCAGGCAGGCTCCGTCGCGGAGTCGCTGAGTCCGTGCCCTTTTAGTTAGTTCTGCAGTCTAGTATGGTCCCCATTTGCCCTTCCACTCCACCCCACCCTAAACCATGCGCTCCCAATCTTCCTTCTTTTGCTTCTCGCCCACCTCTTCCCGCACCCAGCATGCAGCTCTGCCTCCGCAGCCTCAGTGCGCTTTCCTGCGCGCACTGCGGAGGGCGCCCTAAGCGTCACCCAAGCACACTCACTTAAAGAAAAAACGAGTTCTTTCGTTCTGTGCGCAGCTAAAAGGGGCGCCCTACATCTCCGTGCCACTCCCGCCCCAGCCTAGCCCCAAGACTTTGGATCCGGGGCGAGATGAAGGGAAGAGGGTTGTTTTGGTTTCGGACGACCCTTGCTCTGACCGGAAGAGAAGTCCCTATCCCACACCTGCCTGTCACGTTCCCTCCCCTTTCCCCAGCGCACTGTTGAGGGCAGCCTCTCCAGCTCTCTTGTTTATGCAAACGCCGAGCGCCTGGGAGGCTCGGTAGGAGGAGTCTTCCACGGCCCCGCCCCGCCCCTGTCGGTCCCGCCCTCCCCCCCGCCGGGCTCCTGGGGCTGTGGCCGAAAGGTTTCTGATCTCCGTGTGTGCATGTGACTGTGCTGGGTTGGAATGTGAACAATAAAGAGGAATGTCCAAGTGTTCAGAGGGTGCCGGGGGAGGGAGTTTGGGTGCACAAGGCCTCCGCTTGCAACTTGAACAAGCCTCCTTGGGCCAAACCAGAAACCAACAATCGGGGGCTGGTGGGGTGAAGTGGAGGGGCACCTAGGTTGAAACCCACCCCTTTGACCCGACCAAACTTCCTGCCTACCTTTTCTCGGACTTCAAGCCCATTCCTTCTCTTACTGTTAATACTCTGAGCCGCCTAGAGGAATTCGCCATACCAGCAGAAAGAAGAAGGAGACAGTATGGTACCCACAGACTTTAATTATTGATATTCCCCCTCACCGCCCTCAGGGATCGGGAGAAGTCACACGACCATAGGGAGCTTGGACTTGGTGGTCGTCACGGTGCTGGCAGACGAGGGTCTTTCCAGGAACCCCTTGCTAGAATCAGCCCTCATACAAGTGTGCTCAGAGATCCCAGGAGCGATGGCATCCTCCCTGATGGGTATAGGCAAGTTCTGAGTGAACAGTAGAAGCCTCCTGCGGAGGAGGGCCGTCCTCTAACCTGGGGACTCTTAAATTTCACTGTGCTTGAGAATAATCTGCGGAACTTTGGTTAAAATGAAATTTCTGGGCCTCATCACTCCCCAACGCACAACTACAGGAAGGCTAGAAGTGGCCTGAATCTGAATGTATAACTAGTTCCCGGTGATTTCTGTCCAGGTAATCTGAGGACTCCACCTGGAGAAATGTTGCTCTGATCCCTATCCTAGACCCTGACTGGCAGCTAAAGTGGATGACAGAGGCAGTTTCCCCTCCCCTTTCCTGATTTCCTCCACAGAAGAATTGAACTCAGCTGACTGCTCAGGACAAATCCATTTCCTGGCATCTACAAGCCACTACTACTCCCAGGTGGTTAAAATATATGAAAATACCTTCGGAACAGAAAAGTAAACTTTATTAAATATGAGGAGGGGCAGGGCAGTCCTGCAAACAGCTTCCCTGCCACAGCT